>NC_000016.10:19395576-19698607 GCF_000001405.40 Homo sapiens | reverse complement strand
ATTTAACCTTCATGACAGCTCCGTGGCAGGTACACTCCTAACCGCCCATGATAGAATTCTAGAGGTGTCCCCCAGCATTCCTTCCCGTTATTCAAACATGAATCCCGGTGCTGCTGTGGAGAGACTGCAGATGGAATTAAGGTAGGGAGCATATCTTAGATGACCTGAGTGGGCCCTCGAATCACTGGAGCCCTTAAAAGCAGAAGCATTTCTCCGACCAGAATCAGAGACAAGCAGTGGAAGAGAAAAACAGGAAAGAGGAGGAAGAAGGGAAGCCAGAGATTCAAGGCATGAGGAGAACCTGGGCCACCAGTGGTGGCCATGAGCTGAGAAACACAGACAGCTTCTAGAAGCTGAGAAGGACACCTGGCCAACAGACACAGGATCTCAGTCCATGATCACACGGAAATGCAATCTGCAAATACCCTGAAGGAACAAGGAAGTAGATTCTTTCCAGTGCCTCCTGATAAGAGCCCAGCCAGCAAGACCTTGATTCTGGCCTTGTGAAACCCAGAACAGAGACGCCGGCCCCAGCTAGCACTGACTTCTCACCTACCAAACAGTGAGATCAAAAATGGGTACTGCTTTAAGATGCCAAGTTTGTGGCAACGGGTTATGGTGGCAACAGGAAATGAATATGCTCCCATTCTGCAGATGAGGCACCTGAGGCTCTGAAAGGTTAGGAACTTGCCCAAGGACCACAGATGGGTCCTCACAATGCAGAGGGGAGTCCGAGCTCCAGCTCTCTGACTCCAGAGCCTGTGCTCGTACTCACAGCCCTCTCCAGGCCACACACTCAGGGTCGCATCTTATCAGGAATCGCACTCAGAAAGGGCTGACTTGCCAGTGCCATGAGCCAACTTTGGCTATGCAGTTGTATGCAGGGATTAAGAATGGCTTGATTGGGCTTACACCAAAACACATTTCTTCCTGCTTTTCTCAACTACTCTCGGTGGCTAAAACCAACTTATCAACCGTCTATCCATCCAACGTTCCACAGATAATTCACATGGCGCCTGCGAGCTGCTATGCCAACTGATTTACCCCTTCTTACTGTCCTTTCCCAAGTGAGAATTTAAAGTCTTTTAGTGAAAAGAAAAAAAAAATTAGCTGAGCATGGTAGCACACACCTATTGTCCCAGCTACTCAGGAGGCTGAGGCTGGAGGATCACTTGAGGGCAAGAGTTTGAGGCTGCAGTGAGCTATGATCTCACCGCACTCAAGCCTGGGCATCAGAGCAAGACCCTGTCTTAAAGAAAAAGTCAAGGAACAGCTTCAAATGCAGTTGGGCAAGGTGGCTGAGTGGTAATTAAGACTCTTCGGCACCTCCCCTCCCCACTCCGGGCAAAATTGAGCCTGCCTTGGCAACAGCCTAGAGCAGCGACAGTCACAGAAGCAGCAGAGCCGACGGCAAAGAGCCCAATCATCAGGGAGCAGGTTGTGCTGTGGGCGCCCAGGCCCGCGGGCTACAAGAGAAAAGCGCTTTGGCACAGGGCACGCGGGCTGGCACCTGCTGGGCACGGACTCGCAAACTGGCTGGCGACCACCTGCTCTGCCTTCATTTGTTCTAACAGACAATGCAGTTATGCCCCAAGTGGGAACCTGAGCCCATCCTGCTCTCCTTTTAACCTGGTCCTCGTCTGACACCTGGGAGAACGGGAGCCCCACTTTCTGCCTGAATCTACAAGACCAAGCTAAAATAAAACTCTTTCAGAGCTAACTAAAAGTCTCCTTGGAGAGAGGCCCTTTGACTACCTTTCACTGAAGTGGGAGAAACTGTTTTAAAAGTCAGACAAGCAGCACAATACCTAATTGGCTATTTCTCCATTCCATATCTTCTCAATTAGCAAAAAGCTCAATTCGCATGTGTTTTAAATGCCAAAGCCCATTAAAAGTGAAATCATTGGAGACGTGTCTGAGGGATGAGACACATGCCAGCTGATATATTCAAACACCGAGAAAAATACAAACACGTAGCTTGGGAACCAAATCAGGGCCTGATCCCCTCCCCTCGCCACAGAGGTTTTAAATAGAAAAGAGCTGCTTTTCCTATGAGAACTGTCATTTCCAGGAAGCTCTCGGGGTTTGGCATGGTTCCCAGCTCCACCACACCCAAACAAACAACTTCATAAAATACAGCTTGTGATTAAAATGAGGCTGGCACCTTCACGTGGCCTTAGAGGATGACTTTGGAAGCACGGTTGCTACCAGAGCTGCGATATGATTCTCAGAACGGCACAGGCATCAGGGTTTTCCAACAGCAAGAAGCCGCCCACCCCACTCAGTGGGGAGAAATCCACCAGGCCCTTCCTGGTCTGTGATGGGCCTGGATACCAAGCCTCATGCTCTTGGGGTACCAGACTTCAGAGGACTCCAGTATGGCTGTTGAGCTGAACTTCAAATTGCACCATTAAAACAAAGGATAGCCGGGCACGGTGGCTTATGCCTGTAATCCCAGTACTTTGGGAAGCTGAGGCGGGCGCATCATGAGGTCAGGAGATCGAGACCATCCTGGCTAACAGTGAAACCCCGTCTCTACTAGAAATACAAAAAATTAGCTAGGTGTGGTGGCACGCGCCTGTAGTCCCAGCTACTCGGAAGCCTGAGGCAGGAGAATCACTTGAATCTGGGAGGTGGAGGTTGCAGTCAGCTGAAATTGTGCCACTACACTCCAGTCTGGGCAACAGAGCAAGACTGTCTCAAAAAAAAAATAAAATAAAAGAAGGATAACATGTTCAGTTTCAGCTTGGTCCACCCATATGACCATGTTTTTATTTATTTATTTATTTTAGAGACAGGGTCTTGCTCTGCTGCCAGGGTTGGAGTGTAGTGGTGCAATCACAGCTCACTGCAGCCTCAAACTCCTGGGCTCAAGCGATCCTCCCACCTCAGCCTCCTGAGTAGTCCCAGCTACTCAGGGTGCACACCACCATGCCTGGCTAACTTTTAAAATTTTTTTAGAGATGGGGTTTTACTATGTTCCCCAGGCTGGTCTCAAACTCCTGGAATAAAGCAATCCTCCTTCCCCAGCCTCCCAAAGTGTTGGGATTACAGGCATGAGCCACCATGCCTGACCGATGTTTTTCTAATAAATGTGCACATATGGACAGACATTTTCAGTGAACATCGCTGGTATTGATGCCACGTGAAATGTTCTTCAGAAACATTCCATCTTTGCTATTCTTTCAGAATCACTATCACCATCAACCCCTCTCTCCACCAGAGAAAGAGACATAAATGTTAAATATAAATAGCTCCAAATTATATGGTTCTGGGCTTTATTTTTCTTGCAAGCTTGGGACTTCTGGGCTATGATCATTTATGCTGTCAGTGACCACCTCTGATTAAACCCAGCCTATTGCCTCGGTATGAAGACACGTAATTTTGAACCACATGTCAAGTGTTCTGTGGGTGTGGCTTGTCAAACACACATCATTGTTCTAAGAGGTCCCTGGACTAGAGGGCGGAGCCAGAACCAATGGTTTCAAGAAATCAGGGGAAGGCTGGGCATGGCGGCTTACGCCCAGAATCCGCAGCACTTTGGGAGCCCAAGGCCAAGGTGGGCGGATCACTTGAGCTCTGTCTTTTTTTTTTTTTTTTCTGAAACAGAGTCTCGTTCTGTCACCCAGGCTGGAGTGCAGTGGCGTGATCTCAGCTCACTGCAACCTCCCCCTCCTGGGTTCAAGCAGTTCTCCTGCCTCAGCCTCCCAAGTAGCTGGGATTACAGGCATGTGCCACCACGCCCGGCTAATTTTTGTATTTTTAGTAGAGGTGGGGTTTCACCATGTTGGCCAGGCTGGTCTCAAACTTCTGACCTCAAGTGATCTGCCTGTCTCAGCCTCCCAAAGTGCTGGGAGTACAGGCATGAGCCAACCGTGCCCGGCCAAGCTCAGTATTTTAGGACTAGCCTGGGCAACCCAGAGAGACCTCGGCTGTGTAAGAAATAAGAACTTAGCTGGGTGTGGTGGTACATGCCTGTAGTCCCAGCTACTTGGGAGGCTGACATGGGAGGATCACTAGAGCCCAGGAGGTTGAAGCTGCAGTGAGCTAAGGTAGTGCCACTGTACTCCAGCCTGGATGACAGAGTAAGACCCTGTCTCTGGAAGAAAAAAAAAAAAAGAAAAGAAATCAGGGGAAAAAGCTAAGACAAGCTTTCCTTGGGGGGATCTAATTAGTACAAGCTAAAGGTGATGGGCTTCCATTATTCCTGTAGGCTGAAAGGGCTCTCTCCTGAAAACCATCTACACAGAAAACGGAAGAGGTATGAACCCTTGCTGAGTGTTTGTGCATGTTTGTAAAAGGTCTTTTAAAACAATGTGTATTTAGGGTTTTATTTTCTCATCTTGATTCATGAGCCTCAGATATGCAACATTTAAAAATTATTGATACATAATATTTGTGTGTATTTATGAGGTACATGTGGTATTTTGTTACATGCCTAGAATTACAATGATTGTGCCAGGGTATTTGGGGTGTCTGTCGCCTAAGCATTTATCATTTCTATGTGTACAGAACATTTCAAGTCTTCTCTTATAGCTATTTTGAAATGTATAATACACTGTTGTTAATTGTAGTTACTCTGCTCTGCTATTGAACATTAGAACTTATTCCCTTTTATTCCCCCTTTTTTCTTTTTTTTTTTTTTTTTCTTTTTTTTTGGAGACAGGGTCTTGCTCTGTTGCCTAGGCTGGAGTGCAGTGGCATGATCACAGCTCACTGCAGCCTCGAGTTCCCGCCGCAGCCTTCAATTCCCGCCTCAGCCTCTCCAGTAGCTGGGACTACAGGCACTCACCACCACGCCCGGGTAATTTAAAATTTTTTTCTGAGATGGAGTCTCACTCTGTCGCCCAGGCTGGAGTGCAGTGACATGATCTGGGCTCACGGCAACCTCCGCCTCCCGGGTTTAAGCGATTCTTCTGCCTCAGCCTCCCAAGTAGCTGGGACTACAGGCACACACCACCACACCCAACTAATTTTTTCTGTATTTTTTGTAGAGGTGGGATTTTGCCATGTTGGCCAGGCTGGTCTCGAACTCCTGGCCTCAAGTGATCCGCCCACCTCAGCCTCCCAAAGTGCTGGGATTACAGGCGTGAGTCACCGTACCTGGCCTAATTTTTAATTTTTTTTTTAATAGAGACAGGATCTTACTATGTTACCCAAGCTGGTCTCAAACTCCTAGGCTCAACTAATCCTCCCACCTGGGCCTCCCAAAATGTTGGGATTACAGGTCTGAGGCATTGTGCCTGGCCTGTTCCTTCTAACTGTATCTATCTTTGTACCCATTAACCAACCTCTCTTCATTGCCCTCCCCTGCCCCCCCGCAACACACACATCCACATACCCTTCCCAGCCTCTGGTATCAATCATTCTAGGAGAGTTGCCTCGTCTGATACTCACGGGTTTGATAAACCAGTTTTCCTGAAGAAGAAACTGGGGTTCCAATGCCACTCTTTCCACAAACAACCAAGAGCCCTCCAGGCACTAACTTGCTCAGAGTTCTGGTACTGCAGCTCGGGGTCCCCAGGGTCAGTAGGACACAGTCACATACCCTCCCTCCCTACAGAAGGTGCTACGGGCCCCCAGGGCTGCAGCATTTCTGCAACTGTTGGGTATGTAGGTCTCTGCCCTTTCAACTACTAACCCTAAGGCCAGCCCTTCGGGCAGTGCCCCTGAACTTGGAGGCCAGAAAAAATCCTACTCTCTCAAACACACGCTTGAACACCCTGGACAGAATGGGTATATATTGGCCGGGCGCAATAGCTCATGCCTGTAATCCCAGCACTTTGGGAGGCTGAGGCAAGAGGATCACTTGAGCTCAGGAATTCGAGACCAGCCTGGCTAATATGGTGAAACCCCATCTCTACTAAAAACACAAAAATTAGCCGGGTGTGGTGGCGGGCACCTGAATCCCAGCTACTTGGGAGGCTGAGGCAGGAGAATCACTTGAACCTGGGAGGTGGAGGTTGCAGTGAGCTAAGATCATGCCATTGCACTCCAGCCTGGGCAACAAGAGCGAAACTCCGTCTCAAAAAAAATAAAATAAAAAGAAAAGTGAAGTGGAAAGGCCTTGGTTGAGGAGGGCAATGTAGCAGTGCAGAGTTCAGGTTTGGGAATCCGGGTTAGAATCTCTGCTGTTTCATCACAGCCAGAGGAAATATCAACGGCTCTGAATAACCCTCTCTGAGCCTCAGTTTCCCTCCCCATTCAATGGAAATAAACACAGCATCTACATCTCACAGGGCTGTTGTGGGCACTGAAAGAGCCCAGGTATAGCAATCCCACGCTATCAGGGATTCACCATGAACTGATGGAGCATCTGCCGCAGGCCGGGCTCTGCATGAGACGTGGGGTGGTGCAGAGAGTTACCGGGTGTCCCAGAGTCCCTGTCTTGTCATTCAGACACAGGCAGGTCTTCAAGACTCACCAGGTCCAGGCCGGGTGCAGTGGCTCACGCCTATAATCCCAGCACTTTGGGAGGCCGAGGTAGGCGGATCACAGGGTCAGGAGTTCAAGACCAGCCTGGCCAACATAGTGAAACCCCATCTCTACTAAAAAAATACAAAAAATAAGCCAGGTGTGGTGGCGGGCACCTGTAATCCCAGCTACTTGGGAGGCTGAGGCAGGAGAATCGCCTGAACCCGGGAGGCGGAGGTTGCAGTGAGCCGAGATTATGCCACTGCACTCCAGCCCAGGCAATAGTGTGAGACTGTCTCAAAAAAAAAAAAAGACTCACCAGGTCCCTGCTCCCATGGAGCTTACATTCTAGTCAGGGAGCTGAGGGATGGACAGACAGAACATTTCAGACGGTGACTGAACAGGCGCTACAGGGACAATCGGGCAGAGGCATGCAGGTGGTGGTGGCTCCTTCAGACAGGGTCCGGGAAGGCCTGAGGAGGTCCTTTGAGCTGAGATTTCAATGACGAGAAGGAACAGCCAGGGGAAGCCCTGGGGGAGGCGCAGTCCAGGCAGAGAAAACAGCAGGAGCGAAGGCCCCAAAGCAATGGAGAAGTGGTTTGCACATAAACACATTACTCACATGACATAGTTTCCTTTCTAGAATGAACCAAGGTTGAACCACCCTGGAAACTTGTGCTTTCAGAGCAAGGGGCGGGTGGAGGACAGCAGAGGGCACCCACCTCGTCCTTGGCCAGGGTTTTCAGATGCTCTAGGATCTGAGCCATCACCGTCTCACACAGCTTGTTGTTTTCTGCCAGGAACTTGGAGTCTCCCCCGTAGAGGCTGTCGTTGGAGTCCACTGTTGAACAAACAAGAACAGTGAGACAGACCCAAGCCCCGCGGCCATGCTGGCCAGGGAGAGGCAGCCGTGTGTCATGTCACACCGAGTCAGCAGATGGCAGGAAGTCGTGGCAGGGCACATGGAAGTGGCGGAAATTTCCCACTGGGCTTGGGGCCTTGGGAATCACAAAGAAAACACCCAGCCTGCAGGACAGTCTAAGCCAGGGGTGTGGAAGTCACCCCTCTAGCCCATGTGTGCGTGGCGGGGAGCGGGGGTGACATTAATAATAATAATCATCATCACAGCAGCTGCCAGGCACTGGGCTAGGGCTTTCACTGCCTTATTGCAGAGTCCCCCACAACCAGTATGTGAAGACATGATTTTTCTTTTCTTTTCTTTTTTTTTTTTTGAGACGGAGTCTCTCTCTGTCACCCAGGCTGGAGTGCAGTGGCACGATCTTGGCTGACTGCAACCTCCGCCTCAAGGCTCAAGCAGTCCTCCTGCCTCAGCCTCTTGAGTAGCTGGAATTATAGGCACCTGCCAGCACGCCTGGCTATTTTTTTAATTTATTCTTTTATTTTTAATAGAGATGGGGTTTCACCATGCTGGCCAAGCTGGTCTCGAACTCCTGACCTCAAGTGATCCGCCTGCCTCGGCCTCCCAAAGTGCTGGGATTACAGGTGTGAGCCACCAGCCCAGCCAAGAGATGATATTAATATCTCCCTTTTAGGGAGATGAGGCTCAGAGGTGGTCCTAGCTGGGATCCTAAACCAGGAAGTCTGATTCCAGAGCTCACGCTCTTAGCTACCGCATCCAGCTGCCTGCCCTGTCACCCTCTCCTCAAACCTGGCTTTGGAAGGACTGCAGAGATTTTCTATTTCAACTACTCTAGAAGTGTAAATCCCTTTGATAATGTCTCTTGCCAAAAGCTCCTCCACTGTTTGCTGGGTCTCGTCCTGTGACAACCACTGCCTAGAGTAAGACAGGCCCAGCCAAGGACAGCCTGAGTCTGAGTTCCTCCTCCCTTCCTCCTCCCTCCCTCCTTCCCTCCCCACTCCTTCCTCTCAACTGAACTTCACACAGAGCATAATCTGGGCAACGAAAGAGACACCACACTCTGTGCTGCTTTACACTTTGTTTTTTTAACTTAATGATAAATCTTGGGGCTGGGATCAGTGGCTCACACCTATAATCCCAGCACTCTGGGAGGCTGAGGCAGGAGGATCACTTGAGTCCAGGAGTTTGAGACCAGCCTGAGCAACATAGCAAAACCCCATCTCTCCAAATAAAATTAGCTGTGTTTGGTAGCTCACGCCTGTAGTCCCAGATACTTGGGAGGCTAAGGTGGGAGGACTGCTTGAGCCCAGGAGTAGGTGGCTGCAATGAGCTATGATCACATGACTGCACTCTAGTATGAGCAACACAGCAAGATCCTGTCTCAAAATAAACAAAATAAAATAAATCTTCGTGCTATTTTTATATCAGCATACAATAATGCCCCCTTATCCTTGGGGGATACGTTCCAAGACCCTCAGTGGGTGCCTGAAACCACAGACAGTATTGAATCCTATATATATTATGCTTTTTCCTATATAGTAATGGGTAGGTAGTGTCGCATCAGTGTGGATAAACTGGACAAAGGGATGATGGATATCCTGGGTGGGACGAAGTGAAATTTTATCACCCTATTCAGTACAGTGTGCAAATTAAAACTTATGAATTATTTCTGAGATTTTCCACTTAATATTTTTGGACCAGGTTGACTGTGGGGTAACTGAAACTGCAGAAAATGAAACTGGGGCTGGGCACTGTGGCTAACACCTAGAATCTGAGCATTGTGAGAGGCTGAGGTGGGTGGATCACTTGAGGTCAGGAGTTTGAGACCAGCCTGGCCAACATGATGAAACCCAGTTTCTACCAAAAATACAAAAAATCAGCTGGGCATGGTGGTGCACGCTTGTAGTCCCGGCTACTTGGGAGGCTAAGGCAGGAGAATCGCTTGAACGCAGGAGGCAGAAGTTGCAGTGAGCCGAGATGGAGCCACTGCACTCCAGCCTGGGTGACTGAGCGAGACTCTGTCTCAAAAAAAAAAAACGCCAGGCACAGTGGCTCACACCTGTAATCCCAGCACTTTGGGAGGCTGAGGCGGGTGGATCATGAGGTCAAGAGATCAAGACCATCCTGGTCAACATGGTGAAACCCCGTCTCTACTAAAAATACAAAAATTAGCTGGGCGTGGTGGCACGCGCCTGTAGTCCCAGCTACTGGCACGCTCCTGCACTCCAGCCTGGCGACAGAGTGGGACTCCATCTCAAAAAAAAAAAAAAAAAGAAGAGACACCGGGTAAGGGGGCGCTACGCGTACAGCTCTGTTGCTTTGTTGTCATGTCTGCGTAGTATCCCACTGTACGATGGAAGAGAATGTATTTAGTTGGTCCCTACTGGGAACACTTCAGTGGTTTTCTTCCTTCCTTTTTTGGCTAGGGCCAGCCTGCTGCAAACCCTAGAGTTCACAACAAAACCACCAGCTCTGCCTACAGAGCCAGTTCTTTCCTTCCACACCCACATGAGCTCACATACCTTTTCCATGGGATCCTCTTACAGCTGCTTTCATTCCAGCTACCAGATGGGGACTTGTATGTGGCCGAGCATAACCGGCTGTGAACAAGCAGCACTCTGTCTGGGGAGCCCAGTTCAGCATCTGAACCCCCAGGCTAAAGGGAGAGCTCTGGAGCCAACACAGCACTCAGTGGTCAGGAAGGGGGACGGTGCGGCGGCGGCACTCGCTGCTTCTCACCTGGCACGGGCCTGCAATCTGGGTCACTGTCCTGAGTGCGTGGATATCTCATAAACCAAGAGCCATGCCTGTGCCTCGGGGTGTGGTTGTGTACACGCGGCCACAAGTGCACACGGCTAATCCAGTTTTGTGGCTTAGGGATGTCTTTAATAAACCACATCCAGTTTAGCTTATCTGCTAGAATGTGATTTGTTGTGCTTTTCTCGCCCCATTGAAAGAACATTCATCACTGTCTTGAGGAAACAAGTAGGAAGGATACTGTCTCAGATACACACAATTCAAAAGAGACAATATTTATGAGAAACACAGTAGGGCCTGTGCACAAACGAGGGACAAACAGCACGAGATGGCCAGGCACAGTGGCTCACGCCTGTAATCCCAGCACTTTGGGAGGCCAAGGCAGGTAGGTCACTTGAGCTCAGGAGTTTGAGACCAGCCTAGGCAACATGGTGAAACCCTGTCTCTAATAAAAATACAAAAATTAGCTCTATGTGGTGATGTGTGCCTGTAATCCCAGCTACTCGGGAGGCTGAGGTGGGAGGATGACTTGAGCCCAGGAGGCAGATGTTGCAGCAAGCAGAGATCACGCCACTGCACTGCAGGCAGGGCTACATTTTGTATTTTTGTAGAGATGAGGTTTCTCCATGTTGGCCAGGCTGGTCTCAAACTCCTGACCTCAAGTGATCCTCCCGCCTTGGCCTCCCAAAGTGCTGGAATTACAGGCATGAGCCACCGCGCCCGGCCATGAACACCTACTTCTTGAATCACCAATTGATAATATTTTGCTACTTTTGTGCAAGCTCTCTTGCTTGTTGTCTCTACAAGGATGGACAGACACACATAATTTTTTTTTTTTGGCTGAACCATTTGAAAGCAGGTTGCAGGCATATTGCCTAAGAATAAGGAGAACAACTGGTTTCCTTTGTTCCCCAGCTTCTCTGATCACAGGAATCTCTTATCCAATCTTAAACTGCTCGTTTATGGGGACTCTGCTGGGATACTTCCCCAAGGTTTCCTTTGCGATTGATTGCTCGTCTGACACCAGGTTGGTAGTTACTGGCCCTGGGCCGCAGGAGTCAATCTCAGAATTTCCAAGCCGGCTCTGGCTGCTGTGTCATGACTTGTACCTCCCCAGTGGGGGACGGCAGTTACTCTTGTAAGAAGCGAGAAGAATTCAATTCAGCCATTCAACACCACCTGATTGTGCAGGGCAGCAAAACTGCAGCTGGTGAAGGAATTTCTCATGTCTGCTGCTGAGGACCAGAATAGTTCCTGCATAAATTCCCAGTCTTCCTCCAGGTTGGAGTTCACTTTGATTCTGAACAGCCCAGCAATGGAGAAGAGGGAAGGTCCAACCACCCCAAGGGGCCAGAGGTGTGTTTAGAGCAGGCCACTCACACACACATGCAACACCTACTGAATAAGGCCTGCTTCATGCCAGCTTCTAGGCTAGGAGCGGGAACCTAGTGGGGGACAAGGCTGACCTGGCCCTACCCTCACAGACACAGAGGTCACAGTCTGTGAGGAGACACAGACACACAAACAGGCAATTGCAATAGTGTGCAGAGGTATTTGAGATGGAGTCTTGCTCTGTCGCCCAGGCTGGAGTTCAGTGGCACGATCTTGGCTCACTGCAACCTCCGCCTCCCAGTCTCAAGGAAGGGGGGGCAGTACAGGGGATCATGGGATACTAAAATCTATGCTTGGGACAGGATTCTGGAATCAGTGAGACCTGGACTGAGTCCTAAAGGTGGAATTCGCTAGCAGAAGTGGGAAAAGGGGTGAGAAGGGAGGAATTTATTTTCCATGCTGACACTTGGTGGTCATAGAGGGAAGGAGAAAAGGGCGCATTTGAGAATTAAAAGTAATTTGGTCAGGTCAGAGTGTATTGGGGGCCTTCAAGTCCAGACGTGGCTCTCACGAGGGGGAGAAATGATGTCCCCTGCAAATGGCCACTAAAAATAGCCCACAATCTCTGCATCTGTCCCACCCCAAGTTGCAAACCCGAATGCTTTGAGGGCCTGGCAGGTGACGTGGAAGAGTGAGGAGGGCTGCCTTGGCTTCACAGAAGCATCCTGAGTTGTACTCTTCCAATAAAGACACACTCTATCTGCATACTAAATACATAAACATTGAGGATCCAAGACTATTCTTCACTTCTACATCAAACATGCACGCTGTCTTGTAACCTCGTGTAAAAGCACCGGAGGGATTGCTCCAGGCAATGTCAGAGCCTTCTCTTTTTCTTAATCTGGGAAGAAAGTGGCCAAGGCATCCTCCAAAAATGCAGAAATTATTTAATCCCTCTCTTCCAAGTTCTAAGCTGTGTCAACATCGTCTAAAAGCCTCCCTAGAATGAGGAAGTGAACAGGGAAAAAGGAGCCCCCACAACCTGCAGAGACTCTGTGATTCCCTGGGTCTCCTACCAAGACGCCGGGCAGGTCACAGTTGCACATTCAAAGTAAACACAGCTGGACTAAGAAGAAGAAAAAGAAAATCCATCCTTCTGTTTTCATCTCTAAAAGCTAGAAAACTACACTCTTGCCTATCAAATATAGCCTCGCTCCCTCTGCTGCCAATCTGGCTCTAGTCGTCTTCGCTGGCGGCCTTGTTCAGAGAAAGGATGGGCTGAATCTGTTTAAGGGAGAGGAAGGAGAGGAGGGAGAGGAAGGAGAGGAGAGAGAGGAGAGGGCAGGGCATGCTCCTGTGATAGCCTCACTTCCAGGTCTCTGTCTGGTCCTCAAAGCTTTCTCTCTTGTTCAGAGCCTTCAATGTTCACTTCACAAAAGGGGAAACAAAGACGCCAAGAAATACAGGAAAGGGTGTTCAACCTCGCCAGCCATCAGAGAAATGCAAACTCCACTCCTAGAACAGCTGACATGAAAAAGAATGACCATAGCAACTGAACAAATGGAAGCCTCATTCGTGCCTGGTGGGAATGTCAATTGGTTTAACCCTTTGGGAAACTGTGAGGCAGTATCCTCCAACGCAGAATATAAGCAGATCCTATGAGCCAGCAACGCCACCTCCACGCAGACAGCCAATGGGAATGTACACCAAGAAATACATGCAAGAATGTTCACAGCTGCATTACTCATAATAGCCCCAAACTGGACCTGGCCACATGCAAATTTCCATCCAGAAGGAATGAATCAATTTTGGTACATCCACACAAAGGAATACTATACAGCAATGCAAAAGGTGAACTACCGTTTTGCATACCAACACAGATGAATCTTGGACATCATGCTGAGTTAAAGCAGCCAAATACCAAAGAATGCTTGCAAATATTTACTTATTCAGAAAGTGGCAAACTAATAAATAATGCTAGAAGTCAGGAGAGAGAGTGGTGTGTCTTCGAGAGTAGGGTGGTGATGCTGACTGAAGGAGGTGTTCTATTTCTTGATCTGGACTGTGGTTACCTGCGAGTGTTCACTTTGTGACAATTCACTGAGCTCTATAGTTTATTGCATATATGTTATATAATACACTTTAATTAAAACATTGCTTTTTTTTTTTTTTTGAGATGGAGTCTTGCTCTGTCACCCAGGCTGGAGTTCAGTGGTGTGATCTTGGCTCACTGCAGCCTCCTGAGCTCAAGCGATTCGCCTGCATCAGCCATCCAAGTAGCTGGGATTATAGGCGCTTGCCAACAGCCTGGCTAATTTTTTTGTATTTTTAGTATACATGAGGTTTCGCCATGTTGGTCAGGCTAGCCTCGAACTCCTGACCTCAGGTGATCCGCCTGCGTCTGCCCCCCAAAGTGCTGGGATTATAGGCACAAGCCACTGTGCCCAGCCAACACTGTTATTTTGTAATCAACAAAGCAGTGTAATGCACGTCCCACCACTCTGGGTGTGAGTTTCACTTCCATCACTAACTACCGGAAGCCCTGGAGTATATCACATTGTCTTTCTGGATCTCCTCTTGCTTACACATCAAATGGGGACATGAATGCCTGTCCTCATAGTAAAGCTGTAAGGATTAAGGGAAAAAGGCCTGTAGAGCCTGATGTAGTCCTTGGCACGCAGTAAGTGCTCAGATCAGGGTAGGCGCCATCATTCTTGCTATGAACCAGCCTCCCTGCATTACATCTTTATCCTCAGTCCCCAGACCCAGCTAGAGAAAGCCTGAGAGGTATGACAGAAGGCAGGCCATCCCTTAAGCACTGCTAATGTGTTCACTGCAACTTGCAAGTGTAGAGTTGGTTTTTTAACTGTAAAGTATACAATTACTGGCCAAAGCACTTTTGACATTAAGACCAATTTTTGGAATCCAAAAATTAGAACTGAGGGTCCGCCAGGCAGGAGGATACTTGGGCTCAGTGGGAAAAGGCCTGGAACTGGGATGTCCTGTGGTAAGTCCAGGACACGAGGAGGCTGCTCCCAACTTGTACTAGCAAGTTCAAAATGTCTGGTAGCAGGTGATCAAGGCCACCTCCTTCCTCCAGAGCACCCAGACAAGGGCTGCTGAGCCTTGGCATCATCTGAGGAGCAGTTGCAAACACCCACACCAGGGTCCTTCCTGAGACTGTGGTAAGGAACAGGCCTGGCACGAAGCTCATGCATGTGTATATTTAGCCATTGTTCCAGTTTATTGTGTAGCACACTGATCCAAAAGAGGGTTCCTCTGAAAAGAGAACACTTAACACTCTGTCAGTGGAAATGCAAATTAGTTCAGCCACTGTGGAAAGCAGTTTTGGAGATTTCTCAAAGAATTGAAAACAGAACTACCATTTGACCCAGCAATCCCATTACTGGGTATATACCCAAAGGAAAATAAATCGTTCTACTGAAAGGACACATGCACACGTATGTTCACTGCAGCACTATTCGCAATAGCAAAAACATAGCATCAACTTAGATGCTCATCAACAGTGGATTGGATAAAGAAAATGTGGTACATACACACAATGGAATACTATGCAGCCCTAAAAAAGAATGAAATCATGGCCTTTGTGGCAACATGGGTGCAACTGGAGGCCATTATCCTAAGTGAACTAGTGCAGAAACAGAAAACTAACTACCGCCATGTTCTCACTTGTAAGTGGGCCCCAAGCATTGGGTACCCATGGGCATAAAGATGGAAACAACAGACATTGGAGACCACTAGAGTGGGGAGGAAGGGGAGGGGACAAGGGCTGAAAAACTACCTATTGGGTACTATCTCATTTGCACCCCAAACCTCAGCATTGCACAATATACCCCTGTCACAAACCTGCACGTATACCTCCTAAATCTAAAATAGAAGTTGAAATTATTATAATTATTTTTTTAAACAGTGTTTCTCCAGACTGGTCTGATGTTCAACATGATCTCAGGTGCTTGTTAAAGATGCAAATTAAGAAGGGAAGGCCAGGTGTGGTGGCTCATGGTTATAATCCCAACACTTTGGGAGGCTGAGACGGGTAGATTACTTGAGCCCAGGCGTTTGAGACCAGCGTAACATGGTGAAACCCCGTCTTCAAAAAAAAATTTAAAAAATTATCCAGGAGCAGTGGCACATGCCTGTATTCCCAGCTACTTGGGAAGCTGAGGTGGGAGGACTGCTTCAGCCTGGGCTGTAAAGGCTGCAGTGGGCCGAGATCACATCACTGCACTCCAGCCTGGGGGACAGAGTGAGACCTTGTCTCAATCAATCAATCAATCAATCAATCAATCAATCAAGGGCAGGATGGGGCTGAAGAATCTGTACTCTTTTTTTTCCTTTTTGGGATGGTGTTTTCACTCTTGTTGCCCAGGCTGGAGTACAGTGGTGCCATCTTGGCTTACTGTAACCTCTGCCTCCCAGGTTCAAGCGATTCTCCTGCCTCAGTCTCCCGAGTAGTTGGGATTACAGGGGTGCACCATCAGGCCTGGCTAATTTTTGTTTTTTTAGTAGAGACAGGGTTTGGCTCTGTTGGCCAGGCTGGTCTGGAACTCTTGACCTCAGGTGATCCGCCTGCCTTGGCCTCCCAAAGTGCTGGGATTACAGGCGTGGGCCACTGCACCCGGCCCAAGAATCTGTACTCTTAAGAGTTGCTCCAGGTAAATCTTAGATCAGGTAAATACAGTGAGACCCTGGACTAGAAGTTCATGGAAGCTAAAATACAAGGGAGGAAAAAATAAAAGAGAAAATGAAAGCATTCTGTCTGCCTTTCATGAAATCCATGCGGAGCATGGTTTGGTGGGGGAGGCTCTGCTACCTTTGTCTATGTGGTAAAGGTACGTCTCCTGGCTCATGGCGGAGAGGAGATGCAGGACGCAGGTGTAGATGCGGATTTTCTCATCGCTGTTGTCCTCCCAGGTGTAGTCCTGGATCACGTTGAGAAGCTCTCGAACAAGAAACAGGACCCCATGTTCAGGATGATCCTAGCAGAGAACCGAAAAAAGGATAAATAATCCCAAAGATGAAGCAGGGAGGGAAAAAGAAAATCAACACAGAAGCCCAGATCCTCCCGCAGCAGCTGTAGAGAAATTAACGTTGTCAGTTACTGAACAAAGGCAAGACCCACTCACAAGCCTGGTTAAACAATACAGAGGAAAATGACAAAACGTGATTCCCACGAATCAACACGCTCCTGTCTGGGCAAACGAGCTTTGAGAATCCCTTTTTGGATCCCAAAAAGGAGAAGGCAAAGTTACCTGTCAGCTTAATGGCCTGTTTCCAAAATTACACTCTTATTTTTCTGTGGGTGGTGGGAGTTAAAAAAAAAGGAAGCCCTGTTCCAACCACAAAAGCAGGATCGCGGGTATCGTAGCAGATGGAACGGTAGAAGCCACCTACGCTGGGTGAGCCCCCGGATGATCCCTGCCACCACTCGAGGCAGTGACTTTAAATAGAGCCTCACTCTTTGGGATGCTCAACAACGGTAACAGCCAAATGGAGGACGCTCTCTTGGGAGAGGCAAAACCTGAGAGACAGTCACAGAGTTTATAGCAAACAGTGTTTCTCAGATGCTAAACTGAATCTATAAAAAGTTTTGGGGTGTAAAAAAGTAAGCAGCTTCAATTCCATTCCAAAAAGGTGTATGTGAGTCTGGGGATGCCCTGCTGAAAGCTCTCCAGACTTCTCACTCTGTGCAGAAGCTCTGCACGGCCAGCCCCTTCCATGGCCTTGCTAGCCCACCCCATGCGGGTCCCCTTCCCTTACCCCAGCCACATTAAGGTGGGGAGAACAGCACGATTGGAACCCGCAGCGGCAGGGGGAACAGCATGATTGGAACCTGCAGCGGCAAGAGGCCATCTAGCCCAAGATGTAGTCTTGCTTGCAGGAACAAAGCCATCGCCAAAACATGGCCCAGGAGGAATGGGGGAGAAATACCCCAGCCTCGCTTTCCTCCTGCCCTGCATATGCTGCTGCCTCCTACTGGCTGAACAAATTGGGAGCTAGAGGAAGGATAGGTGAGGCAGTCCCCAGAGGCCAGTCTCCCCCACACACAGTAGGACAAAGGGCACAGAGTGGCACCAGGGGCTGGCACACACGTCCAGGTGCTGGCCTCCAGCCAGGCACGTTCTCTCTGACTAGAGTCTGTGCCCCAGGGCTTGGCCAGACGGCTCCTTGGTAGCCTGCAGTTCTCATCTTACACATTAGCTCTTTAATGAGGCCTTCCCTGACATTCCATCTGCAGTCCTCTTACTCTCTCTTCATCACAAATCATCCTGTTTTTTTAGGGGGGGGGCGGGTTCTGAGACAGGGTCTCACTCTGTCACTCTGGCTACAGTACAGTGGCACAATCACAGCTCGCTGGAGCCTTGACTCTGAGCTCAAGCGATCTTCCACCTCAGCCTCCTGAGGTGCTGGGACTACAGGTACATACCACCACGCTTGGCGAATTTCTATTTTTTGTAGAGATGAGGTCTTGCCATGTTGCCCAGGCTGGTCTCAAGGTCCTGGGCTCAAGCGATCCACCTGCCTTGGCCTCCTGAACTGCTGGGATTAAAGGCATGAGCCACCGCGCCCAGCCTCTGTGTTGTTTTTTACAGAGCACTTCTCACTATCTGAAATGATCTTAGGTATTCCTTCAATGACCTGCCCAACAATATCTCGTGGTTTTCCTGGTTCTCTCTGTTTCATGCTAGCCTATAACCTCCAGGAGGACAGGCACTTCATCTATTGCATTTGCCAATACACCGCCAGGTCTGCTGGCTGCACACTGTATTCTGTTAATGGCGCCTCCAGGAACTCAATGTGGATGGTGTCCCTGATGACATTCAATCCCGCCCTGTCTCTGGCTCCTGGGACAGTGCTGGGCACTGACATGCATTGGGTGAATAATGTTGAATGGATTGTAGTTTTTGGGTACCTTCTATGTGTCAGGTACTGAAGTGGCTATGAAAACAACAACAGCTAATATTAATAGCAGCTACCATAGCTTTTCTATGTTCCAGGGTGATACTACGACGAAGCCCCATTTCGCAGATGGGAAATGAGCCACTGAGAGGGTAAGTGGCCCAAGGTCACACAGTTGGTACATGGGGGACCCAAGGTTCAAGCCCCAGGAGTTTGGCTCCAGAGTGGACATTTCTAACTACTGGTACCAGATTCGCACTGCCTCTCTGCAGATAAACCAAGCGTCTCTGACTTTATAGAACTTGTGAACAGGGGGAGGCATACATGCAGTCAGCTACTTAGAATACAAGTGTGGAGTATGAGCAGCATTGCCATTATATCCAACGTGAATGTGTGTACATATTGCAGTCATACTTTCAAGTGGGTGAGGACAATTGTGGAGGGGCGTGGGATGTTTTGTACAAGCTGTTAATATCTGTAAGAATTGCTCTTAGCCTGGGCTAGATAGCGGTGGCTCACGCCTGTAATCCCAGCACTTCAGAAGGCCGAGATGGGCGGATCCCTTGAGGTCAGGAGTTTGAGACCAGCCTGGCCAACATGGCGAAACCCCGTTTCTACTAAAAATGCAAAAATTAGCCGGGTGTGGTGGTGTGCGCCTGTAATCCCAGCTACTCAGGAGGCTGAGGCAGGAGAATTGCTTGAACCCAGGAGGTGGAGGATGAGCGAGCAGAGATCACACTACTGCACTGCAGCCCGGGTGACAGTGCGAGACTCTGTCTCCAAAAAAATAAATAAATAAATAAATAAATAAATAAATAAATAAATAAATAAATAATTGTTCTTAACCTGGGCAACATAACAAATATTGTTTCTACAAAAAAAAAAAAAAATTAGCCACGTGTGGTGGTGTGCACCTGTGGTCTCAGCTACAGAAAGCTATGATGGCACCACTGCACTCCAGCCTGGGTGACAGAGTGAGACCATCTTACAAAAAGAAAAAAAGAATTGCTCTTATGATACTGGCAAGAATGAGAATACAAGATGCTCAAAAGTCTGACATCCACAAACTACACACATCAAAATTGCCCATGCCATGATCTGCTTTCCACTCAGAGCTGGTTTCAGCTGGGAACCTCCCCGCCCCCCCGCCTCCCCACCCCCGCCCCCCCAGCCTTCTTTTGCTAACAGCTGTTTTTAACTAGGCTATTCGGTTCTGCTATGTGGCTGTCCAAAAATATATTTTATTTAAGGATCTGCCTTGGGAATAGACAACAATCTGAATGTTCCAGCAACTTCATTTCAACACAAATGCATAAGTCTTGTGACAGACCATGCAACACACTGTCAAAAAGGTGGTACAAGGGCCAGTGGAGACGTAAAGGTTTGTAGTGAGCCATTTCCGTGAGCTTTTGCTCACAACCGAAGAGCTGGGAGACTATTTCCAACCTTCTGTACATGGACAAAGTTTCCCATGTGACATCCATGCTTCAGTGGTTGTAACTTTTTTTTTTTTAATTGTACTGATGGGCTGGGTGTGGTGGCTCAAGCCTGTAATCTCAGCACCTTGGGAGGCCGAGGCAGGTGGACTGCTTGAGGTCAGGAGTTTGAAACCAGCCTGGCCAACATGGTGAAACCCCATCTATACTAAAAATACAAAAATTAGCTGGGCATGGTGGCACGTGCCTGTAGTCCCAGATACTTGGGAGGCTGAGGCAGGAGAACTGCTTGAACCTGGGAGGCAGAGGTTGCAGTGAGCCGAGATCGTGCCACTGCGCTCCAGCCTGGGCAACAGAGCGAGACTCCTCTCAAAAAAAAAAAAAAATGTACAGATGGTTCAGTGCCAACAGCTGAAGTAAGGCAGACAAAGATTTTTTTTTTTTCTTAAGACAAAGAAAACGGTTCTGGATTCAGATGGCGCTTCCAGTGGGAAAAGGTGTCCCCAGGTGTCCCTGGCAGGGCTACCTCCCAAGTAGAACAAACAAATGCTGACAAAGTGGCTCCCAGGTAGCACCTGGCAGGGGCTCAGACCTCTCTCCCTGCTGGCCCAACACCTACCACATCAGCAATATCCCTCTGGGTTTCTGGTCTGCAGGAATCCTTCTACTAAACCCCTTGGGAAAAAAGTATTAGGTTGGTGTAGAAGTAATTATTTTCAATGGCAAAACCCACAATTACTTTTGCACCAATCTAATAATACCCTAGAAGTAACTAACTCTTCCTAGGAGAACCAAGATGAAAGGCAGTGAGCATGGCGGCTGGGCAGACATCCTGGCCTTGGACCCTGGCTCGTCACTGACCAGCTGCTGACCCTTCATCTTTCTGCACCCCAGTTTCCACTTCTGTGAAACGAGGGTGATAATAACAGGCTTGTTTTGAGTGAGTATTTGTGAAATGTTGGCTGGTCCATGGTTATGAGGTTGGTTAAGTAATCATAAAGCCCTTTAGAAAAGGAACCAGAACACAGGTGAGCTCGTATGTTCTTCCAAAAGGAAGAACAGGGAAAGGAAAGAAAGGGCACTGGGGAAAACAGAGATAGTGGGAGGGCAGGGGAGGACGAAGGGAGACAGATCACCACTTGACGGGAAGCTGTCAGAGACCAGCTTGCTGTTTCTCTCAGTCCTGTCTGTCTCACCAGCAGCTCGGGCATCCCCTGTGCCCTCCTGATGTGCCAGTCACTCTGGCTCTCCTCCAGTCCCTCTGGAGCACAGTGCCGCTTCCCACCTCCAGGATTTCACCCACGCTGTGTCCTCGGCCCAGAATGCCCTCTCCTCTCCCCATCTGTGCCTAGCTGACTACTTACTAGTGTTCCTTCAGATCACAGCTCAAATGGCACTTTCTTCGGGAACTCTCCTGATTATCTGACCCCATCCCCCAAATCTGGAGCTCTGAGAGGTCTCTATGGTTCATTAAAAAACTTTTTCTTGCTGGACGCATGGCTCACGCCTGTAATTCCAGCACTCTGGGAGGCCGAGGCAGGTGGATCACGAGGTCAGGAGTTCAAGATCAGCCTGGCCAAGATGGTGAAACCCCATCTCTACTAAAAATACAAATAAATAAATAAATAAATAAAATTAGCCAGGCACGGTGGCAGGTGCCTATAATCCCAGCTGCTCGGGAGGCGGAGGCAAGAGAATCGCTTGAACCTAGCAGGCGGAGGTTACAGTGAACCGAGATCACACCGCTGCATTCTAGCCTGGGTGACAGAGCATGACTCCATCTCAAAAAAAAAAAAAAGAAAAAAAGAAAACTTTTTCTTTTGAGATGAGGTCTTGCTATGTTGCCCAGGCTGGTCTCGAACTCCTGGCCTCAAGCAATCCTTCCGCCTCAGCCTCCTGAGAAGCTGGAAGTGTTATTACTAATACCATCAGTTTTCCAGCACTAATCAGTAGTCATCAGCCTCTTGGTGGACCAGTGCCAACTGTAGTTGGCTTCTGTAGTTCTTTATGGCGCTTTGTGCAATTGTAGTTAAATGTGTACTTATTTGTTTAACATGAAGTCTGTCCTCCTGAGTTGGGGTATGCTTCTCTTGCTCACTCCTTAATTCCTGGATCGACAAATGTTTGTGGAATAGACGGAATGATGAAACATAGACCTGGACAACTTGCTGTGTTTATGGCTGGACCTTTTTCTCCAGGATAAGTAGGAGAAAAGACATCTCCCTGCTGGATCCGAGATCGTTAGTGCTACAAAACTGATGGTAGTAGCATTTCCATTTCTTGCAAATTGCAACTGTATCAAAACTAGGCCTCAAAACTGTGACACTGAACTTGTTCAGTCAAGTCTACTTTGTCTTACCACATTGTTACATGAAATGAGCCAGTTTGATTATATAGGGAAGATTATTCCACAAACTAGTCCCTGACTAGGCTGACGACTACTGATGCTAAAGCAGAACATTTCAACATGCTCCAAAAAGTTCTCTGTCTGCAGGGGAGAGAGGGCCACCCTGGGGACTGTTTACTCCCACATTTGTAAGAATCAATAAATTGGACCAGGGACTTGATCTGGTATCAAATGGTTTCTATCCTTTCTTTTTGTGTGTGTGTTTTTTGAGTCGGAGTTTTGCTCTTGTCACCCAGGCTGGAGTGCAATGGCATAATCTTGGCTCACTACAACCTCCATCTCCTGGGTTCAAATGATTCTCCTGCCTCAGCCTCCTGAGCAGCTGGGGTTATGGGCGCATGCCACCATGCACAGCTGACTTTTGTATTTTTAGTAGAAATGGGGTTTTGCTACATTTGCCAGGCTGGTCTCGAACTCCTGACTTCAGGTGATCCACCCACCATGGCCTCCTAAAGTGCTGGGATTACAGGTATGAGCAGCCGTGCCTGGTAGTTCCTATCTTTTCTAAACAAATAAAATGAATCAAACTTTCAAACCCATCCTTTAAGAAAATCTTTCATACTGTGGGTAGGAAAGCAAAACAGTGCAGTCCCCATGAAAAACAGTATGGGGACCGGGTGCAGTGGCTCATGCCTGTAATCTCAGCACTTTGGGAGGCGGAGGGGGGCTGAGCACCTGAGGTCAGGAGTTTGAGACCAGCCTGGCCAACATGGTGAAACATTGTCTCTACTAAAAAAACAAAAATTAGCTGGGCATGGTGGCACACGCCTGTAATTCCAGCTACTCGGGAGGCTGAGGCAGGAAAATCACTTGAACTGGAGAGGCAGAGGTTACAGTGAGCCGAGACTGCAATACTGCACTCCAGCCTGGGTGACCTGTCTCAAAAACAAAACAAAACAAAACAAAAACAGTATGGAGTTTCCTAAAAAAATTAAAAATAGAGCTACCACATGACCCAGCAATGCTACTTCTGGGTACATATCCAAACAAATTGAAATCAGGATCTTGAGGAGATACCTACACTCCCATGCTCATTGCAGCATTATTCACAAGAGCTCAGATGTGGAAACAATCTATATGTCCATTGACAGATAAATTGCTAACAAAAAATGAGGTAGCTGGGTGCAGTGGCTCACGCTGCAGTGAGCTATGATTGTACTACTGCACTCCAGAATGGGCAACAGAGCAAGACTCAAAAAAAAAAAAAAAAGACTGGGTGCAGTGACTCACACCTGTAACACCAGCACTTTGGGAAGTCAAGGCTGGAGGAGCACTTGAGCCTTGGCGTTCAAGACCAGCCTGGGAAAAATAGTGAGACCTTGTCGCCACAAAACTCAAAAATTAGATGGGCCTGGTGGCTTGCCCATGTGGTCCCAACTATTCAAAGAGGCTGAGTTGGGACAATATTTGAGCCCAGGAGGTCAAGGTTGATGCCGCTAGTGTGATTATGCCACTGCACTCCAGCCGGGATAACAGAGTGAGATCCTGTCTCAAAAAAAAAAAAAGAAAGAAAAGAAAAGAAAACATTATACACATGCACAATGGAATATTATTCAGCCTTAAAAAAGAAGGAAATTCTGCCATATGTAACAACATGGATGACCCTCGAAAGCATTAAACTATGTGAAATAAGCCAGTTGCAGGAAGACAAATATTGCATGAGTCCACATATAAAGAAAGTATCTAAAATAGATTCATAGAATCAGAGAGTAGAATGGTGGTTGCAGGGGGTGGGGGTAGGGGAATGAAGAATTACTAACCAATGGACAGTTTCAGTTATGAATAAGCTCTAGAGATCTGCTACACAGCACAGTTTCTATGTCAATAGTAATGTATTGTACACGTAAAAACCGGTTAAGAGGGTAGATCTCACCTTAAGTGTTCTCGCCCCAATACAATAAAACTAAAATAAAAGCTGTGACCTGAAAGGTAACAAATAATTTGAACTGAGTAGGCTGCACGCAGAGGCTCATGTCTGTAATCCCAGCACAAATCCCAGCACTTTGGGAGGCCAAGGCAGGCAGATCACTTGAGCTCAGGAGTTCGAGACCAGCCTGGCCAACATGATGAAATCCTGTCTCTACTAAAAGACAAAAAAAAAATTAGCCAGGTGTGGTGGTGGGCGCCTGTAGTCTCAGCTACTTGGGAGACTGAGGCACGAGAATTGCTTTAACCCAGGAGGCAGAGGTTGCAGTGAGCCGAGATCGCGCACTGCATTCCATCTAGCCTGGGTGACAGAGGAAGATTCTCCAAAAAAAAAAAAAAAAAAAAAAAAAGAAAAAGAAAAAAACTGAACCAGGTAGAAGTGAGATGTGGGAGTCTTGTTAATGCTAGATCTACTCATAATGGGCATGGCTCAGGTGTGGCGCATCCCATCACCTGAGAGTTTATTCAGCTCTTAGCCCTGGCTATTCAGGATAAACATCCTGTAGCATCTGTGAGTAGTTACTAATGCCGCGTCCCACAAGGAGGGATACAGGGTTGCTAGTGCTCAATGAACTTGAGCAAATAAGGCACACTGCAAACGTTTCCGGCTTCAGTCATGCAGGACAGGCTCTGGAATAGCGTAGCCCTCGGTTCAAATCCCAGCTCTGCTACTTATAAGCTTTGTGACCTCAGGCACATTGCAAGGGCCCTCTGGCTCAGGTTTCATGAGTGAAAAAGGTGCAATGATTCCTACCTTGGGGGGCTTGGGTGGAGGACTCCCAGGAAGTGAGTATTAATGAGTGGCGTTAGCAAGGCATGGGGCACCTAGTGAGGTGTTGTGAACTGCAGCTATTCTTTGTCTCATATCATTACTAAACCCCAGCTAAAACACATGCAATGCTACAAGGAAAAATAACTCAAATCTGTTCAAGGAATAATAACGCAAATCTGTTCAAGGAATAATAAATCTGTTCAAGGAATAAATAACTCAAATCTGTTCAAGGAATAATGAATCTGTTGAGAGCAGGAGCTCTTTCCACAAATGCCTAAGGGGCCAAGTGGACAACAGAAATGGGGTTAATGGGTCCAGAGGTACCCAGGAAAACTGGAGAGAAAGGCATACGCTGCCTGCACAGGGCAGCTGGTACCCAGCTGCAGCCAACTGGCCAGGTCGCAGGATGCGGGCCCCACGTGATAGGACCTGATTTTTCAAGGGGAGATGCAAATCTGGGATTTTCTGTGATCTACCAATTTTTAAATGTAGGAAACTCATTCCAAATGTTCTCCATCAGGACATAGCCAGCAAGTGTCTACATGTCTACCGGCTGGATCTGCCCTCCAGACATCAATCTGTAATCCCAGGGACAGAGTTTCAGGTTTACAAAGCACTTTCCCAGCTATCATTTCATTTAACCCTCACAGGAGTCATTTGAGGTGGGCACTGTGATGACACCTCAGAAAGGTGACAACTGAAGCTCTGAGGAGTTATAAAACTTTCCCAAAGTCTCAGCGCTATGAACTCTTCAGGTCAGGACTGAACAGAAGCTTCTGAATCTGAGAAGGCTTTTCAAAAAGGCTCCAGTGATTTTTAACCTGCAGATGCTGAATGCATCCCGATTAATCAATAAACAATGACTTTTACCAACTGCTTAATTCAAAACCCTGATTTTTTTCTTTTGCCTTCTCACTTTTACCAACTGCTTAATTCAAAACCCTGATTTTTTTTCTTTTGCCTTCTCACTTGATAAATAACTAGCTTACCCAAAGAGAGAAACTTACAGAGTACTAATATGGAGATCTGAAAACAGTGACATCAAGTGTCAAGTGAAGGGGCTCTAGAAAATGCCAGTGCACGCTGCCCCATCTTGGGGTGCCGCCTATCCTCCCTGCAGGACAACAAGAGGCCCCCATCCTGAAGCCATGTCTGCAGTCCTTGAGCCTGGCCTCCTGACCTCGCTCCCCTCTGTCTGAAGACTTGGAATCTGAACAGGGAGAGTCAGAAGCTGAGTCACTTTCTGTTTTCTCAGCTTTACTGAGATATAATTCACATGCCAAACAGTATACCTGCTAAAATGTACAATTCAGTGATTGTCAGGATATTCACAGAGTTGTGCGATCATCAATACAGTCAATTTTGGAACATATCATCACCCCAAAAAGGAACCTGGATCCACTGGAGCTCAGGCACTTTTATGGCTCAAGTTCAGGGTGATGTTTCTCAAATATGGTCCTAGGACCACTTACCCCTGAATCACTGAAGGGGGCTTTTAAAAATGCCCATTTGCCAAACATGGTTGATCCCACCTGTAATCCCAGGTACTGGGGAGGGTGAGGGAGGAGGATTGCTTGAGGCCAGGAGTTCAAGACCAGCCTGGGAAATGTAGTGAGAATGTACCTCTATAAAACATTAAAAAAAAATTAGCCAGGCGTGGTGGCTGGCACATGCCTGTTGGCCCAGCTACTTGGGAGGCTGAGGCAGGAGGATCACTTTAGCCCAGGAGCTCAGCCTAGGCATACAGCAAGACCCCTTCTCAAAATAAAACAATTAGATGATTTTAAAAATGCTGATTTGTGAGCCTATTTCAACCTACTGAGTGAGACTCTGGGAGGGGCCCCAGGAATCTGCATTTTAACAAGAGTCTGAGATTCCCATGCACATTAAGCTCTACCAGCGGTGCTTAATCTGTTCTGTGCCATGCACCCTGCGGCAGCCAGGTGAAGCCTATACACTCCATGGAATACTATTTTTATTTTTTTTGAGATGGAGTCTTGCTCTGTTGCCCAGGCTGGAGTACAGTGGCACAATCTTGGCTCACTACAACCGCTACCTCCCAGGTTCAAGCGATTCTCCTGCCGCAGCCTCCCTGGTAGCTGAGATTACAGGTGCCTGCCACCACTCCTGGCTAATTTTTGTATTTTTAGTAGAGACGGGGTTTTACCATGTTGGCCAGGCTGGTCTCGAACACCTGACCTCAGGTGACCCACCTGCTTCAGCCTCCCAAAGTGTTGGGATTACTGGAGTGAGCCATCATGCCTGGCCCTTGGAATACATTTTTTTTTTTTTTTGAGATGGAGTCTTGCTCTGTTGTCCAGGCTGGAGTGCGGTGGTGCAATCTCGGCTCACTGCAACCTCCGCCTCCTGGGTTCAAGCGATTCTCCTGCCTCAGCCTCCCAAGTAGCTGGGATTGCAGGTGCCCACCACCATGCCCAGCTAATTTTTGTACTTTTAGTAGATACGGGGTTGTGCCATGTTGGCCAGGCTGGTCTCAAACTCCTGACCTCAGGTGATCTGTCCACCTCCGCCTCCCAAAGTGCTGGGATACAGGCATGAGCCACGGTGCCCAGTCCTTGGAATATTATTTTTAATGCAGCAAATAAAACACATAAGACTAAAAAGCAAACCAATTACACTAAAATACAGCTGGCAAAATATTTTTTCAATGCTTCTGTGATACTGTAATCTGTTGCTTCTTTGTGAATGCATTAACAGCTCTAGCAATGGGCTTAATAACTGCTGTGCTTTGAAAGGAAGAAGAACATACACAATCTTCTGAAATATCTTTCACATCTGAAATGTGATGTGAACATATCTGTTGATTTCTTTTGGTGACAAAGTCCCAGCTACTGCTACTACTACTGTGGCTTTTTGCCTGTAATTCATCGAGTGAAAGGTAAATTTCACTCAGAGGTTTGTTAAAATAAAGCTGTCATTTTCCTCATCCAAATTCATGTCACTCTGCCAGACCCCCAGGGAGTAGATGGACTCCAAGTTATAAGGACCCTTGCTAGGGAGGGTCCAGGAATTCCTCCTGCTGGGTCCCGGGAGTGGCCTCATTCTTTCCAACTCAAGCCTGGCTGTACATCTCTTCCATCCCAGGAAAAACCCAGCATCCTTCCAACAATGCCCCTCTTAATTTCTGCTATGTTTAGTTTCTGTTATTTGCCATCAAAAGAACTTTGTCGCCACCTTCTTAGTGCTTTCTAGAAAGTTTACTATGTGCAGAGGCATGGTTCTGACATTGTGAGTACTCACTAACTTAATATTCATGGCAACCCAGAAGTGACAGTTCTTATCCTCATTTTATAGACAAGGAAACTGCAGCCCAGGGATGTTATATTATTGCCCAAGAACGCAGAGCTGGAAGAAGGATGGGCCAGGATTCCATGCTGGACATCTTGGTTCCGAGGCCTGTGCCCTTCCCCACTGGGCGACACCTCTGCCTTGGCAGTATAGAGAGTGCAGTGGACTAAATATTTGTATCCCCCTGCAAATTCATACACGGAGACCCTAATCCCAATGTGATGGGATTTGGAGGTGGGGCCCTTGGGTAGTAATTAGGTCCCAGAGGACCAATTGCTCAAAAGGCCGGAGAGCTTGCCCTTGCTTTTTCTTTCTGTCACATGAGGACATAACGGGAAGATGGGCCTGCAGTCCCAGCTGCTCAGGAGGCTGAGGCGGGAGAATCACTTGAGCCTAGGAGTTCAAGGCTACAGTGAGCTATAACTGCACCACTGCACTCCAGCCTGGGTGACAGAGCAAGACTCCTAAACAAACACACAAAAAGGCCTGGCATGGTGGCTCACACCTGTAATCCCAGCACTCTGGGAGGCCAAGGCAGGTGGATCACCTGAGGTCAGGAGTTCAAGACCAGCCTGAACAACATGGTGAAACTCCATCTCTACTAAAAATACAAAAATTAGCCAGGTGTGGTGGCGGGCGCCTGTAATCCTAGCTACTCAGGAGGCTGAGGCAGGAGAATCACTTGAACCTGGGGGGTGGAGGTTGAAGTGAGCTAAGATCATGCCATTGCACTACAGCCTGGGCAACAGTAGTGAAACTCCATCTCAAAAAAAAAAAAAAGAGAGACAGAAAGAGAGAGAAGATGGTTGTCTGCAACCTGGAAGTGGGTCCTCACTAGAACTCAACCAGACTGGCACCCTGATCTCAGACTTCCAGCTTTAAGAACTCTGAGAAATAAATGTTGTTTAAGACCCCAGTCTATGGCACTTTGTAATAGCAGCCTGAGCTGACATAGTACCTCACCTCTACTATTATAGTATGATCCCCACCCAGCAAGAATAGAAAATTCATTAAGCAATTCAAATACCTAACTGGAAAACCAACACAAAGATACTAGATAGAATGTTCCTGCAGTTTTAGGCCTAAGAACACATATAATATTATAAGGCAGGTGAAAGGAAGACATGTCCTGCGGTTCTGCTGAGGAAACGTACCGGAACTATTAATAAAGTAGAAAAGAAATTGCAGAGGAATTCCAGAAGGAACGATTCCGATGGCCGCATCTTCCCATCAATATTAATCATCTTTGGAACTTCCGGAACAAGGCTTATAGCGGCTTTGAAAAAAGCATCAGCTGCAAGACAGAAGATAAAAGTCAGTATATTAGAACTCTGGGAAATTTAGTTGGCTTTCTTCTTCACGTGGCCTGAAGGCCAGTCCTGAGAGTTAGGTAGAAGCCAGGCCATGCCGAGGGCAGGTCCTAGCAGAAGGTTTCTGCAAACCATGATGGAGCTGGAGGAATATTTGCTTGACAGGGCACTGCTTCAGCTCAGAGAACCTCTGTTAAATTGTCTTTAGATTATTAAGTGAAAAAAGCAGGTCGCAAATTTTTGTAAAAAGTCTAGAAATGACAGTTGCCTGGGCTAAAGCTCAACTTGGATTGGTTCATTGAATTCTCATGTCTACCAGTGCGAGGAAGGTGCTGTCAACACGTGTACTTCACAGACGAGAAATAAGGGAAGGAAAGAGAAGCAATTCATCCTGCAACAGTGTCCTGTGTATGAAGTTCCAGTGTTGGTAGTAGAGCTGCAGCTCAAACCCAGGTCAGTTTGAATCTATTCTAGTGCACACCATTTTTGTTAAATAGCCATCAAAATGTCTGAAGGAACACAGCACACACACACACACACACACACACACACTCAGCTTAAAGGCTTCTGATTAACATCAGCTCCATAGAATCGTTTGGGAAATGAAGATATTTAAAGAGCTATGAAAAAATCTGTAAAACAAGAAGACTTCAAAGGGAGTAAGAGAGGAAGAAAAGGAGTGGAGAGAGAATGTGTGTGCACAACAGGAGACGGGGTGGAAGGGATGAGGGAGAGCAGGAAGGATGGGAGGTGGAGGGGAAGACGGAGAGGGAGTGAAAGTTCTTTCTAAAACTGCCAAGGTATTGACCGTGAGAAAAAGCCTCAAGGTCAAAACAATCAAAACACTGACCTGACAAATGAAATTTTAAACTACCCGACAAGATCAAATGTTTTCATGGTCCAAATGGACTTCCACTCCAAAACGACTTCCAGTGATGCAAAGAGAACACTGTAGGGGTGAACAGCATCCTGAATTAAAACAGGAACACCGGCCAGCACACCAGAGGGGCAAATGCAACAGCAAATGCTCACTTTCCTGGGAAGAAAGGCCTATGTTTAATGAGAAGAGTATGTGTCTGAAGATGGATGGTGGAGTTTTGCCATCTCTTCCTTCTTCAAAGGAGAGGGAAAAAAAACATGTCACAGAAAGACACTCCTTGTAAAGCTTTCTGAGTCAAGTTAGCTCTGCTCTGGAAGCTTCTTTGCCTGGCTGTCTCCTGAACCCCAAACTCAAACCCCTTCCACATTTATTAAGCCCCAACTGTGAACAGGGTACTGTCATGGGCAGGTAGACAAACAGATGAAAAAAAAGTGAGAGAAAGCGTTGACAACATAAACTGTGGCAATGAGACCAACATAATCATACTAATTAACAACTATTTTTTTTTCTGGTTTTTTTTTTTTTTTTTCCAGACAGGGTCTTGCTCTGTCGCACAGGCTGAAGTGCAACGGTGTGATCTCGACTCACTGCAGCCTCTGCCTCCTGGGCTCCAGCCATCCTCCTACCTCAGCCTCCCCAGTAACTGGGACTACAGGAGTGCACCATCATCCCTGGCTAATTTTTGTATTTTTTGTAGAGATGGGGTTTCACCGTGTTGCCCAAGCTGGTCCCAAACTCCTGAGCTCAAGCGATCTGCCTGACTCGGCCTCCTAAAGTTCTGGGATTACAGGCGTGAGCCACCGCATTGGGCCAACACTTATTTTCTAAGCCTGTTACGTATTTTGGTCTATGAATCCACTTATCTCAATTGTTTTGGGGAGAGACATTAAATATGGGGCTTGAGGAAAAGCCACCTGATGTCCGTTCTGATAGAGAAACCTTCCAGAAAGGGTCAGAGCCTGCAGGGTCTTCTATCTTGTGACCACTAGTAAGACATGGCCCAACCAGGTACGGTAGCTCACGCCTGTAATCTCAGCACTTTGGGAGGCCAGTGGGTCGATCACTTGAGGTCAGGAGTTTGAGACCAGCCTGGCCAATATGGTGAAACCCTGTCTGTACTAAAAATACAAAAATTAGCTGGGCATGGTGGCACATGCCTGTAATTCCAGCTACTCGGGAGGCTGAGGCAGGAGAATCACTTGAACCCGTCGGTCAGAGGTTGCAGTGAGCCGAGCCTGGGCAACAGAGCAATGCTCTGTCTCAAAAAAAAAGAAAGAAAGAAAGAAAGGAAGAAAGGAAGAAAGGAAGAAAGGAAGAAAGGAAGAAAGGAAGAAAGAAAGAAAGAAAGAAAGAAAGAAAGAAAGAAAGAAAGAAAGAAAGAAAGAAAGAAAAACATGGCCCTACTTATGGAACCCACAGGATCTCCTAGGCCCTATCTTTAAGCAGTTCATTTCCTTAGTCCTCCGGCAGTCCCACAGTGAAGTAAGTATATCATGAAACAAGGTTCTCAGTGGGAATGCAAATTCTGCTCAGAGCAACTTGAAAGACCATTTTTTTCTATTTATGTGTTTGTTACTGACTGGCCCAGAGAATGTGCCTATTATTATGCCTCATTAAAAAGAGAGCAGCTTTGTCCCCAGAACTTGGCTCCTCTCACCCACCCCGCCCAGTTTCCACTCTAAAGGACGGAGCTAAAATAAACAGTTATTTAAAGGTTGGGGCATGCAGGGTTCCAAAGCAGATTTTTAGTTCTATCCTCAGAAGACTTGCCCCATATAGAAAATATTGTCTGGAGACTTCTCAATCTTATCTTAAGTAATTAGAAATCAAATCCTACCCCATGTGACAGCAGTTTATCCTTATAGTTTAAAGTTCAGAATAATCATGTCAACTTCATGTAACACTTTGTTTTGTAGCTATTAAGAGCTATGGAAGCTCATTTAAGATATAACGGATTTTTTTTTAAAGACCTACAGAAAAAGGAGAACTCAGATTCCCAGTAGTAAAGAATATTGTCCCCTCTTTGAGTAATACCCCACAAGCACAGGCAACCAAAGCAAAAATGGACAAATGGGATCACATCAACTTAAAAAGCTCCGCACAGCAAAGGAAACAATCAACAAAGTGAAACGAGAACCCACAGAATGGGAGAAAATATTTGCAAACTACCCATCTGATAAAGGATTAATAACCAGAACATAAGGAGCTCAAACAACTCTATAGGAAAAAAAATCTAATAATCAGATTTTAAAAATGGGCAAAAGATTTCAATAGATGTTTCTCAAAAAAAAAAATACAAATGGCAAACAAGCATATGAAAAGGTGCTCAACATCATTGATCAGAGAAATGCAAATGAAAACTATAATGAGATATCATCGAACCCCAGTTAAAATGGCTTTTATCCAAAAGACAGGCAACGACAAATGCTGGTGAGAATGTGGAGAAAAGGGGAACCCTCACACACTGCTGGTGCAAATGTTAAATTAGTACAACTACTACGGAGAACAATTCGGAGGTTTCTGAAAAAGCTAAAAATAGAGCTACCATAGGATCCAGCAATCCCACCACTGGATTTACCCCCAAAAGAAAGGAAATCAGTATATCGAAGAGATATCTGCACTCCTGTTTGTTTTAGCACTGTTCACAATAGCCAAGATTTGGAAGCAATCTAAGTGTCCGTCAACAGACAAACGGATAAAGAAAATGTGGTACATATACACAATGGAGTACTATGCAGCCATAAAAAAGGAGATTCTGTCATTTGCAACAACATGGGTGAAACTGGAGGGCATTATGTTAAGTGAATTAAGCCAGGCACAGGAAGGCAAACTTTGCATGTTCTCACTTATTTGTGGGAGCTAAAAACAAAAACAATTGAACCCATGGAGACAGAGAGTAGAAGGATAGTTACCAGAGGCTGGGAAGGGTAATGGTGGGGCATGGTGGGGAGTGGGAATGGTTACTGCGTACAAAATAAAAATAGAAAGAATGAATAAGACCTAGTATTTGATAGCACAACACAGTGACTCTAGTCAATAATTTAATTGTACATTTAAAAATAACTGAAAGAATATAACTGAATTGTTTGTAGCACACAGGATAAATGCTTGAGGGGATGGATACACCATTCTCTAGGATGTAATTATTATACACTGCCTGCCTGAATCAAAACATCTCATGTACCTTGTAAATATATACACTTACTAAGTACCCACAAAAATTTTTTTAGAAAAGGAAAAAATATATATTGTCCTGGTTCCACTAGAGGAAGGGGAAAAGCAGCAAGTACACGGACTAGGCTTCCTTCATCCAAGTCCTCTGGGGTTCATGGGACATTCATGTTTTTTTGTTTTTTTTTTTTTTTAGATGAACTCTTGCTCTGTTGCCCAGGCTGGAATGCGGTGATGTGATCTCAGCTCACTGCAGCCTCCGCCTCCCGGGTTCAAGCGATTCTCCTGCCTCAGCCTCCCGAGTAGCTAAGACTACAGGCACATGCCACCGTGCCAGGCTAATTTTTGTATTTTTAGTAGAGATGGGGTTTCACCATGTTGGGCAAGCTGGTCTTAACTCCTGGCCTCAGGTGATCCGGTTGCCTTGGCTTCCCAAAGTGCTGGGATTACAGGCGTGAGCCACCGTTCCCTGCTGGGACATCCATGTTTCTTTTCCATATACCTTTTTTTTTTTTCTGCTTATATTTCCAGTATCTCAGAACAATCACTGCATATCCCATCTTAAAGGCAAAACCCAAACCAGAAAAACCCCACTCAGGTCTTGCTGACCCAACACTACAGTCACTGTATTTGAGACCCCTTTTTCTTGAAAAAGGGACTTCACTTTTTTGAGCAGCATTCTATGGTTCTTTCCACACAGCAATTGACGCATCTCACGGCACTGCTCTCTGCTGGGCAGAGAGCAAACACAGACAGCCACCATCCCCATATTCGTAGTAAGAGAAACTCCAGAAACGCAGCCACCGTCCCCGTATTCATAGTAAGAAAAATTGCATAAACATAGCCACTGCCCCCATATTTGTAAGAGCACTGTAGTACTCTTGGACTGCTCTATTGTAAGAATTGTTGGGGTCCTTGCTAAAAATATGGGGACAGACTACCTCATTATTTTGTATATATGACGAGTAAATGCCAGGGATGCTCACTGGCAAAATATCACATTTGACATTTTCCATCTGAAGTTTCAGGCTCTCCTGTTCTCAACCTGAGTAGTTTCAAAAGGTCTGTGGACCACTGAAAGAACACGGTATTCGGGAAACTTCCGCAAGGACAGGAAGAAATCAAACACTCAGAACACAAAGCCATTAAAACCCCACAGATGGACTCCAAAATATATGTCACAAGCAAATAGCTGCGGGAAAGGGTGAGATGCAGACAGAAGCTGAAAATAAGGGCTTAGCTGAAGATGCTAGGTAAACTGTATGTTTTGATTATTCATGCTGCCTAGCTACTATAAATGATTGGGTCAATCATTCCTGTTGGATGAAGATATCTTTATATCAACTCTAAGATCATTTGAAGAAAAAGTGAAAACAGCTTAAAGTTCCAAAATGTAAAAAAAAAAAAAAAAAAAAAAAAAAAAGAAATTACTGCACTGTTGCACCAAGCAAGTAATATAGCTAATAAAGAGCATAAGGCAGATCTATATGTTTTGAGGTATATTTGAGGTATAAAGACATCTATGACATATTACATACAAAAAATCGGGGGGGAGGGTGGCGGGGGAAAAAAAGAAAAAAAAAGGACAAAAAGTCACACAGCTGTATACGTGTGAGCCTATCTTTGCAAAGGAAAAAAAGTATATAAACTTATGTAGATGCATAGAAAGGTCAGGCAAGATAAATGCCAAACTATTAGGTGTAATATTGGAGTGGTGGATGAGGATGGACACCAATTTTTTCACTTACTGATAGGCTACTGTCTTGGAATTTTAATTGAAATTTATTATTATTGAGACTTTGCTCTTGTTGCCCAGTGCAATGGCATGATCTTGGCTCAACACAACCTCCACCTCCTGGGTTCAAGTGATTCTCCTGCCTCAGCCTCCAGAGTAGCTGGGATTATAGGCATGAGCCACCATGCCCAGCTAATTTTTTGTATATTTAGTAGAGACGGGGCTTCTCCATGTTGGTCAGGCTGATCTCGAACTCCTGAACTCAGGTGATCTGCCCGCCTCTGCCTCCCAAAGTGCTGGGATTATAGCCATGAGCCACTGTGCCCGGCCTATTATTATTATCATTATAATTATTATTATTTTTTTTTTGAGGCAGAGTCTTGCTCTGTCACCCAGGTTGAAGTGCAGTGGTACAATTTCAGCTCACTGCAACCTCTGCCTCCTGGGTTCAAGCAATTCACCTGCCTCACCCTCTCAAGTAGCTGGGATTATAGGCGTCTGCTACCATGCCCCTGTAGGAGCTCGGTTAGGGTGATGTCAGAAATTGTAAGAGAAAATTATAGGAAAAACGCAAGCTTTCTTGGAAGGCCGGAAGGTTTTACAAAAGCTTTAGGAAAGGGTTATGGCTGAAGGCAGCCTAATCCTCTTTACCTTGAGTTGATAGCAAAAGAGCAAATAGTAAGTGAATGTGGGGGGTTTTATCTAAATAGCTTGTTTACTCATGTGGTCCTAAGACCGACCTTTGATCATCTGTGGGTGTATGACTGCTCTCTACTCAGGAGGTCGGCAATGTTAATTACCTTCTAGTGGTGTTTACTCGAGACCTTTGTCATTTAATCTGTACTAAATAAATGCGAACTTTGCCGGCTTATGGAGGCCAATGCTGTAGTCAGGCAGCAGAGCCTCTTAGCCATGCTGACAGGCAAAATATCCGTGTCAGTCTTTTATCCGTCACTGGGTCAGGGTCTGCAGGTCAGATCTGGCATACCTGGCTAATTTTTGTATTTTTTTTTTTAGTAGAGATGGCATTTCACCATGTTGGCCAGGCAGGTCTCGAACCCCTGACCTCAGGTGATCTGCCTGCCTCTGCCTCCCAAAGTGCTAGGATTACAGGCATGAGCCACCGTGCCTGGCCTATTTTTATTATTATTTTTTGAGACAGGGCCTTGCTCTGCTGCCCAGGCTGGATTGCAGTGGTACCGTCATAGCTCACTCCTGCCTCGACCTCCTGGGCTCGAGCAACCCTCCCACTTCAGCCTGCCAAGTGGCTGGGACTACAGGCGTGCGCCATCATGCCTGCTGATTTTTTAAGTTTTTTTTAATTCATATTTTGTACAGACTGGGTCTCACTATGTTGCCCAGGCTTAAATTTCTAAAAATAATTTTTCTTGAACATACAAAGGCAATACAAGTTTGCTGTAAAATGTTCAGTCCTAGAAATGTATAAAACAGAAATATGGCAAAACAATGTACTCCCTATTTAACCAGAGTAGGACAAGGTGGAGATGGAAGTAGGGACAGGGCCACACACTGCATGGACTCTTAATACTCCTGCTGTTCTAAGGGGCAGCCACCCCAGTTCCCTGTATGTGTAAGGCACAGCACCAAGCTGAGGGGTGATACACACACTGTGGGGACCAACCAGGGATGCTGTTCTGCACTGCACCGTGAGGATGGCGGGAAGGGTCCTCTCTAATTAGCTTCTCCATGAAATGAGTCAGACTTCAGGCTTGAAGCTCCCCAGTCAGTCCACTTGCAAGGGTTCTTCTTCTCAAGGCTTTAAAAAGCTCCATATCGTGCTCTGGGGCCTCTTCGAGCTCCTGTAGATAATTCAGGGGCAGTAACCTCCCACTGGGATGTCCACCTGAGGAGCCCCACTGGCATCTGTTGTGTGTACCAAGGCTTTCAATACGCCTCTGTCTGAACAATAGAGTTCCACATTCTAAGAGGCTAAAATACCAATTGGGCAACTGTCAGAAAGCTTCAAAGTGCTCAGAATTAAGATGCAGGTTATTTATTGTCTGCCAGAGCAAAAACTTGCAAAGAGTTCATATATTTTTCAACAGGAGTTCGGAGGAAAAAAAATAGAGGGGGGCCATTTGAAGAAATAATTTGTAGCACTTCCAAAAAAAAAGAAGAAACAGAATACCAAACAGCCATTACAAAGAGGGTACTGATTGACACCAAGATTTACAGAGAAGCCAAAAAAGGCTTATGAAAAACACTGTAGAAGACATAATTCCATTTATTGCTAAGGGGGAAAGAGAACTACATATATATATATATATATAAGAATATAGATAAATGGAGAGTGAAGGAGAAAGGAGAATAGAGAGGCAGAGAGCATACAAGAATAATGAATATTTTAAAATGGATATATAAAAGAAAAAAATCAAGATGTCCATACTGTTAACAACAGCAGATTTGGGGGTGGGGTGGGGAGATACAGCATATTATTGGAGACTTTTATCTCAGGGCTTTTTACTTTTTAAGAGTCCTACATTTCTGTATGGTTGGAAGTTTTTCAAATGAGCATTCTGAATTTTTATAGTGAAAGTCATTAAGATTTAAAATACAGATTGCCTAGATTTTCAACTGGATACAGGACAATCTCACCAAACACCCTCAATACATGATAAAAGGAATTCAGACTTAACTAGGACCTACAAGAGTAAATGCAACCTTTTGTATGGTTGGCATTGGTGATATGGAAAATGAGTCAATACATGAATCATAAGTGACAGTCAAGAAGTGATAACCCATCCCACCTTCAAAATTGGCATTTTGCTTTTTTTCAATAATGCATTAGGTCAGTGCTAATGGAAATCTTTACCACTCGTCAGTCATAAACTCCTGAGGCTGAACAAAACCTCAAAGTTAATTCATTTCACTCCTAGATCTTCAATCCATCAATCCATCAATCCAACTACCCTCCTAGGTAACTCAGGAAACTCAGACTGACAGCTGTCCTAGCCCAGGAAGATCGAAGAATAGAAAAACCATTATTTCTTCTTTATTTTTTTTTTTTTTGAGACAGGGTCACACTCTGTTGCCCAGGCTGGAGTGCAGTGGTGCAATCATGGCTCACTGCAACCTCCACCTCCCAGGTTCAAACAATTCTCGTGCCTTGTTAGCCTCCCGAGTAGCTGGGACTACAGGCGCACACCACCACGCCCGGCTAATTTTTGTATTTTTAGTAGAGACAGGGTTTTGTCATGTTGGCCGGGCTGGTCTCGAACTCCTAGCCTCTAGTGATCCACCGTCTCGGCCTCCCAAAGTGCTGGGATTACAGGCGTGAGCCACCGTGCCCGGCCAAAAATCGTAAGTTCTTAAGACAAGATGTTCCAAGGGTTGAAGACTCCCATCTCTTGAATGTGTATTAGTAAAGCAGGGTTCTGGCTATAAAAATCATCACTCTCTCTCAAGGTATACAAACCCCATTGCAAAACATCTTTACCCATCTTCAACATTTTCTATCTCCGTATGAGTTTAGGTTTGGATTGACAATATCAATATCATGGAAACTACCACATAAAATGCAACATCCAGACATATCTTCTTCCTGAAAACTTTGCCTGCAATGAAGATGTGCTGCCACCAAGTGATGGGGTGCCTTTGGCAAAGCCTTGTGGTCTCAGTGGCCAAGTTATCCACAGGCAAGTCACTGATAGAGATTTACCACTATCTATTACTAGCCTGTGTTTTTGTAATAGAACTTGTTATTCCAACAGCTAAGTTTGAGGACTTAGGGGCCACTATTTTGATATGTACATAAAGCAAGATGTAAAGAAATATGAATCTCCAGGAACAATTAAATACCTTATACATTAATGCTTAATTGCTATCAATGATGGCTTAATCTAACTTTGATTTTGCCACCTGGTTTATGCAGAATGCCTTTTAAGTTCATTCTGAATATCAACACTTAATGTGAAAAATCCACTTGGGACATATAAATTACTTCTTAGCTTCGGTAGTACCATCAGAAGGCTCCTGCACTCTCTCCCTCCCTCTACTCTCTGAACTGTCAAGGGCTCTCTCACTGAGCCAAGCATGCTCAGCCCATGTGTTACCTAACTCCTACCTCGGAGATACTACAGGATGACATACCTTTCTCTCATCCATGCAGTAGCTCATTTGAGGTTGCGTATTGTCTCTGTGAAAAGTAGGCTTAGATTTCCCTAAGCAGAAAGGATTAGGTATTCCTTATCTTAATTTTGGTTCTTTGTTTCCTAGTTTATCTAATGCTCAATCCGTAATAATTGACCTCCAGCAACCACGTGCACTTGGGATTAGAAATACAACCCTATGTTATGATATAGAAGAACTAACCTAATATAGAGAGGCACAGTGGTTAAATCCAGATAAGGCCACTCATTAGCTGGATGTTCCTGAGCACGCCTGAGCCTCAGTTTCTCCAGCTGCAAAATAAAGATAAACCACCTACCTAATAATACGTACTGAATAAAACTATTTTGCCAGGAGTTCAGACCTCTCAACAATTAGGCCCTCAACTATCACCTTAACTTGATCTCCTCCTCATTCCTTCCAGACGTACTGTTTTCTCAGCCTCCAGGCCTCAACCTAGAATGCCATACACCTTACTTCAGTATAATAACAAGATATTCCCTGACCTTCCAGGCTCTTCAATGCCACCTCTTTTTTTTTTTCCTCTTTCAAGTCAAGGGTTAATTCTCTCTGCTCTAAAATTCCCAAGCACATTTTATGTCCATAGTGCATGAGCTTTATCATGTGTCGCCTAGTGTAATAATTGTAAACAGATTTGCTCTCCCTGAATGGCCTGTCGTCTCTTTTTCTTGTTTTGTTTTGAGACACGGTCTCACCCTGTTGCCCAGGCTGGAGACAGTGGTGCGATCTTGGCTCACTGCAACCTCTGCCCTCCAGGCTCAAGCGATTCTCCTGCCTCAGCCTCCCAAGTAGCTGGGATTACAGGCACACACCACTACTGCCGGCTAATTTTTGTATTTTTAGTAGAGACGAGGTTTCATCATGTTGGCCAGGCTGGTCTTGAACTCTTGACCTCAAATGATCCATCCACTTCGGCCTCCCAAAGTGCTGGGATTACAGGTCTGAGCCACCGCGCCCAGCCCAGCCTGTAGTCTCTTTAAGTGCATTCCTGTTGCCCATACAATGCTTGGCACAGTGGGCCGCATGTAAAAGATGACCAGAAAATACTGACAGGAGGAAGAAACTGCAGGTTATAATTTAACTATTATAAGGGTCTGAGGGATTGTCAGGAGGAGACTTGCCCGTGCCCTTTTTCTGTGGGTTCCATGAGCAGCTGCCATCCTTCCCAGGCCTTGACACTCCCTAAGATGGATGGATCATGTGTGGACAGATGTGAACGTGGGCGACAAGCTTGATGCCATCTGCCCTGCTGTGAACTGTTCCAACTAAAATAACCTACTTTGTCTGCATTCACCAAAGAGGCCTCAGGGTTGGAGAAAACAATCAAATCAAACACTCTTCAAAGGATGTTCTGTTAACTAAACTAAATAGGAACTTAAACATAAATCGCCAAGACCTGGTAAATGTGTGAAAACTATTTTTCTCCTTCACAAGCCATTCTTGACTCTCCAGGAAGAGGAAATGCAAAATAATTTTTCTCTCCCACATCATGGCCCTGGCTATTTCCATTAGCCATTACAGTTTGTGGTAGCCAGGGGCTCCATATACAGGTTGAACATTCCTCATCTGAAATCCAAAGTGCTCCAAAATCTCAAACTTTTTGAGTAAACCAGACAGACAGGACCTCATGGAGGTGATGCGCTTACAGGGGGAAAAGCAGACAACTACTTACATATTTACTTGTTAAATAACAGTGATAAGCATAATGGAGAAAAAGCACAGGTGAGCGGATAATATATCGTACAGGATGACCTGACCTAACTTTCTGTTTATCTGCAGAAATGGGAAGGCCAAGGATGGTTTTTCTAAAGACATGACATATGAACCCAGCTCTGAAGGATGAAGATGCAAAAAATAAAAGAAAGTAAGTTCTAAAAGAACAGGGGAGATCCCTACAGAAGGTGGGAAAAGCATGATTATTAATGATAATAAAATCATTCTTGGTTGGGCACGGTGGCTCATGCCTGTAATCCTAGCACTTTGGGAGGCTGAGGCAGGTGGATCACCAGAGTTCAGGAGTTTGAGACCAGCCTGGCCAACATGGTAAAACCCCATTTCTACTAAAAAATACAAAAATTAGCCCGGTGTGGTGGTGCACGCCTGTAGTCCCAGCTATTTGGGAGGCTGAAGCAGGAAAATCACTTGAACTTGGGAGACGGAGGTTGCAGCGAGCAGAGATCACGCCACTGCAGTCCAGCCTGGACGACGGAGCAGGACTCTGCCTCAAAAAAAAAAAAAAAAAAAAACAAGTTCTTTTGACCACTATCTCTCTTTAATTGTTCTATCTTGTTTCAGCTTTGGAGGAACCGCAAGTCTTTTTAGCATAATTCATCAGTTTGTCTCAAAACAAAGATTAAGTTTCCTACAGCTTCCCCAATGCTTTGCATATGAAAAATAATCTGGCTTTCTAACTATAAAATCAAACAGCTCTCAACGTACTGTATACAGTTAGCTCCTAAAACCCATGGCATACTTTCATCATTTGAGAGATGTTTATACTAAGATAATACTTACTAAGCAGCTACTATGTGCCGGTGGGCCAAGTGCTCTAAGGCCATTTTCTCATTTAACACTCAACAGATAGGTACCACTGTCATCGTCTCCACTTTACAGATGGGGAAACAGGACAGAAAGGCCGAGTCATCCAAGAGCACCTGGCTTGTAGGTGGCAGAGTCAGGACTGGGACCAATGCAAGCAGAAGACTTGAAAGTCAGTACTAATTAGGGCCTCATCCCAACATTCTGCTGTTGGCCAAATACATCATGTAATTCCACATCTCCATGCCTTTGCTCAGGCCATTTACTCAACCAGGAATGCTAATCCTTCCTTCTTCCCTTCCCATGTTCTCATAAACACATGTTCTTCTTTTAAGACCCACCTTAAACATACTTCCATTGTAAAATGCCCCCATTTTCTTTTTTCTTTCTTTTTTTTTTTTTTTTTTGAGACAGAGTCTCGCTTTGTTGCCCAGGCTGGAGTGCAGTGGTGATATCTTGACTCACTGTAACCTCTGCCTCCTGGGTTCAAGCGATTCTCGTGCCTCAGCCTCCTGAATAGCTGGAATTACAGGAGTACACCACCACAACTGCCTAATTTTTTTAATTTTTAGTAGAGACGGGGTTTCACCATGTTGGCCAGGCTGGTCTTGAACTCCTGACCTCAGGTGATCCGCCCACCTCAACCTCCCAAAGTGCTGGGATTATGGGCATAAGCCACCACGCCTAGCCCGTAAAACACGTACCTTTTCTAGATTATAAACTGTAAAGATAAAGAAACAAAGGTAAAAATAAAGGAGAAAAGAACCTGCTCTTGCTGTGGCCTGGAAATAATTTTCTAGAAAGAGCCATTGACAAACAAGGGCAAGAAGTTACCTAGAGAAGGGACTGAAAGAAAAGAGAGACATTGCTAGGCCATCTCCAGTTAAGAAGCATCTGATCGACCAAATCTCTAGCTTGCAAGTCCTTCATTTCTCCTAAATACTCTGGGGTGGTGGGCACAAGCATGCGTGCCAAATCCCTGCACAATCCAGTCTATGCACAGCACCGGTGTGTACAAAGGAACAGAACCAGGCCTCCCCTGCAACAAGCCCTCATCAGCATCCTGCGCCAGCCTGCCTGAGGGTTCAACAGGAGTTTACTTGTCGGGATGGACCCAGCCTTGGGAAAGCCACAGCCTGCCAAAGAAGATACAACCAAGGCCGGATTAAGGGAGGCAACAAAATGAACTGGAGGGACGGGGACATTTTATAACCAGCTGCAAGGGGAGGATGTTTAGGGAGGCAAACAAAAGCAGCGCATTTCCATGAGCTTCATTTAATTTATATTTAGCCTTCTCATTCTCAGTAATTGAATGCATTATTTATTTTGGCCAGCAATTGCTGCCTGTGGCTTTCAGGAGAAAAATAATAGGCTTTTAAGGTTTAGCGCCACAGCATTTAGAGACTTGAGTAAAAATCATCAGATAAATTATTAAACATGAAGTGGACTCCACATTCCCACTCTCCTGCAGTAGCTGAAAAGTGACAGGGGAGACAGACAAGGAGCCCAGAGTCCTGACACCGAGGATGCTGTCTTTATCCATGCACAGTATATGGGGCTGTTCTCACACCAGTTGTCCCTCAGTGGGGACCGAGGACGTTATAGGAAGCACAACAGGGAGAAACTACTTACAGCTCTCCTTCAACAGTTCTTGGGAGCACCAAATCTTTGATAAGGGGGATACCTTTATCCAGGTAGAGAATTTTTGTTTTGCTTTTTCAAAAAAAATTATCATAAAGCCCTACATGGGATCTAATTATAAATTTCCCAAGATCCACAACATTCAGATCCATGGTCCTGATTTTATAACATGGGAAGAAGAAAGATCTAGGCTTCTAAAGCCTCCCCTTGCAGTTCTGGTAAGTGGTGTCATAGCTTTGGTATCTGCAGCTCACAATTTGTTCCTAGTATTGCAGGTAAAACCAACTCAGGTGTGCCTACCTAGGTCCACCATTCCTGAGCTTTTAAAGAAGGAACCCATTTATAAGCAGATTTAAAATTTCTAATATCCAAGGAAGCGTCTTCTAATTTTCATCCTGTGCATCACTAGGTTTTTGGTGGTGACTGTTAATTTTTGTTTTGTTTCTCACTAACCCATTGTTGTTTCTTTCTTTTTTTTTTTTTCAAGACAGTCTTGCTCTGTTGCTCAAGTGGTGCGATCTCGGCTCACTGCAACCTCCACCTCCCAGGTTCATGCGATTGTTGTGCCTCAGCCTCCCGATAACCCATCATTCTTACCAAAGCAAGCAGTAGGAGAAAGTTCCATGTTGACCTACACACAATGAAGACACGTGCCTGTCCTAGTGAGGACACGTGCCTGTCCTAGTGGGGAGAGGGGGTATCAGAGACAATAAGCAAGTAAACAAACACAGTAAGAAAGCATCGGATTGTGGAGTGTGCAACAATGATAATGAGGTTGATGCTGCAGGGGTGACAGAGTAGGGCAGGGCGGCTACTCTAGCTAGAGTGGCCAGCAGAGGCCTCCGTAAGGAGCTGTGGCTTGTTCTCACCATCTGCCTTGTAATTCAAAAAAAATACAACTATCTGGGGAAAGATCATTGTAGAAAGAGGGAAAAAAGCCACAAAGGCTCTGAACTGGGAGACCACTGAGTGTGTTCAAAGAACAGAAGCAGGCCTGTGTGACTAAAGCAAATGGGAGATGAGGATGCAGGTGGTTGAGGATGGAGGTGGGCAGGCACCAGCTCACAGGGGAAATCAAGAGGCAAGTGTTCAGCTGCACTCAGAAGCTACTGAAGTCCCCCATGAGTTAGAAGCAAAACCAAGCCGAGTTTTAAAGGTTCCTGGGCAGTAACCATGTATGAAGACTTCACTGCCCAGAGCTGCTCCAGTTGAATCATGACACAGATGATCCCCAAAACTTCCATGGCAGTGGTTCAAAGAATGGAGAAGTGATCACTCTCCAATTGGCCCAGAATGCCCTACGAAGACAATGGCAACAAGTGGTGAGGCGCCAGCCTTGGCATAATCTGTGCAGTTGTGTCAGGAAAAGAACCACCACTGAAAACCTCAGTCCACCTCCTATGGCGCTATGGAACTGCCCCGGCATTCCTTTAGGCTTCCCAGTCAATGCAGTGGTGAAGGGGCATGGCCTTGAGCCAGACAGATCAGGGGCTGAGAGCTGGTTCAGTGACTCAGGAGTGGATCTACCCCAAGCAAGTTAGTTGGCCACTCTCTCCCTCAGTTTACTCACCTGGGTAATAAGGCACCAGCCACAGCACCGGCCCCATGTGGCTTCTGGGAGGATGAAATGAGATAACTTGTGCAAAGGGCTTGCCACATAACAAACACTCCATAAATGTCGCGTAAAGATTTCTTTTACCCTCTGTGTTACGGCCTGCAGGGTGGGTACCCTGTTGCTAACCTGCCTGCAGGCCCTTGGCGTACACCGTTGCAGTAGGTAACCAGGGTGTCCTGCAGCAAACACTTGGGCTTTCCACCTGAGTGCCTTCTCTTGGCTCAAGTGTGGAGCAGGCCAGAATGCCAGGGGGTTAATATCCTAGAAGCAGCACTCTGTCAATGACAGATGAGAATAAAGGGAAAATCACCTGTCTTCCTTGCCCTTCAGATGGAGAAACACTGGCTGTCTGACAACACCTCCCAGATGGGAATGAGCTTCAGCTGCCCACAGGAACGACCTGTTCAATGGTTCCTATTTTTCTGGCTTCCTTTCCTTCCCTGTCTCATCTCACATCACTCTTCTGATATCACTGAGATCACCTTCTCCCAAATAAATGATCCTGAGCATCCTTGCCTAATGGATGGCTTTGGTGTCTAGTACGGAAAGACCAGTCTTGGGCAGAAACTATCTGTAACAGCAAACTGTAGGGTATTTGTTCTATCACAGATTAGATGGTACTTGTGTGTTTCTGGGGTTTCAAACACACAAACATCCACAACAACAACAAACAAACATGAATCTACCACTGTGAAGCAGTCCTCATGTCTCACTTTCTCCAGGTGTGCTGAGCTCAGGATGTCTGAGCTGCATGACCCGGTCTGTCCTAGACAGATTTAAGAAGGTTCTTACAGGAAGCTATCTGTGCTCTATGATCTGTCTGACTCTATAAATGCATATGTGTCCAATGTGCTTCCTAGCGGAGAAACAAATTTAAAACTCATCATTTATTCATCTTTTTTTTTCTTTCCTCCTTAAAGGAATCTCTCTTGGTTGAGCACAGTGGTTCAGGCCTGTAACCCCAGCACTTTGGGAGGATCATTTGAGCCCAGGTGGGAAGCAGGAACATTTGAGCCCAGGAGTTCAAGACAGGCCCAGGCAACAAAACGAAACTCCATCTCTATAAAAAATAAAAATAAAAACATTAGCTGTGTGTGGTGGTGTGCGCCTGCAGTCCCAGCTACTCAGGAGGACTGCTTGAGCCCAGGAGTTCGAGGTTACAGGAAACTATGATTGCACTACTACATTCCAGCCTGGGTGACAGAGTGAGACTCTGTCTCTAAAAAAAGAAATCTTTGTCTCTCTCTACACACATACGCACACACCTGAGTCAGTTTTCCTAAGCAGCAAGGGAGTGCCCGAGATGAGAGAATGATGGACTTACCTTGGGAGAGGCACTGGTTGGCCAAGGCCACCTGACCAGAATGCAGGTAGAGATTGAGACGTGTGAAGATGCCCGCCAGGGAGGGGATGGTGATGAAGCAGTAGGCAACACAGGCCTAGGAGAAGGGAAGAAACATTAACGCTAGCAGTGCAACGGTGGCAGAATCATACTCCTGTTTTCATCCCTCATGTATTTCCAAGGAAAGAAACTTACAACAGTGAATCTCCACATTCTGAGCCCCATTTTCCCCTCTTGTACAACTCTGCTCTGATGACCCTCTAGGAGGACAGGGGTGTGAGGGGAGTGAGTGATAATGCAGGAAAAACAAATCCTCACCCACCATCACGGGAAGTAAATACGTAACACCTAACATTGATAAATTGAGAGACAGCTGTTTAAACCAATTGCTTAAAAATATGGAGGTAATTAGAAACAGTTGCTAAAGAGTTTGAGGTGGCTAACTGAGGAAAGAGAAGCAAGGTGACAAAGGGCAGAGCCAGGATGCTTATTTTTTACTGTAATCTTTTCAGTATAATTTCATGTTTAAAAACACAGACACATATTTCTTTCTTAAAATTCTGAGCAGGGCTGGGTGCGGTGGCTCACACCTGTTATCCCAACACTTTGGGAGGCTGAGGCAGGAGGATCACTTGAGGCCAGGAGTTCAAGACCAGCCTGGGCAACCTAGTGATATGCCCCATCTCTACAAAAAACAAAAAAATTACCCGGATATGGTGGTTACAGTGAGCTATGATGGTGCCACGGCACTCCTGCCTGGGTGACAGAGCAAGACCCTGTCTCCAAAAATAAATAAATGAATGAATAGCTAAATAAATTTTGAGCAGCATCACATCTGATAAAATTTTCAGCTTCAAGAAGCTGAAAATGATTTTTCAAAGTTTAACATCAGGCCAGGTGTGGTGGCTCACGCCTGTAATCCCAGCACTTTGGGAGGCCGAGGCGGGCAGATCACTTGAGGACAGGAGTTCGAAACCAGCCTGGCCAACATGGTGAAACCCCCATCTCTACTAAAAATACAAAAATATTAGCTGGGCATGGTGGCACGCGTCTGTAATCCCAGCTACTCAGGAGGTTGAGGTAGGAGAATCGCTTGAACTTGGGAGGCGGAGGTTGCAGTGAGCCGAGATCACGTCACTGCACTCCAGCCTGGGTGACAGAGCAAGACTCCGTCTCAAGAAAAACAAAAACAAAGTTGGGCATCATTATTATCTAGAGGAAAAAAGGCCTTTCAGTTACAAGAACAATATTATTATACATATTTTTATATTAGAAAACTATTTTATATTTTATAATGTTATAAAATATGTCTTATATTAGTATATTAGAGAAAATGAAAGCTAATTCAGCTGGCACATAAAAATGCAGATCCATCGCTCATTCACCTTCCCCACAACACGTATTAAAATTCAGACTCATTTAACCATTTCTCTTGAAAACATTAGAAAATGGCTCATCCCATAGATACAGGGAAAAATTAATCTGAAAAATCAATACTAAACCATTCTTATCATGACATACTCATCTTTTTCTGGGAAATGTAATTTAGTAACCTGCAAACTAAACAGCCCACTGGAGTTCGAGGTCCAACAGTCCTTATCTTAAGAACATACCCGGACAAATGCAGCTGTCTTTCTGGAATGATTTCCTTTCATTACTTTTCTTGTCTCCATTGCCAACCGGTTCACACTCTGAATTTATTAATAAAATAGAAATGGTAATGAAGCGATGGCCGATTCAGATGAGTGTCTTCCATAGAGATCTCAACATTAACTACATACAGGTCAATGAGAACAAGCTTTCTAGGACCAAGACTGGTTAGCACTAAACCTTGAAATGCCAAAGGGGTCATCAGGCCTGATCCAATCATGGCTTGAGCAAACATCTCCAAGAGGGTAGAACAAAAGGCAGTGTTGGCTACGTCAGTCATGCCTTTTGATCAGCATTTTAGTGACCATTTTCTGGCTTAATGAATAGCTGGGGCTCACTTACTCCATTTCCAGAAATCCTACCACACCAAAGTTTAAGAATTTAGAAATCTTAAGAGACAACTCCAAAGCACACCATTTAGACAATCAGACCACACCATTCAGCTATACAGTACCAACAATAAGAACAATAATGATAGTAGCCACATCATCACTAATAGTGTTCCAAGCACTATTTAAGAGCTATACATTCATTGGTTCACTTAAGCTTCATAATCCCAGGGTGGATACTATTACCTCCCCTGATTTCCAGATAGTTTCTAAATTTAGGTCTTAAGTTTAGTTGTGCTAAATAACTTGCTAACCAGCAAACAAATACATATGAAAGTTATTCTCCTTGAATAGACATGAAATAATGAAAGAGCCTTAGGGAACCCTTCCACAGATATAAAAAGTTTGGACCTGTGGTTCCCAAACGGTGCACCATGGCACCCTGGGGTGCTGCAGCAAACTCACAGGGGCGCCACCGTTTTTTAGGGAATATTTGTTTGTCGCACATTGTAAACAGCAATACTTGTTTGTTGCACGTTGTAAAAAGCACTGGTGCAAGGCTGATTTGATGATGGACTGCTTTACATCCCTTATAGCCACATCATATATTTGTAAAACTTGTTTTTCGTGGCTACTGTGATCAAAAGCAAGTTTAATCGCTGTGCAAGAATAAATGTAAAAAACAGTGAATGTAAAACAAGAAATAAGAATAGCATCACCAATCTAACTCCAAAATTTTATGAAGCTGTGATATGCTTCATAAGTACACACCCATCATTACTAATTATGGTTAAGAAAAAAATTGGCAGGGCTTGATGTTTATGCCTGTAATCCTAGCACTTTGGGACGCCGAGGCAGGTGGATCACCTTAGGTTAAGAGTTCAAGACCAGCCTGGCCAACATGGTGAAACCTCATCTCTACTAAAAAATACAAAGAATTAGCCGGGCATGGTGGCAGGTGCCTGTAATTATAGCTACTCGGGAGGCTGAGGCAAGAGAATCACTTGAACCCGGGAGGTGGAGGTTGCAGTGAGCCAAAATCGCACCATTGCACTCTAGCCTGGGCAACAAAGCAAGAACTCCAGCTCAAAAAGAAAAGGAAAAAAAAGTATTATTTTTCTTTCAATTTATATATATACTTTCTTCAAATGGCTGTCAAGTTGTTAGACATAAATACTTAAGTTGTCTGAACCTAACTTTTTTTTTTTTTTTTTTTTTTGAGATGGAGTCTCCCTTTGTTGCCTAGGCTAGAGTGTAGAGTGCAGTGGCGCGATCTCTGCTTACTGCAACCTCCACCTCCCAGATTTAAGCGATTCTTCTGCCTCAGACTCCCAAGTAGCTGGGACAACAGGTGCCTGCCACCCCGCCTGACTAACTTTGGTATTTTTAGTAGAGACAGCATTTCACCATATTGGGCAGGCTGGTCTCAAACTCCTGACCTCAAGTGATCTGCTAGCCTCAGACTCCCAAAGTGCTGGGATTACAGGTGTGAGCCATCACATCCAGCCTGAACCTAACTTCTTAATAAACAGGGCTGTTATTAATTCTTTTGGTCTGAGGGCACCATAAAAAGTTACTGAGAGTTGCCATGATCCAAGAAAGTAGGGAACCTCTTGTTACGTAAGAAGGGGCTCCTTCTGGTTAGATTTCTGTAACTAATCATTGTAAATCACTTACCTCTGTTGCTGGCAGGCAGAAATGGGAAAATGCAAATCTCACAGAAAAACAGATCAATAAAACCAAAGTTGTAAGTTTATTAACCTTTGAGAAACCACCTTTCATACCATAGAGAAGAGTAACAAAATAGGACCAGAAAAAACCCAGATTAAGGGTGGGCGCAGTGGTTCTTTCCTGTAATCCCAGCATTTTGGGAGGCCAAGGCAGGAGGAATGCTGGATGTGAGGAATTTGAGACCAGCCTGGGCAACACAGAGACCCCATCTCTCAAAAAACAACACAAAACAAAATTTAAAATAGCTGGGCATCGTGGCTTGAGCTGGTAGTCCCAGCTACTCAGGAGGCTGAGACAGGGAGAATTGCTTGAGCCCAGGAGTTCAAGGCTACAGTGAGCTATGATTGCGCCACTGCACTCTAGCCTGGGTGACAGAGTGAGACCCTGTCTCTAATAAAATAAAATCAAAATAAATGATTGGGATGTAGATGATCAATAAATATTTACTGAGAGAAGAAACTAATGAATGAAAATACTTACATGAATCAACTGCACAAGAACAGGCTCCAGATTGCAAAACATCGACCTGGACTCAACATAAAAACTCAGCTGTTGTTCAAAATCACGGCCAAAGGAAACCTAGAATCAAGGAGAAAGACGCTGAAAGGGACAGTGGTATTTTTAGAGAGAACGCAGGCACATGGTATGACTGAAATATTATTATTGCCACCTCATCTTTATGACGTGGGCACTGGACTAGAACCTAAGAAGTCGAAGGGTATAAAACAGAAGCTCAGAGTGTAAGCAGAATTTTCCAGACTCTGAAGGAAACCACTGGAAAGGGAATAATGGGATATTGTTTGTCAGCTGTGGCCTTTTCACAGAACATAAATGTGGTTATTGGGGGCCCCTTGTCAGAAGGTTTGCCATCGTAACAGTCACACCTTTCTGCTTCCTGATGGGGACCCAACCTTGGCAGCTCACTGGTGGCTACAGAAGCCATAGATGGAAGTTTTTCCACCATTAAACATCCTCTCTTCTCCTATTTCTTCAAATTTATGAATAGCTGGTTAGTAAGAAAAACTTTACTGTACATCAATCATTTTTGTCCAGATGAGGTTTAACATTGCCATTTCCATTACAGCTATCATGTTTCATATCTGATTTCCTTATATTCTTTTCCATAATAACTTGGTAACTTTCAGACAATGCCGTAAAAAGATAAATACCACATGATGAGTACAAAAAGCAAGGGCAAAGGAGAGCGACTTGGGAAAATCCATATGTCTGTTTCCTAACACGGGAATTGAAAGGCTAATCCTGAATTTTCATCAAAATTGATATTTTACCCGCAGAGTCAGGTAGACTAATCAACCCGCACTATTGAACAAGTCAGAATTTCAAGGTTATTTTCAAAGTGATCTCGTCATTTTCATCTCAGTCAGCTTTGGTCCTGACTTTTCTATTAAAATAGAAGATATTTGCAGCAGTTGGTGTTTTGGCTTAGAGCACCCAGAATGAAGGTGAAGACTGTTCAGGCTGGGATAGTATAATGGTGGGATGTTCCCAAAGGAGGCTGCAGGAAACCTTCCCACTGTGCTTGCCCTTCTGCAATGTCTCTGTGGACTACCCCCCATCAAAAGGCAGAGCCTCTTCCCCTCCAGACTGGGTCCCCTCAAGACTGTGATTTGCTTTGACCCACAGATTGCAGTAGAATATGGCAGGGGTTTACTGTGTGATTTCTTTTTTTTTTTTCCCAAGACAGAGTTTTGCTCTGTTGCCCAGGCTGGAGTGCAGTGGCATGGTCTTGGCTCACCGCAACCTCTGCCTCCCGGGTTCAAGCGATTCTCCTGCCTCAGCCTCCCGAGTAGCTGGGATTACAGGCATGCACCACAACACCCGGCTAATTTTGTATTTTTAGCAGAGACAGGGTTTCACCATGTTGGTGAGGCTGGTCTCGACCTGACCGCAGGTGATCCACCTGCCTCAGCCTCCCAAAGTGCTGGGATTACAGATGTGAGCCACCGCGCCTGGCCTCACTGTGTGATTTCTAAGCCTTGGCCTTAAAATGCCTTGCTGCTTCTGTCTGTGCCTTCATAGAAGGCAGCACCAAGTAAGAGAGCTCAACTGGAATCACTGACTGAGAACAGTGGTGAGAAAGAGAGGACATGGAAGAAAACCAAGATGCCCCAGCCCATATCCAGCACCAAAACCCTGGAGAAGGGAACAAGGCCACTGTGGATCCTCCAGCCCAATCGTGCCACGCCAGTGCCACACCACACTCCCTGTAGCAGCCTGGTTACCAAGCTGATCCGCAGAGTTTGAGAACTAATAAAAAACTCATGCTGGGCGCAGTGGCTCAGGCCTGTAATCCCAACACTGTGGGAGGCCAAGGCTGGAGGATTGTTTGAAACCAGGAGTTGGAAACCCCTGTCTCGACCCCCCCAAAAAAAACAGCAAAAAAAAGCCCTGTTATTTAAAGCCACTAAGTTTTGGGATGAGCTGTTACTCAGCAGTAGATAAGTAAAACAGATGGGGAGTGGATATCTGGCGTTTTGCCTGCCCGGCATAGTTTCCATCACCGTCTGATGATCTGCATCAGCTGCTTCAGGACACACCTTCTTTCCACTCTCGGCCCTCCTGACTCAGGTCACCCAGGTGTGCTTGGGGCCACGACCCATGTTAATCCAAAGAGACTCAATCCCAGGACTTTGCTGGAATCCCACCTGCTGGGCTGCAGAGCTGGGGGGGATGGAAACCTGGAGCTCTGGTGGGGCAAGCCCAGCTGAGCCGGAGGCCAACAGGGCAGAGCCCAGGGCTAAAGACAGACAGGGGGCTGGGTGCAGTGGCTCACGCCTGTAATCCCAGCACTTTGGGAGGCCGAGGCGGGCGGATTACGAGGTCAGCAGATCGAGACCATCCTGGCTAACACAGTGAAACCCCGTCTCTACTAAAAATACAAAAAATTAGCCGGGCGTGGTGCCGGGCGCCTGTAGTCCCAGCTACTCGGGAGGCTGAGGCAGGAGAATGGCGTGAACCCGGGAGGCGGAGCTTGCAGTGAGCTGAGATCGCGCCACTGCACTCCAGCCTGGGCGACAGAGCGAGACTCCATCTCAAAAAAAAAAAAAAAAAGAAAAAAGACAGGGAAGGCAGGTCCTGATGACATCCCGGAGACCCTGAGCCCGGCTGCTGCTTTGGAGAGTTCCAGCCCCTGGACTTTTTGTCACATGAGCCAAGAAATCCCTCCTCCCATCACCCTCCCGCCCCCCACCTTTTTCCTCTTAAGCCAGTTTGTCTTGGCTCTCTTTGCCCCCAGGGGAGTCCTGGCTAATGTAAGATGTTTTCTAATTTCATTTTATCTCACTAAGAATGAAAAGCACCAGAGAACATAATGTTAACTGCTTTCGCCAACATAAGGATAAACAATTACATCACACTTCCAAGTGCACTGAAACTTCTTCCCTAATACTTACCATTTTTATAAATCCATTAATCAAATATGACAGCATTCTTTTCTCATCCTCAAGAGTGAGTGCACTAAAATCAATAATTGTACATAATTAACACGGAGGTAATAGATGAAAGTTTCTAAAGAAAAAAATACACAAGGGGTAAGTAATTTAACAGGTAAGAACATTTTGCATTTTCTAGATTTAAAAAACTGCCAACAGGCTGCTTATTTTTCCTTTGATAAAAATACATAATCACAATTAACATAATTTAAATATGTTTCTCATCTCCCTCAAATATGCTGTTCTCAAGATAGATTTATTAACAAGAAAAGAAAAGGTAACTTTCACTTCTTTGGAACTTGGGCAGCAAGGTCTAATGTCAAATTTTGTATTTCAGGGAAATTTCATTGAATATTTTATTTAAAAAATCTCCAGCGGGGTGTGCTGGTTCACACCTGTAATCCCAGCACTTAGGAAGGCAGAGGTAGCAGGTTCGTTTGAGCCTAGGAGTTGGAGATCAACCTGGGCAACATGACGAGACCCCGTTCTCCCCAAAAAGGAAACAGAAATATTTCCAATGTACAGCAAAGTTGAAAGAATTTTCCAGTAAACACCCATACACCATCGAAATCCTGCCATCACCATTTTACTTGTTTTACACATAATTATCCATTCCCCTCTCCATCCATCAATCCATCTTATTTTTTTGATACATTGTAAAGTAAATCTCAGGTCTCAGTTGCTTCTATTTAATAGAAAATGTAACACAAATATAAATAAGAAAAAGTCATTACAGTTTTGATTATACTTGGATAGTTAAATAAATAGTTATTTGGGGAATAAATAGTTCCCCAAAGTTATTTAAAAAAAAAATTTTTAAGAGCCCAGAGAAAACAGGAGTCAAGGTTTTTGTTTGTTGGTTTGTTCTCGGAGAAAATGTTTTGGCAAAGATTGCCCACTGTCCTTCAATACAAATGCCCACTTCGTTCTTTTTTGTTTTTGTTTTTGTTTTGAGATGGAGTTTCGCTCTTGTTGCCCAGGCTGGAGTGCAATGGCATGATCTTGGATCACTGCAACCTGTGCTTCCCAGGTTCAAGCGATTCTCCTGCCTCAGCCTCCCAAGTAGCTGGGATTACAGGCACGTTCCAAGGCGCCCAGCTAATTTTTTGTATTTTTTTTTTTTTTAAAGTAGAGACGGGGTTTCACCATGTTGGCCAGGCTGATCTCAAACTCCTGACCTCAGGTGATCCACTCATCTTGGCCTCTTAAAGTGCTGGGATTACAGGTGTGAGACACCATGCCCAGCCCCACTTTGTTCTTAGAACAACATTCCCTAGCCTCCTTCCCAGCTAGGGGTGGCTATGGGACAGTTCTGAACAATGGGATATGATGTGTGAGCCTTCCCAGCTTTGTCCCTAAAAGAAAGCTGCTGTTCCCCAATGCCCACAGGCTGGAACGTGGACATGGTTGAGGTACATCAGCTTCCAGGAAGAAGATAAGGACAACACCCCAGATAGACTGGGAGAACAATAAGACAGAAATAACCTGGGTCCCTGGATGATGTTTGAAAGAAGAGCTGCCCTACCCCTACCTTCTGGTCTGTCTACTATGCACAATTTTAACAAGAGAGAAATCAACATTCTATTTTACTTAAGCCAAAACCCAATGTCTCACGAATCTAAGTGCCTTTCTGGATGCTTTTTGTGTCTTTATTTCTATTTTTGTCCAACTAAAGTCTACCGGTTCCATTTTTATGAAATGCCTCGACACTTTGATTTTTGTAACTACCCATGAATTTGAAAGCACAAAAAATCATGGAAGTGAAGATTCTAAAATGCAGAGAAAACAAAGAAGAAATACAGTTCATCTTGTTGATGGTTAAGTTCCAAAACAATTTTCTCCATTCTTGTAACATTTTCCAGTAAATCAAGTTGCTGTGTTTAAAAATTCTTGGGGGACTAAAATTTCAGCCACAAATAAGCAGGAATTGCCCTAAGCACAGTCAAACGAAAACATATTTTAAAAATAAACAAACAAAAACCAGAAGGCAGTGACTATTCAGCCTTTGACTGAAAGGTAATGCCTGTGGATAGGTCTCAGCCTCAAGCAGTTTCATTTGAATTTCAAATAATTGGCTAATATAGAGATGAAATAAAAAGGCTATATTACTGGATGAGTGAGCTCATTATTACACTATCTGCTGCTCTCAGAAATCTCCAAGAGACATGGAGTTTGAGTTCACTTGAATGGAACCAGCTTTTTACCCGCAACATAAACTCCTTTCTAACAACATCTGCCACGTCGCTTTCTCAAGAAGGTTAACCTCAGCCTCCTTCCTCTCCTGGATTGGAATGTCCTCGTTAGCAAAAATCTTAATACTCCCAATAAAGTAATATTATTCACAGTGGCAGCTTAAAGCAGTCATTCCCTAATGTCCTATTAGGTGGCATTAAGACCCAATCCATGTTATATTTCAGCTGTAAGCATGGCTTACTTCACAGAGTCATGCATGGTCTTGCAAACATGCAAAAGGGCATTCAAGATGACCGGGTCCTTGGTGGGCTCTTGTTGATGCCTAGGAGACATTTAAAGATAAAAGTCAAAGTTTTGTCCACTGACAGCACTGCAAGAGTGGATTCAGTTTTCATCCACTGTACACACTTGAAAAGCAGCAAATTATCCAGCTGGCATTTCACCCAGCCCAGTTTACCAGTAACGAGCCATGTTCTCTGGTTGTCTCAGAATTCTTTTTTAAACTTTTGAGACAGAGTCTCACTCTGTCACCCAGGCTGGAGTGCAGTGATGTGACCTCAGCTCACTGCAGCCCCTGCCTCCTGGGTTGGAGTGATCCTCCTGCCTCAGCCTCCCAAGTAGCTGGGATTACATACGTGCGTCACCACACCCAGCTAATTTTTGTATTTTTGGTAGACACAGGGTTTCACCATGTTGGCCAGGCTGCTCTCGAACTCCTGGCCTCAGGTGATCCACCTGCCTCAGCCTCCCAAAGTATTGGGATTACGGGCGTGAGCCACCGCACCTGGCCCAGAATTCTTTAAATAACAAGTTTGCTCTTCTATACACATGATAACTTCTCCTAACTGCAAAATCACAGAAAAACTGTTCCCCTTCCTAAACCAGGTGGGCTAAGGGCAAACCTGTTTTTGTTTGTTTGTTTTTAACTATGCTTCTTATACCTTCTGAAGCTGCCCAAAACCTGTCACTGTGTTCTTAACAGGCGAATTTTGCCAGGCAAAATTATTCATTTGGTTTTTCAAATAATATAAAAGGGCAAGCTCTTAAAACAAATCTTTAGGTAAGTAAATTAGGTATATTTATTCCAAGCATATTAATTAGGAATTAATATTAATCCTTAGGAAGGAATTAATCTTTTAGAAAGATGACAAGAAAAGCTTAAAACATTTGAGCAATATCAAACTCAATTTTCCAAAGTGAACCATATCTATACACCTAATATTTAAAGTAACTAGCTTTTTTTTCTTAACCCTGTCCTAAAAAATAATATATTGTAAATGAAATCATATTAAACTAGTTATAAACTGCCTAATACATTTAAAATCAATATATAACTCTAAAAATAAAAACAGGCCGGGTGTGGTGGCTCATGCCTGTAATCCCAGCACTTTGGGAGGCCGAGGCGGGTGGATCACTTGAGGCCAGGAGCTCGAGACCAGCCTGGCCACCATGGCGAAACCCTGTCTCTATAAAAAATACAAAAAAATTAGCCGGACGTGGAGGTGGGTGCATATAATCCCAGCTACTCGGGAGGCTGAGGCAGGAGAATTGCTTGAACCCAGGAGGTGAAGGCTGCAGTGAGCTGAGATCGCACCATTTCACTCGAGCCTGGGTGACAGAGCAGGGTTCTGCCTCAAAATAAATTAAAAAAATAATAATAAAATAAAAATAAAACCCTAGCTAGGCGAGGTGGCTCACGCCTATAATCCCAGCACTTTGAGGTGGATGGATGGCTTGAGCCCAGGAGATGAAGACCAGCCTGGGCAACATAGAGAGACCTCATCTCTACAAAAAATGCAAAAATCAGCTGGGTTGTAGTGGGGCACACCTGTAGTCCCAGCTACCTGGGAGGCTGAGGTGGGAGGATCACCTGAGCATGAGAAGGTCAAAGCTGCAGTGAACCGTAATTGTGCCACTGCACTCCAGGCTAGATGACAAAGTGAGAACTTGTCTCCAAACAAAAACAAAAACACCTTTTTTCCATGCACCACCTTAAAATTATTTCATGTACCACTAGCAGTCGGGCAGTTTTGGGAAACACAGACTTAATCAAAAAAATGAAAAGAACTAAATTTGATTTTTTTTCTTTTTTGTTAAAGAGCTAAATTTGAAAACTGATCACACATTAGTCAGCTACATAACTAAACACTGAAGATGAAAACCTTTCTAGCACCGGTGCCTTCTTCGTAAGTATGTATGTCCTGATTTGTATCCTTAAAAATGTTACTCTTGAGGGAATTTATCAAAAGACTGCTCCTTCTAAAAACATATCAAAAGTAAAATGGAGCTGCTGGCCAGGCACATGATTACACTTGCTACTCTGTCTTCTTAAACACGAATGACAAACTTTTATCAGACTGCTGCTTTTAATGTGGCTTTCCTTCCAGTGTGGTTTTCTGGCCAGGCTCATGATAACACTTGCTACTCTGTCTTCTTAAACACGAATTACAAACTTTTATCAGACTGCTGCTTTTAATGTGGCTTTCCTTCCAGTGTGGTTTTCTGTATGAAATACGTACACATCACTCGGCCTCAAAGTGCAAGAACTGATTTTTTATCAACAGGTTTCACAAGGACATTGGGAATCAAGGCTTCTGCTGCACGCAGTGGCACTCACTTGATAAAGGCGTCCATGATGCATTTGCAAACCTCCACCCGCACACTCTCTTTTTGGAACATGTCCAGAAACGGCAGAAATTTTTCCTATAAATAAAGCAAGCACTCTATATGCAAATGACACAAGTTATTGGAAGGAAGGAATCTGTGGGTCTCTTTTTCTGTGGAGTTCAAAGAAGCAGAACAGAGGTTCATCTCTCTGAGTCGGGTCAGATGAGGACTCCTCTGAAATCAGGGAGAGGACCTGACTGGGCTTGTAAAAAGCTGTTACTGGGCCGGGCACAGTGGCTCACACCTGTAATCCCAGCACTTTGGGAGGCTGAGGCGGGTGGATCACTTGAGGCCAGGAGTTCAAGACCAGCCTGGCCAACATGGCGAAACCCTGTCTCTACTAAAAATACAAAAATAAACCAGGCATGGTGATGCATGCCTGTAGTCCCAGCTACTTGGAAGGCTGAGGCAGGAGAACTGCTTGAACTCGGGAAGGCGGAAGTTGCAGTGAACCGAGATCACTCCACTGCACTCTAGCCTGGGTGACAGAGCAAGACTCTATCTCAAAAATAAACAAACAAACAAAATAAAAAGCTGTTACTATTAAAACAACTTATATGCATTCCAGGGATTGGTGCTGGGACCAGTTAACATTTTGGTGAGCCATCCAGGCAACCTTTGATGACCACAAGCTTTTCTGGGCAAGGCAGACTTCAGTCTTTTTGTGATTATATTGATGAGCAATGGAAGAAGAGTCAGAGTAGAGCTGTTCACAGATGGCCTCGAAATTGGACCGCCTGGCTCTGAATACTAACCTCGGTGACTGTGTGGCTGTAAGCAAGTTACTCTACCTCTTCCTGCATCAGTTTTCTCATCTGTAAAGTGGGAATATGGTAGTTGCTCCCTTATCTGCGGTTTTGCTTTCCATAGTGTCAGTTATCCTCGGTTAACGGCCATCCGAAAATATTAAATAGAAAATTCTAGAAATAAGCACTTCATTCATTTTCATTTTTATTTTTATTGCATTTTATTTGTTTGAAACAGAGTTTCGCTCTGTTGTCTAGGCTCGAGTGCCCTGGTGCAATCTCGGTTCACTGCAACCTCAGCCTCCCCAGTAGCTGGGACTACAGGCATGCACCACCACACCTGGCTAATTTTTTGTATTTTTAGTAGAGACAGGGTTTTGCCATGTTGGCCAGGCTGGTCTGGAACTCCTGGTCTCAGGTGATCTGCCTGCCTTGGCCTCTGAAAGTGCTGGGTTTACAGGTGTGAGCCACTAAGCCCAGCCCCATTCATTTGAAATTGTGCATTGCTCAGAGTAGTGTAATGAAATCTCACGCTATACTGTTCTGTCCCTCCCAGGTTGTGAGTCATCCCTTTGTCTAGCGTCTCCACATTGTAGATGCTACCTGCTCGTTAGTCACTTAGCAGCTGTCTTTGTCATCAGATTCACTGTCATGGTATCACAGCATTTTTGTGTTCAAAGAACACTTATTTTACTTAATGATGCTCCCAAAGTGCAAGAGTAGCAATGCTGGCATATTGTTATAACTGTTCTATTTTAGCTATTGTTGTCAGTCTCTTACTGTGCCTAATTTATATATGAAACTTTACCGTAGGTATGTATGTATAGGATAAAACATAGTATACACAGCAGTCAGTTCTATCTGCGGTTTCAGGCAACTCCTGGGAGTCTTGGAATGTATATTCCTCCTGGATAAGAAGGCAATACTACAGTGATAACTCCTACTTCCCCGTGGTGGTATGAAACTAATGTGAGGCAATACATGTAAAGTCCCAGAACAGTGCTTGGAGTGTGGTATATGTCGAATAAATATTAGCTGCTATGATTAAAATAAAAAATCTTACAATCTTGTGAGCACATGTAAATGGAACCTGGAAGAGGGAAGTGAAGGGAGAGACAGAGAATGTTACTATACAGGGAATAACCTAGATTCCCTACTTGCCCAGGGCACTGAACAAACTCGAACAGACATCGCAGGATATTTTAAATTTTTGAGGGAATCATGGTAAATCTCAACTGTCAGACACTGAAACAACTACTAGTCAATGTATTTCATAGTTTCAACATTAGGCTGTGTGATTAAAAAGCAAGTGCCCTGTGAAAATCACTGTGGAAGAGCAAAGTAAGAGAAGGCTGTCCAAAGTGTTTTGAAGGTTTGAGAAGTTGTGTAATGCCCTTACTTATACATATCCCATAAGTAAGGAATGAAACAGAAATAATATTTTTCTTTCAGTTTTTGTGTATTATTTTTTCAAATACGGCTTAATCTATTAGGACATAAATACTTAAGTTGATCAGACTTAACTACTTTATAAAAGGAACTGCTGAATATTTCTTTTGGCCTGGGGCATCATGAAAACATTACTGAGACAATGAGAACCTCTGAGCCAGGTACAAATTTCCAAAGATAATTAAGAAATCCTACTTACCACTGAGAAAAGAACTGAGAAGTCATGGAAGTGGGCAATAACTTTCTTAATTATTAACTGAAGCTGTAAAACAAACAAACAAAAATATTATTTTTAAAAACTTAATTTTTAAAAATTTCTTTCTGGTTTACATTCTCTCAGGAAAACCTAAATTTTTTTTTAAAAAGGCAATCACCTTTCATAATTTGCAATTATTACTACAATAAGGTAAGCCTGGATTGTTCAACAAATGGTGAACTGGGCTTAGGGTAGGCTCTGTCTCAAGCTGAGTTTGCCCAATGACTCTGTACATCCTACTTCATAGTCCTGGGGAAGTAACTGAGTCTCAGTCTCAGCTTCCTCATCTGTGAATTGGAGATCAAAGCAGTAAGGACTCAATGGAATGGTTCGTGGAAGGTCCTGAGTGCAGTGCCCGCCTTTAGAAAGTTCTCCATTAATGTCAGCTATTGTTATTCCTTGAATAGTGGGCAAACTTTTTCTATAAACGTCCTACAGTCCACCACAACTACTCAACACTATTGCAGTGCAAAAGCAGCCATTGCCAACATTAAATGAATGTGCATTAAATGAATTTGTGCCAATAAAACTTTATTCACAAAAACAAGTGGCAGGCTACATATAGCCTATGGGCTGTAGTTGGCCAATCCCTATTCTACATCATCGTGTGGCCCTGTGTTTCTTGATTATTCACTGGAGAGGATTTGGACAGAGTGTGCTGGTAGAGTTAAAGGCCAAGGTATTACCCAAGGATGGTGGCACAGTCTGTGAGGTCTGCCTCAAAAATGCCCAGATACTGATGGTTACCGCCCCTCACTCTGCGATGCACAGTCCAGACTGAAAGGCTGACAGGGCCTTGGTCCAGGAGAGCCAAGAAGATGCGGTTTCTAAATAAAATAGAACTCTCCACCTCTGGTTGCTATCAAGAAAATGTACTGACAATTTGTTTACACTAAAAAAACTGCTGTTTCAATAATTTCCAAAGAAAATCTCTCATGTTCTAAAAACAGAACATGAAGAACGTTATGTGCCCATTTCATAATTAGGCAGCTTACTAGGTCAGTCAAGCAAAAAACTAATAAAGGACTTCAAAACTTCATCATAAACAATGCTCCAAGGCATACCATTGTAAGACACTGCAATGCTGTCTGGTTAAAATAGTTTCTGAAGCATAAAGCACCTAATCCCTTTAGAACAAGAAATTTTTTGTTAACACTTAAGCACAGCTACACATAAACTGTGATTTTAAAAGACAGGATTTTTTTCCCCTTAATATTTCATTATAAAAATGCTCAAAAATAAAGAATATTGAAAGAATTATACAAACACGCATTTATTCACCACCTAGATTTTACAAAAGCCAGCAATTTAATACATTTACTTTATCATCTCACTTATCCATCCATTTAATGATAGAATTTGTAAACAATTCTATCATTGTTTTATTATTATTTGTTTTATTATTATTTTTTGAGACAGGGTCTTTCTCTGTTGCACAGGCTGGCATGCAGTGTGGCATGATCTCAGCTCACTGCAGCCTTGACCTCCTGGGCTCAAGCAATCCTCCTGCCTTAGCCTCCAGGGTAGCTGGGACCACAGGTGCACGCCACCACACCCATCTAATTTTTATATTTTTTTAGTAGTGACGGGGTTTTGCCATGTTGCCCAGGCTGGTCTTGAACTCCTGGGCTCAAGCAATCCGCCCATCTTGGCTTCCCAAAGTGATGGGATTACAAGCGTGAGCCACTTCACCTGGCTTTAACTTTTTATTTTGAAATAATTTCAGACTTGCAGAAAAGCTGAGAGAATAGTACTGAGAACTCCCATATATTCTTTACCCAAATCCATCAATTTTTAATATTTTGCCAAATGTGCTTTGTGGTTGTCTCTATGCAAAACATACTATTTTTTCCCTGAACTATATGAGAGTAGATTGCATGAATCATGCCCTTACCCCTTAACACTTCATTTTTTATTTCCTAAGAATAATCATATTCTCTGACATTTCCACTTGCTGTCATCAAATTGGGAAAGTTAACACTGATATAATGAAATCTAAACTAATTTGATCTCATCTATCACCCATTTCCAAGCTGTTGATTGTCTCAATTAGTCTTTTCTGACATTATTTTTTCCATCTTCTGTGCAGGATCCAGTCTGAGATTGCGCACTGCATTCCATTTTCACGTCTCTTTAGTCTGTGTTAGTTCACAAGTTCTTCCGTCTGTCTTTGTCATTTAGGGCAATGATATATGTGGGGTTTTTGGGTTTTATTTCATTTTATTTATTTTATTTTTAGTTTAGTTCAATTAGAGACAGGATCTCACTCTGTCACTGAGGTTGGAGTGCAGTGGTGCTATCATAGCTCACTGCAGCCTCTAACTCCTGGGCTCAAACAATCCTTCCAGCTCTGCCTCCTGAATAGCTGGAACTACAGGCATGCACCACCACACCTGGCTAATTTCTTTCTTTTTTTAATTTTTTGCAGAGATAGGGTCTTGCTATGTTGCCCACACTGGACTCGAACTCCTGGCCTCAAATAATCCTCCTGCCTCAGCCTCCCAAAGTCTGGAATTATAGGTGTGAGCCATGGAGCCTGGCCATGGTGATATTTCTGAAGAATTATAAAATGCTTCTCAATCTGCGCATGTGTGACATTCCCTTGTGCATTCTCAACTGAAATGCTATACAGGTGATGCTGTGTCTTTCTTAGGGTACTACATCTGCAGGCACATGATGGCCTTTTGCTCCTCATTGGTGAGATGAACTCTCATTAACTGGACTGTCCACTGTCTCTGCTGTATAGTCACTATTTTCCTCATTGCAATTGATACCTGCTCAGTAGGAAGACCTCTTGAGATATGCAAATATCCTGCTCCTCATCAAACTCTCAAAATCTCTCTCCTCCTCAATGCATGCAAAACTCTTCTTCCCAGGGTTAGCATACACTGATAATTCTTACCTAAAGGAAGACAATTCTTGTCTTTACTGGGATGGCTACAAAATGGTGATTTTTCCAATTCTACCATTTCTTTCACATTTCTCAATCCGCTCATCTATTTATCTATTCAGCATAAGGATGGACTCTTGGATTCCTATTTTACTCAATGGGCTATAATCTGTTACTGTTCTAATTCCATTTGATCCTCAAATTGGGAGCAAGTGAGAGCCCCTTCAAAAGCTGCTCTTATACCCTTTTCACATGGGTATTTCACATTAGTGGGTTTTTTTTTTTTTTTTTTGAGACCGTGTCTCTCTCTCACCCGGGCTGGAGGGCTCACTGCAACTTCAGCCTCCAAGGGTAAGGTGATTCTCCTACTATAGCATCCCAGGTAGCTGGGACTATAGGCATGCACCACCACGCATGGCTAATTTTTATATTTTTTGTAGAGATGGCCCAGACTGGTCTTGAACTCCTGGACTCAAGTGATCTGCCCTCCTTGGCCTCCCAAAGTGCTGGGATTACAGGCATGAGCCACCACACCTTGCCTCACTGAACTCTTTAGAAGCAAAATGTGACATAATGTATGCAACTTATTATCAAATAATTCTGAGAAAAAAATGTACACACATACATGTATATATGTGTGGAATGCGTGAATGATAAAGCATATGTAGTAAAATGTTAACAGTTGGCCGGGTGCAGTGGCTCATGCCTGTAATCCCAGCACTTTGGGAGGCTGAGGCGGGTGGATCACGAAGTCAGGACATCGAGACCACCCTGGCTAACGCGGTGAAACCCCAACTCTACTAAAAATTCAAAAAATTAGCCAGGCGTGGTGGCACGCCCCTGTAGTCCCAGCTACTCGGAAGGCTGAGACAGAAGAATTGAAGGTGGAGGTTGCAATGAGCCAAGATCGCACCACTGCACTCCAGCCTGGGCAACAGAGCAAGACTCCGTCTCAAAACAAAACAAAAACAAAAACAAAAAAAAACAAATGTTAACAGCTAGTAAATCTGGTTAAAGAATAATAGGAATTCTTTGAGCTTTCTTTTAACTTTCCAATAAGCTTAAATTTATTTCCACATAAAAAAATTATGCTTAAGCCCAGGAAGTCGAGGCTGTGCCAAGCGGTGATCGCACCACTGCACTCCAGCCTCCGTGACTGAGCGAGACCCTGTTTCAAAAAAAAAGGAAAAAACAAAGTTGATTTAACTAAAAATACTCGCAGTTTACTTACTGGTGACAACAATGAAGACAACGCTTATTGAGCATTTACCACGTGCCAGGCCACTGTGTGAGGGCTTCACTTCATCCTCACAGTAACTCTCAGGTAGCACTATTACTATCTCCATTTCACAGGTGAGAAAACTGGGGCACAACAAGGTTAAGTAACTGATCAAAGGGCACATGGCTAGGATATGGCAGAGCTATGATTCAAACACAGGATTATGTGCCTTTATAGCCTGACCCATACAACACGCCTATTTAATTCAACAGAACAAAATTCCTAACAATGTTGAAATGAGAAATGCAAATCTGTTACCTGGGGGTAGGAATCTTCAAATGCACGATCTGGAGTCATGTGCTTGATGACATCTGCCAAAACGGTATTCACCTCTCGTTTCTAAGCAGGAAAAAGGAACCAAACCTGAATTAGACACTGTATGGCAACTGCTGACCATGTTCCTGGGGGAAAGGACTAACGTATTCAGAATATATCACACACCTTCCAGGAAATCAATTTCAGTATTCTGCTGAAAATAACGGAAGGGAGGAAATCTCACTCATATCACCCGGTCTAGTACCACAGCCCCACACCTAGTCAGGACTAAACGCTCTTCTCAAAAGTTCTGGGGCTTTACATTGTCTCTGCTTTCCCAGAGTGATGGTTGAATCGGCCGTGCCTCTCTCCACCTGCCTGTCCCAGGCCCTCCCTCAGGTGCCTGCAGAGAGAACAGTGAAGCACTGCGGAAGACTGCAGGCTCACCCTTACAAGCTGTCTGACCTAACTGCTCACTGTTCACTTTTGTCACCTATAGCAGGAGTCAGCCAACTGCAGCCCAATCCAGCCCAGGGCCTGTTTTTATAAGGCCCACAAGCTAAGAATGGCTTTTAAGTCTCTATAATTAACTGCTGATTTATAGAAAATACAAAAGGCAGAAGAGCACGCCAGACACCATCACAAGGATGCAATGGGAAAAATCCAGTCTTTGCAACTCTATAGAGCAAAAGACCCAATTTCTTCAACAAATAAATTACAGGGAAAGAAAGGGGAAGGAGAGAAGGAGACAGTTTGAGAGAGAACTTATACATCAAAAGTATCCTAAAATGTCTATTGCAATGGAGAAGCCTTATTTTCAACCAGATTTCAACAAATAAACTTAAAAAAAATGAGACAATTGGGGAAATCAGAATATTGACTGGTACTGATGATATTAAATAATTAGTAACTCGGCTGGGTGCAGTGGCTCATGCCTGTAATCCCAGCACTTCGGGAGGCTGAGGCAGGTGGATTGCTTGAGGTCAGGAGTTCGAGACCAGCCTGGCCAACATGGTGAAACCCCGTCTCTACTAAAAATACATAAAATTAGCGGGGTGTGGTCACACACACCTGTAGTCCTAGTTACTTAGGAGGCTGAGGCAGGAGAATCACTTGAACCCAGGAGGCGGAGGTTGCAGTGAGCTGAGATCATGCCACTGCACTCCAGCCTGGGTGACGGAGTGAGACTCCATCTCAAAAACAGAAGAAAAAAAAAATTAGTAACTTTTTTCCTTAGAATAATGTATTTAGATTTGGTTTAAGGAAGTGAACCCTGCAACCTGGGCAACATGGCAAGACCCCATCTCTACATCTCCACATGTGCCTGTGGTCCCAGCCACTCGGGAGGCTGAGGCAGGAGCATTGCCTGAGCTCAGGAGGTCATGGCTGGAGTGAGTGACGATTGCACCACTGGACTCCAGTCTGGGCAACAGAGTGAGATCCTGTCTGTCAATCAATCAATCAATGGAATCTTTATATTTTTACAGGTGTGCTGAAATACTGACAGATGAAACGATACAATGTCTGAGATATGCTTCAAAATATTCCAGGGGTCAGGGGACATGGTAATGATATAAATCAAACAAGATCTGTCATAAATTGATAATTCCTGATTGATGGGTACAAGGGAGTGCATATGTTTTACATTTCCATAATAAAATGTAAAATAAAAATAGGACCAAAAAAAACCACAAAAATCAATGGACCAACATTTACCTAATGCTCAAAACGAGGCAACATCAATTTTGGTGTTAGAGGCCAGGATGGTGTCTACCTTCACCTCCTCAAAGGCTGTTGTGACAGGGAGAGGCAGTTCTGGGGGTTCTGCGGGGTCACTTATTTCCTATTTCTTACTCTGGATGGTGATTATATGGTCATACCTTGTGAAAATTCATTGAGCAGCAAACTTATGATACGTGCACTTTTTTGCATGTGTGCTTGGCTTAGTCTGTTTGGGCTTCTCTACCAAAATACCATAAACCAGGAAGCTTGTAAACAACAAAAATGTAATTCTCACAGTTCTGGAGGCTGGGAAGTCCAAGATCAAGGCAGATTTGGTGTCTGGTGAGGACCCATTCCTCACAAACGGCATCTTCTCCCCAAGTCCTCATGGGATGGAAGGGGACAGTGAGCAACTCAGGACTTATTTTATTATTATTTTTGTTTTGAGACAGAGTCTCACTCTGTCGCTCTGGCTGGAGTGTAGGAGTGCAATCTTGGCTCACTGCAGCTTCTGCCTCCCACATTGAAGCGATTCTCCTCCCTCAACCTCCTGGGTAGCTAGGACTACAGGCAGGTGTCACCATACCCACCTAATTTTTTTTTTTATTTTTAGTAGAGACGGGGTTTTACCACGTTGGCCAGGCTGGTGGGCTTCTTTTATTATAAGGGCATTAATCTCCTTCATAAGGACTCTGCCTGCCATGACCTAGGCTCCACCTCCTAATACCATCATCCTGGGGGCTAGGATTTCAACATATGAATTTTGGGAGGGCACAGACATTCAGACCATAGCAATGCCACACTTAAATTTTTAGGGCTTGGCCAGGTGCGGTGGCTCACGCCTGTAATCCCAGCACTTTGGGAGGCAGAGGCGGGCTGATTGCGAGCTCAGGAGATCGAGACCATCCTGGCTAACATGGTGAAACCCTGTCTCTACTAAAAACACAAAAAAATTAGCCAGGCGTGGTGGCAGGCGCCTGTAGTCCCAGCTACTCGGGAGGATGAGGCAGGAGAATGGCGTGAACCCGGGAGGCGGAGCTTGCAGTGAGCCGAGACCACGCCACCACACTCCAGCCTGGGCGACAGAGCGAGACTCCATCTCAAAAAAAAAAAAAAAAAAAAAAAAACTTTTAGGACTTGATTAAAATAAACAAATTACTCTGGCAAGGGTTTTGAACCCACTTCTATCTTCTTCTAAAGTCTCTGCTCTTTGAGAAGCCCAGTATTCCCCTAACTGTGGTTCTAGTCTGTGCCTAGGGAAAGAAATATTTGCTTAGGAAAAAAATTACATGCCAGTCAAATTGTTTGGGAAATGCTGCTTACTAGACTCTGATGTACAGTCGCAATGCACTTTAGCATGTAAGCATCTAAGGTATCCTATGGTAAAAAAAAAATGGTTTAACTTTGTGTAATGCTGCATTTTCCAAACTTAAATGTAAACATGGAACAGTTATTTTTTGTTATAGTACACATATTAATGCTCCATCACGCTTTATTATGAAGAATGCAATTTTTATAAATTACAAGAGCAAGTACCGTTGTCAAATGCCTCAATACCTAAACTAGGCTAATTCACTATTATAAACATGAAAAAATCTAATTCTTTCAAAAACAATACCACAGTCACACATACCGTGAAATGCTTGCAGGTGTATTCCACCCACACTTCGGCACAATTAATGTAGTCCTACAAAGAGAAAGGAAAACATCTTAACATTAAGTACAACATAGTATGCATTACAGCAAACAGGAGGCTTCAGCTGGCTCTGTTCAATGGTTGGAAACGGGAATTTCCTTTTGCTAATTACTGGCTTAAAGGCTGATCTTTTATTTAGGAATATCCTACTAACGATATTTTCAAGCCTAAATCTTACGAACTGTTATATTTTGGATGCCCACTATAAAGTTAACTGATTTTTCATAAAGTTTCAAATATCTGTAATGTTATGCATTTTTTTTAAGTTGTATTTTTTATGGCAGTTCTGAACGCATGATCATGTAATTTTATACTTTTAGCACATCTTAAGGCTGTGAGAATTGAATTTTTAAAAAATCAAAGAAATTACATCTTTAAAGCTATCCATTCTCCATTACAGGTAAACAAATAATACAATTATAATAAATAGATTTCTTTAGGGAAAAATGTATAACTAATGAAAAGATAATTTTTATTTTTTAGTTCAAATAGAGACAGGGGTCTTGCTATGTTGTCCAGGCTGGTCTGAAACTCCCAGCCTCAAGTGATCCTCCTGCCTCAGCCTCCCAAAGTGCTGAGATTATAGGTGTGAGCTACCATGTTCAGCTTGGAAGGGTAATTTTTTAAAAGAGCAGATGCCAAAACTTGGACAAAAAGTGGTTGATTTAAAGTTTAAATGGCAGGCCGGGCAAAGTGGCTCACGCCTGTAATCCCAGCATTTTGAGAGGCCAAGATGGGTAGATATTTGAGACAGCCTGACCAACATGGTGAAAACCTGTCTCTACTAAAAATACAAAAATTAGCTGGGTGTGGTGGCACACACCTGTAATCCCAGCTACTCGGGAGGCTGAGGCAGAAGAATCGCTTGAACCCAGGAGGCAGAGGTTGCAGTGAGCCGAGATGGCGCCATTGCACTCTAGCCTGGGCGACAGAGCAAGACTTCATCTCAAAATAAATAAATAAATAAATAAATAAATAAAAATAAAAATAAAATGGCCACTCACCTGTGGGTTCTTCAGCTTAGTGATGACTTTCCAAGCTTCGTTGAGAATCTGAAGTCGGTCACTCTCAGGAGGATCAGCCAAGGCCAAGTTTAATCCCAGTGATCGAAAAAGAAGATGCTAAGAAACATGTCAAACCATCATGTTATGGAAATTTTAAATCAAATTAACTTGAAGCTCAAAGAAAAGAAAAGAGAAAAGGTTGTAATGTTTAATCCTTCTTGGGGCTAATCTTCCAACAACCTCCTTCTAAAGTTCTATCACACATATCTGCCCCAGCTACACTGAGAGGCTCACACAGAGTTAGCTCCATCTGTTGGTCTAATGTGGGGCCATAATATTCTACTGGACAAAGTTTTTCATAAATAATGAATGAAGATATATCCTTTTGTTTGTTTTGAGACAGGGTCTCACTCTGTCACCAGGCTTCATGACATAATCATGGCTCACTGCAGCCTTGACCTCCTGGGCTCCAAGCAATTCTCCCACCTTAGCCTCCCAAGTAGCTGGGACTACAGGAATGCACCACCACACCCAGCTAAGTTTTGATTTTTTGTAGAGATGGGGTCTTGCTGTGTTGCCCAGGCTGGTCTCGAACTCCTGGCCTCAAGTGATCCTCCTGCCCTGGCCTCCCAAGTGATAGGATTATAAACATGAGCCACCGTGCCCAGCCTGATATATTCTTAAATATGTTAGACCAAAGTCTTTCTTAAATCCTTCATAGTGAGCCAATCTGATAGATTTAGGGCTCATGGGGGCCTGAAGCATAGCAATCACACAGTGTCTGACAATCCCAACCTCTAACTCATCTTCCATTGCGTTCCTCAGAAACAGAGCCTTCGCCTGTGTTCCTGCTGGCCCATGCTGTTCCCAAAACCGGACTGTCTCTCAAGAGCTATCAGATACACACCGCTTATTTGTGTCCTACTGAGCATGAAGTCAAGAGCCTACCTTGGGGAAACCAGATTCATCACACTCTTTAATCATGCCAATGAAATCCATAGACCTTGTGGCGATGAACTCAGCCCGGAAGGCAGACATCACAGAATTCAACAGCAAGGCACTGCAAGACACAGATCCCCAAGTCAGCCTGGCTTCTCCTCAATCAAAGTTGCTTTAATTTTTGAATATATATTGCCAGGAAGGAAGACTAACAGCTCTTTAGCGGTAGGGTTGGGGAAAAACAAAAAATCAGAGTAAAAAGGTAAACTGGAGAGACTAACACAGTGTCCTGTACATATCTGCAACTCAATAAATGTTGAATTAACTGGATGTTTAGATGGATGGATGGCTAGATGGCAGGGTGGATAGACAGATCAGCAAGTGATCCAGTTCATTTAAGGAGAAGAAGAGCGAGCATTCAATAAGCTGGTGCACTAATGAGACAGAACATTAAGTAACGATATTGATCCATGTTGTAAATATATATCCACATCGTTTATGCAAGAGTTTTGGTTTTTTTGTTTTTTTTTTTTTGAGATGGAGTCTCACTTTGTTGCCCAGGCTGGAGTAGTGTCACGATCTTGGCTCACTGCAACCTCCACCTCCCGGGTTCAAGTGATTCTCCTGCCTCAGCCTCCCAAGTAACTGAGATTACAGGCATGCGCCACCATGCTCGGCTAATTTTATGTATTTTTAGTAGAGACAGGGTTTCACCATGTTGGCCAGGCTGGTCTCAAACTCCTGACCTCAGGTGATCCACCCGTCTCAGCCTCCCAAAGTGCTGGGATTATAGGCATGCACCACTGTGTCTGGCCAGTTTATGCAAGAGATTTCTTAGTAAAGAGATCTTATGTTATAGGCACCAGGCACAGGGGACACAGTGGTAAACAAAGCCCATGCAAGGCTGTTTCCATGTATCTACCACTAAAAGGAAAGCAGAGAGACAACCTCATATTCGTGAGAGTCAGGGAGATCAATTTCATCCTAGCCCAACCACCTACCACAGCCCCATGGGGAAATAACTATTATTATTACTTTTTTTCTTTTGTTTTTTGAGACAGCGTCTCACTCTGTCGCCAAGCTAGAGTACAGTGTCATGATCTCGGCTCACTGAAACCTCTGCCTCCCGGGTTCAAGCAATTCTCCTGCCCCAGTCTCCTGAGTAGCTGCGACTACAGGCATACACCACCAAGCCCGGCTAGTTATTGTATTTTTAGTAGAGATGGGGTTTTGCCACGTTGGCCAGGCTGGTCTCGAACTCCTGACCTCAGGTGATCCACACGCCTCAGCCTCCCAAAATGCTGGGATTACAGGCATCAGCCACCACGCCCAGTTGAAAGAACTATTATTACTCCCGTTTTACAGATGAAGAGACAGAGGCACAGAGAGGTCAAGCAAGCGGCCCAAGGTCACAGGGCTAAGACAGAACAGAGCCAAGGTCTGAGGCCAGGCAACCGGACTCCAGCATTCTAAACCTCCATGCAGTCCTGCCTCTCTCTCTTCAGCTCATACCCAGGTAAGCAGGCCAAGCTCAAAAATAGCAGCCAACGCCATTTTCAAACTCATGCTTTATGAATCTTAAAATACTTACTTGTTTCCTAGTTTCTTACACCTTTCCATCATCTCGGTCAGCAGAGCCTATTATGTTAAAAATAATAATAATTAAAAAATCAGGTTGGAGGAGCTAAAGTAACATTTCTAAGAGATTTCCAAAGTCGAACTCTAAAATGAATGTAGCCACATGTCCATTAAGATAATTCTCAGTGTCTGGTAGGGATGGGGAGGCTTGGGGAGAAAAAAATTCACTTTCATGGCATTTAGTGTAATAAATAGAAGGAGGGGGCCGGGTACAGTGGCTCGCACCTATAATTCTAGCATTTTGGTAGACCGAGGCAGGTGGATCACTTGAGGTCAAGAGCTCGAGACTAGTCTGGCCAACATGGTAAAACCCCGTCTCCACTAAAAATACAAAAATTAGCCAGGTGTGATAGCGGGTGCCTGTAATCCCAGCTACTCAGAGGGCTAAGGAAGGAGAATCGCTTGAACCCAGGAGGTGGAGGCTGCTATGAGCTGAGATCATGCCACTGCACTCCAGCCTGGGAGACAGAGGGAGACCCTGTCTCAATCAATCAACTGATCAATCAACAGAAGCTAGGGTCCTGGCATCAGGCACACTTGGATTCAAATCCAACCTCACCAACTACCAATGATGAGACTTCGGAAGAGTTGCCAACTCTGTCGAACCTGGGTCTCCTTGTCCTTATTGAAAGGCTACAAGTGGTATCATCTCATCTGTGGGGTCACTACAGGATGATGGGAGATAACTCCTGCACTCCAGGGCATGAATGAGAACGATAATTACTCTGCTCCCCACCTCTTCTGTAACCCCACATTCTTCCCCATTTTAAGAGGTGCCCAAGGTGCACTTAGTAATATCAGCAACAAACACTGGGCTAGAGCTTAGTGCCCACCAGCCATGGTGAGAAGCACTTTGCACTCACGATCTTACCTCTCCCAACCACCCTTGAAGCAGGGGCTCTATTCTCCCATTTCACAGATGAAAAACAAAGCCACGAATAGCAGTGTTTTTCACCCAAGGTCGCACAGTTAGTGATGGCAGGCAGACATGAACCTGGGCAGACTGGGATCAAAGGCCACGTTCTTCAATACATTTCTTCTCCAACACAGTTTGAAGTCTATTTTCCCCGCCTCCGCCAAAGGAAGCAGATTTTTTTTTTTTAACTCATTGGAATACTGTTAATGGCTTTGGAGCTATCTTAAGACAATTACATATCTTTAAAAGAGCTCCTGTTTTTAAGAAAATCAATGGAAGAAGGATCATTTAGGGCAGTGGTTTGGGGAAGGTCAAGCCCAAGACCAGAGGTAATTACAGGACACTGAGCACTGCCCAGGTTTCGGGCTAAGTCCTTGACTTCCCTTTACTCTCTTACTCTTCACCATGTCCTTGTGAGGTCCATGGAACATTATCCCCATTTTACAGATGCAAAAGCCAAAGCTCAGACAGGGTTAAGACACTTCCTAATAAGTGGCAAAAATGGGATTTGTGCAGGCCAGGGGTGGTGGCTCATGCCTGTAATCCCAGCACTTTGGGAGGCTGAGGTGGGAAGCTCGCTTGAGCCCAGGAATTCAAGACCAGTCTGGGCAATATAGTGAGATCCCATCTCTACATAAGTATTTTTGTTTGTTTGTTTGTTTGTTTTTTGAGACAGAGAGACGAGTCTTACTCTGTTGCCCAGGCTGGAGTGCAGTGACGCGATCTCGGCTCACCAGAACCTCCGCCTCTTGGGTTCAAGAGATTCTCCTGCCTCAGCCTCCCGAGTAGCTGGGACTATAGGTGTGTGCCATCATGCCTGGCTAATTTTTTTGTATTTTTAGTAGAGATGGGGTTTCACCCTGTTAGCCAGGCTGGCCTTGAACTCCTGACCTCAGGCAATCTGCCCGCCTCAGCCCTGCAAAGTGCTGGGATTACAGGAGTGAGCCACCGCGCCCAGTCATAAAATTTTTTAAAAAATTAGCTGGGTGTGGTGGTACGTGCCTGTGGTCCCAGCTACTCAGGAGGCTGAGGTGGGAGGATCACTTGAGCCCAGGAGGTGGAGGCTGCAGTGAGCTGTGATTGTGCCACTGAACTCCAGCCTGGGCACCAGAGTGAGACCTATCTCAAAAAAAAAAAAAAAAAAAAAAAAAAAGACCTGGTAGGCACGATGGCTCATGCCTGTAATCCCAGCACTTTGAGAGGCTGATGGGGACAGATGGCTTGACCTTAGGAGTTCAAGACCAGTCTGGGCAACATGGCGAAACCTCATCTCTAAAAGAAATTTAAAAATTAGCCAAGCATGGTGGTGTGTGCTTATAGTCCCAGCTAGTCAGAAGGCTAAGGTGGGGGCATCACTTGAGCCTGGGAGGTCGAGACTGCAGTAAGCCAAGACTGCACCACAGCACTTCAGCCTGGGCAACAGAGCAAGACCCTGTCTTAAAACAATAATAATAATAATAATAATAATAATAATAATAATAATAATAATAATAAATAAATAAGTAAAAAGTAAAAAATAAAGAAAAAAAAGGGATCTATATCTACGTCTGGACCCAAAGTAAAAAAATAAAAGGAGGGTTCTTAAGTGCAATTCCACCCTTTCTGGTGGCACCCCTCTCTGTCATGTTGCCTGAATAAGTGAGAGCTGACGTTGGAGATACTGTTGGAATCCCTACCCCAAAACCCTGATTTTATTCAGATTTCCATCTATGCCTCACATAAACTAGGTTGGCTTCTGTCACGGACTGAATTATATCTCCCCTAAATTGCTATGTTGGAGCCCTAACCCCTAATATCACTATTCTAGGTTAAATGGAGTCATAAGGGTGGGATCCGAATCCCACAGGACTAACCTCCTTATAGGAAGAGACAGCAAGGATGCGTGTACACAGAGGAAAAGCCATGTGAGAACACGGCAAGAAGGTGGCAGTTTCCAAGCCAAGGAGAGAGGCCTCACCAGAAACCAACCTTGCTGGCCCCTTGATCTTGGTCTCCTAGCCTTCAGAACTATGAGAAAATAAAGTCTGTTGTTTAAGCTCCTAGTCTGGGTATTTTGTTAAGGGAGCCCAAGCAGATTAATACAGACCCAAACCAATCACAGTGGCTCTCGTTCCCCTTGCCCATGATCCATTTCTAGCTGCTGAGACAGGATGGGAAGTCTTCGGGGGGATTTGGAGAAAGGTTTCCTGTTCTTAAACAAGGACCCAAGAATCAAAGATTCCCTGGATGCTGTCGGCTCTGGACGTGATGCCTGGAATGGTTGCCCCCACCTTGCTACTAATCAGGGACAGCAGAGCAAAAAGATGCACTGAAGCTGATCACCCGAGAGCCTCCACTTGTTGTGGAGGAGGACACATGGAATTATATGTGGAGGCCAGACTAGTTAGATGTTTGTTCCTTGCAGCCAAAAGCACCCTAGCTGGTGACAAAATTGACCACATCATAAATGGCTTCCCTAACCCACTCTTGGGTATTTACATTTGAAAAGTCATTCTTAAAGACCAATAGCAAAGTGGCCTTTGGAAAAGGCTAAGAGAGGAAAAGAGATTCTGTGTAATCATCACACTGACACTCCCTGACACACAGAAATAATCATTCAACGCCTACCTAACGAGCAACTTTAGTATACAGTTGACCCTTGAATAACAACATGGTTTTGAGCTGCGTGGATCCACTTAGACACGGATTTTTTTCAACCATATGCTGAACGAAAATACAGTATTTGTGAGACACCAAACTCAAGTATACACGGGTTCCACAGGGCCAACTGTGAGACTGTGAGACTTGAGTCTCACAGCATGGATTTTGATATACGTGGGGGCCGGGCACAGTGGCTCACGCCTGTAATCCCAGCACTTTGGAGGCTCAGGTGGGTGGATCACCTGAGGTAAGGATTTCGAGACCAGCCTGGCCAAGATGATGAGACCCTGTCTCTACTAAAAATACAAAAATTAGCCGGGCGTGGTGGCGTGGCTGTAGTCCCAGTTACTTGGGAGGCTGAGGCAGGAGAACTGCTTGAACCCGGGAGGCAGAAGTTGCCATGAGTGGAGATCGGGCCATTGCACTCCAGCCTGGGTGACAGAGCAGGACTCCGTCTTAAAAAAAAAAAAAAAAAAAAAAGATATACATGGAGATCCTGGAATCAATCCCCTAAGTATACCAAGGGATGACTATACCAGCCACTGTTCCAGACACTGAGGGTAAGATGGGAGGAAAACACAGAAACCCATGCCTTCGTGAGGTTTACTGTATCTCATATGCATGCACGTGCACACACACATGCACACATACACACACACATAAATGAGACCTCCTGGCCCACCAATTCTGGAAAGATTAACTAGGGCAAATCCCAACATATGGACAAAAGATTCTTACCACTAAGACAAGTTAAATGCTTAAAAAGTTCCCTCTCTCACAAAAGATGAATGCACTAAAAATGCATCCAAGAATATAACTTTAAAAAACCAAAGGCTCTGTTGTCATAAAGGAACTTGGGAATACATGTAAGTGTTCGGAGAGCCAAATGTTATAGATCCTCGGGCAGGTCTGCTGGAGGTTACTGATTTTTTCCCCTCTAAGAAGTGACAGAATTGATTATCTTTGGCAAGAACACGATGAACAACAGCTCAAAGCAGACAGAGATTGAAACAAGCCCTTTGGCTGGGATCAACCACTGAAAAAGCAGCTCAGCATATTTCTTTCATTTTCACACACAGCAGAACTTGAAGATTCAGAAGATTCACAAGGCAGGCATTTGCTTGGTGTGCTGGTTTGTTTTTTAGGCTTTTGTTATTGTTGCTGTTGGCCCTACATGCCACTTATTTATGTAACATTTGTTTTTCTAAAAATTGTAAAAATAAGAAATGCTTTATAGACAAAAGTCCCAACAACATCGACATGCATCAAGAAAGATGCGAATGTCCCCCCCTCCCAACTTCCATGTCCTAGAAATCACCACTGTCAACACTTTGGTGTTTGTCTAGGACTTTGATGTTCTTATCTAGAATTCTGCCTGTGCTTTATGGATATATATTATTACAGAAGCCTAGTTTTGTTTTTACACAATGGGATACTCTTATAAATACTGGGTTGGAGATATTTAAATATGGCCTTTTTTAATGGAGAATCTAGATGGCCCTCTCTTCTCCATGTTATTACACAAATCTACCTCACTCTTTTAATCCATGGCTATTTAATCCATGCCATGGATATAACAGCATTTTTCAAACTGCCCCTAACTGACAGATGTCTGTTTTTGTTTTCTGTTTAATTTTTAATTATTTATTTTTTTTAATTTATTCTTTTTTGAGACAGAGTCTTGCTCTGTCGCCCAGGCTGGAGTGCACTGGTGTGATCTTGGCTCACTGCAACCTCCACCTCCTGGGTTCAAGTAATCCCCCTGCCTCAGCCTCCCGAGTAGCTGGGATTACAGGCGCATGCCACCACACTCGGCTAATTTTTGTATTTTTAGTAGAGATGGGGTTTCGCCATGTTGGCCAGGCTGGTCTCAAACTCCTGACCTCAAGAGATCCGCCCGCCTTGGCCTCCCAAAGTGCTGGGATTACAGGCATGTGCCACCACGCCTGGCCTAATTTTTATTTTTTGAGGGTACATAGTAAGTGTATATATTTATGGGGTACATGAGATGTTTTGGTATAGGCATGCAATACATAATAATCACATCATGGAGAATGGAGTATTCATCCCAATTGAAGGATTTTTAAAAGACTTTTCATTCTGAATTAATTATAGACTCGTCAGTAATTGAAAAAAACAGTAGAGAGAAGTCCTGGGTACCCACCACCCAGCTTCTCCCATTTACATAACTATAATGCATTATTAAAGCTAGGAAACTGACACTAGTATAACACAACTAACTAGACAATTTCACCAAGTTTTACATGCATACTTTTTGGGGGAAAAAGAGCATGTCTTTGTGTCTAATTCAATGACCATTTTACCAATATATATGGAGTTGGAGAACCACAACCATATTTAACTGTTGGATTTTTTAAGGTGATCTCCAGATTAGGTTATTTATAATTATTTACCCACTTCAAAAGTACAGGAGGAGAGAAAAGAAGTCAGGCCAAGGCTGCATTTCTATTTTAAACATTCTATGGCGCTTTATTATGGCAGCCCGAACGGACTAAGACATGCCTTGATTTTTTACCTTGGATTTCAATTTCGATTTGAAATTCTGTAGATGAGATATTCACAACTAAAGGTATTTCTCCTTTCCCTCTCTCACTTGCCTGCCCTGTATATTACCAATTGCTGCAGCCGAACTTTACCATCCCCTATTTTGAAGTCTTGGCCTCTAATGGATACACACAGTTCTACTCTGCAGGTGACTCATAGCGGCCATTATCAAAGAGCTTTTAGGCACCAAATTGTCACATGCACCTTTAACACCACCTTCCATACCGACATCAATTCTTCTGCAGTTTGAAAATGACTATTTTTTTTAACAAGACACTGCATGTCCTTTAAGTGTGCCCAAGAATCAGAGTTTATTATTATTCAGCTGACCTAATTTTTTAATCACTTATTCTAGTGCAATAATGATTTCCTAGAGCTTATTCCCAGCTTCTGCCATCCTTTGAGATGACTGGGGCTTAAAATAAAAAGAAGACTGCCTTGTGACATTTTGTTTTTAATCTGATTTTGCCTTTCGCTAAAATAAGAAAAAAAAAGCGTTCTCATTTCACCACGTCAATCCTGCTTGTATGTTTCCGTCGTTCAGTGGAATACCAAGAAAACAGTCGAGTTCATGGTACCCTTCCCAGAAGCGGAGGACAGCATGTGGTTGCTGAAACTATGCTGAGGACCATAGAGAACCAGCAGCAAAACTTCAAACAATCTTTCCTTTATACTGGCTTGATTTAAAATCAATTTACTTAATGGTAAGACTATTCACCTGAAGTACAAGATGTCCCAGTTTTTCTCCTCATAATTTAGAATCTCAAAAAGTAAAAAGGTAAGCAGTGCATACTTGTTGAAAAGTTAGAAAACAGAGATGGGCGGCTGGGCACGGTGGCTCTTGTCTGTGATCCCAGCACTCTGGGAAGCCGAGGCGGGAGGATCACTTGAGGCCAGGAGTTAGAGATCAGCACGAGATCAACAAGGTGAAACTGCATCTCTACTAAAAATACAAAAATTATCTGAGTGTGGTGATGCATGCCTGTAGTCCCAGCTACTCATGAGGTTGAGGCATGAGAATCGCTTGAACCTGGGAGGTGGAGGTTGTAGCGAGCCGAGATTGCACCAGTGCACTCCAGCCTGGGAGACAGAGTGAGACTCTGTCTCAAAGGAAGAAAGAAAAAAAAAAAAAAACAGATAGGCAAAGAAAAATAAGTTACGCTGGCCCCAAATCTCACACTCCAGTGATGTTCTGTCATTTCTCCTTCCCAACTCTCTCGCACAGATATAAAAATCATGTCTGCGAGTACTAAGATGTGGGGCGCTACACTAAGCACCGTAGATACAGTGACTTCTTTGATTCTTGCAACGGACTAGAAAATAGGAATCATTAATATTGCTCCCATTTTACAGATAAAGAGAGAAGACTCAGAGTGGTTAGGAACAAGTTACCTGCTCCCTACTCTATCACAACAGCTGTTAACGGAGCTGAGATGCAGACCCAGGCACCCCGACTCCAGAGCCCACACCTGAACACTAGGCCACACTGCCACTTACAGCACACACAGCAATGTGTGTAACTTTCTTTTTGCACTTAGCCATATACCATGAATACCCTTACGTCAGTATGTACAGATCATCGGGAGTCTCCATCATTTTAAATGGCCCCATTAACACCCCACTGAATGCACATACCATAACCAGTCCTCTCTGATGCTTGCCTCCAATTTTGCACTACCGTGAACAAACCGTGTGTGCATCTCTGTGTGTGTTTATAATGTTTATGCACTCGTCTAACTTACAGGATAAATTCGTAAAAGTGGGATTGCTCGGTTAAAGTCATGTCCTTTTTTTTTCTTTTCTGTACAGCTTTCAACATGTGTTGGCAAGATCTAGGAAAAGGCAGATGTCTTTCAACTTTGCTTTGCTCTATATGTCCTTGTTTTGTAGTCTCTCTTTACTTTTCAATGATCAAATAAAGACAAGGAAAGCTTCATCTATCACAGTCTTTTTTTTTTTTTTTTTTTTTTTGAGACAGTCTGGCTCTGTTGCCCAGGCTGGAGTACAGTGGTGCAATCTCGGCTCACTGCGACCTCTGCCTCCCAGGTTCAAGCGATTCTCTGCCTCAGCCTCCTGAGTAGCTGGGACTACAGGCACAAACCACCACGCACAGTTAATTTTTGTATTTTTTGTAGAGACAGGGTCTTTACAAAAGACAGGCCTGGGCAACATAGTGAAACTCCATCTCTACAAAAAAATACAAAAAATTAGCCAGGCATGGTGATATACACCTATATATCCATGTTAGCCAGGCTGGTCTTGAACTGCTGGCCTGAAGTGAACTACCCACGTCAGCCTCCCAAAGTGCTGGGATTACAGGCATGAGCCACCGTGCCCGGCCTATCACAGTCTTCATGACAGTTTGAATTGGTGTTCTACTAAAACTGCTTCTCAGTCTTGGAAAAGAAAGAAAATATGTGTCTGCTATGATTCTGATGTCACTTCAATTCCTGACAATACTTCAACTGGCAAAAAAGAAAAAAGAAAAGAAAAATAAAATTATAAAAGAAATTAAGCATCTGAGTTTTGTTTTCCTTCCATAAAATACCTGCTCTACAGACTTTATTGGATTATTATAAACACAAAAGGGGTACATGAAGGTTAAGTGAAGACGCAATAAGGCTTGTTGGCCCTGGAGCCCAATTCTATGGGTTTGTATCAAGTCACCAACCATCTTCCTTTTTGTTTCTTTTTTAATGAGACAGTGTCTTGCTCTGTCACTCAGGCTGGAGTGCAGTAGTACAGTCACAGCTCATTGTAGCCTTGAACTCTGGGGCTCAAGTGGTCCTCCCACCTCAGCCTCCTGAGTAGCTGGGACTATAGGCATATATCACCGTGTCTGGCTAATTTTTTCTATTTTTTTGTAGAGATGGAGTTTTGCTATGTTGCCAAAGCTCGTCTCAAACTCCTAAAATCAAGTGATCCTCCCACCTTGGCCTTGCAAAGTGCTGGGATTACAGATATGAGCACACCCAGCCACCAAACTGCTTTCTAGCTGTGTGGCCTCACTTAGGTACATGGCCTCTGGAGCTACCACATTCCCCTTCCACAGCTGTCAAAATGAGACTATCTCAGAAAAGCACTCAGCACAGAGCCAGCCACCATGGCAAGCCCTCTATAAAGGCTGGCTAGCACTAACATTGCTATAGCTGTTATGAAAGGGTCCCATTAACGTTAAAGGGCACAGTGGGCAGGGGCTGTCACCATACAGGAGGTGAGCGTCACACTGAAGCCACCTGGCAGTTACCTCGGGGGCATGGTAGGAGATGCACTGGAAGATCCAGTCCATGGCAGGCGGGTACAAGGGGAGGTAAGATGGGAGCTCCACTCCTTGGACCACCAGCTGGTTCTGGACCGTATCCCCATGAATCTACAGGAGGCCAAACAAACACTTAGAAAAGGAGGGGAAAAACCAAACAACAAACAAAACATACACAACTCACAGACTGTGCATACTTGTAAGCATGTGGACAGCCCTGAGAGAAATAGCCTGGTTTCTCGGTTGTTTTTTTTTTTTAAACCAAAAAAAAACACAGAAAGTTTCTCATGTCACCAAGCCGAGCTGTTTTGGGAATGAGCGCTGTGGAAAGCAGGAACCTGATAAAAATGGAGCCAGCAGATGCTCAGAAGCAAGGCTGATCGACTGGAGACGTTTCCTGTTAACACATGCATATTAACTTTCTCCGCTTATTCAGTACAATCAACACATTTTAATTGTCTACAACAGAAGCTAGTGTAATTTTCCAGGGCTTGCACATTTAAAGAGCTTTAAGGCATTCTCCACTTGGAAAACCAACTGGGTTTTGTGAATTTGCTATCATAGAACTGTTATATCGATGAGCTATTCTGATAGTGTTCTCTTACCTGTTTGAACGTAAGGAGGAAGTCAAAAAAGTTCTTATTTAGGGTTTCTTTGAGATGTGGGGCCACTTCCATTCCCACCTGCAGCCAGACAAATGGAAAAACTGGTTGCAAATAATGACTATAGTATGATTTTATTTTTGGAAATTAAAAAATATATATACCTATGTTTATAGACACAGAAAAAGTCCAGAAAATTATTATTATTATTATTATTATTATTATTTTGAGATGGAGTCTCGCTCTGTTGCCAGGCTGGAGTGCGGTGGGTGCGATTTCAGCTGACTGCAACCACCGACTCCCTGGTTCAAGGGATTCTCCTGCCTCAGCCTCCCGAGTAGCTGGAATTACAGGCATGTGTCACCAGGCCTGGCTGATTTTTGTATTTTTAGTAGAGACAGGGTTTCACCACATTGGCCAGGATGGTCTTGATCTTCTGACCTCATGATCTGCCCACCCTGGCCTCTCAAAGTGCTGGGATTACAGGTGTGAGCCACAGCGCCCGGCCTATTTTTTTTTTCCTTATCTGTTTTTTGTTTTGTTTTGAGACAGAGTCTCGCTCTGTTGCCCAGGGTGGAGTGCAGTGGCACGATCTTGGCTCACTGCAACCTCCACCTCTCAGGTTCAAGCAATTCTCCTGCCTCAGCCTCCCAAGTAGCAGGGATTACAGGCATGTGTCACGACACTTGGCTAATTTTTGTATTTTTAGTAGAGACGGGGTTTCACCATGTTGGCCGGGCTGGTCTCCAACTCCTGACCTCAGATGATCTGCCTGCCTCGGCCTACCAAAGTGCTGGGATTACAGGTGTGAGCCACCACGCCCAGCCTGATTTCTTTTTCAATAAACATGTATTGCTTTTATAAGAAAGACCACAGAAGCTATTTTTAATAAAAAAGGGCAACATTTGCAGAAATCATCTTTGCCCTTCCCCAAAGGTATTGAATGTATTTCTGAACAGACGACCAAGAGAACAAATCAATACAGAACTAAAAAGGAATGTACTCTCAAGATTGTGCATACAATAAAAAAATGATAAACACACATGGGGTTGTACTTATTAGACCAAGCACAAAGATTACGGTACGTGAGAAAGTCAGCTTGAATTCCAGATGTGGTGCTGCCCCCGTTACATGCTTAGTTAAAAGCTATACAAATTCATTCTTTGCAAGGCAGAGATAAGAGCAGACATAAATTTTAATACATTTTATGCAATTTTATATAACATGAGCATGAAGTGTAACAATGCTATAATCCACTGGGTCCTGACTTCATTGTTAAAAAACAGACTGTAACATTTCTAGCTGAAGAAATTTACTAATCATAGAGAAGGTGCCAGTACTGGGGTTAGATGGAAAAGTAGAGGGATGAGCTACGGAGGGGAGTTCATAGGTTTAAAACACAACATCACAGTGTTTCTTAAACTGAGCTCCTCAGAAATGCTTCGTTTCCAAATTGCTGCTTAACCGCAAAAACAACTTCGTAGGCTGGGCTGCAGTGGCTCACACCTGTAATCCCAGCACTTTGGGAGGCCCAGGTGGGCCAATCACTTGAGGTTAGGAGTTTGAGACCAGCCTGGTCAACATGGTGAAACTCTTTCTGTACTAAAAACACAAAAATTAGCCGGGTGTGGTGGCGCACGCCTGTAGACCCAGCTACCTGGGAGGTTGAGGTGGGAGGATCGCTTGAACCCGGGAGGTGGTGGTTGCAGTGAGCAAGATTGTGCCACTGCACTCCAGCCTGGGCAACAAAGTGAGACTGGTTCCCTATTTCTTCAAATGGGGAGAGATTTCTCCCATTCACCTTCCACTACCCAGAGGTCATGATGGGTAACACTAATAATGTTTTTCAGATGGCATTTGAGAACCACCAGGGTGTTAAATTCCAAGAGCAGCTCTGTGATTGCTGGGTACAGGAAGTGCTGTTTTCAAGGACAAGCACATAGATTAAATATATATATATATGCTAACAAGAAATATCAGATCCAGTTCTACAGTGTTCTGATTCTCCTTCCACTTAATCATATTGTAGAAAAGACAATAATTATCTGTTAGGTGACAGCAAAGGCTGGCCTGGTGGCTGAGCCATGGAGATGAGCTGAAGCGGCTGTGAGTTAGGAGTTAATCATACCTTCCTTTAATAACAGCTTCAAGCTCCCCCCACGCTCTACCCACTCAGAGCTTTTGTTTTCTGTTTTTCTCTTCTCATCGGGCCAAATGAGCAGCTTGGATATCTGCTTGGGTCTAAAAGATTTCTACCCAGAGCAGCAAGGGTATTGCTCATGATTCCCATCTGCTGTTTCGGCCTGCCCAGCATTCATCCCCCCCATTGCTGGTATCGGCAAATTAGATTTGTCTCTGGGGAATCAAACCTTCCTCTTGGACCATGAGGTTTGTGGTGGAGCTAGATCCACCTCACCCTGAGCTCCATGCAAGGGCATGTGACCCAGTCAGTAAGTACCCAGACACCAACCCCAGACCCCAACCCATGGCCACGTGACTAGTCTAGGGGTGGACAAACAACCCGAGGTAATCCACCAAGAATCAGCCCTGAGGCTCTGGCTAGATCTACTGGCAAGAAGACACACTTTCCAATAAGGTTCCTAAGGTGGTAGGATGGAAGCCAGAGGCCGCTATGGGCCATCATATAAAAAAAGCAAGCCACAGAATGAAGCCAACTCAAAGAACAGCAGAGCTGAGTGATGTGGGGAGAGGCTGATTCTTGACAGCACCCTTTGAGGGCCTGCATCCAGCCATGCCTGCACTAACCCTGGCCTCTCCAGACACTGGCCAGTAAGTTCTTACTTTTGCTTAAAGTAGTATGAACTGGGTTTTGCCACTTGGAACTGAAAGAAATCTTACTAATACACAGGCTGTCTCTTTTTGTTTGTTTGTTTGAGGCAGTCTTGCTCTGTCACCCAGGCTGGAGTGCAGTGGCGCGATCTTGGCTCACTGCAACCTCTGCCTCCTGGGTTCAAGTGATTCTCGTGCCTCAGCCTTCCGAGTAGCTGGGACTACAGGCGTGTACCACCACGCCCGGCTAATTTTTTGTATTTTTTAGTAGAGACAGGTTTTTGCCATGTTGGCCAGGTTGGTCTTGAACTCCTGACCTCAAGTGATCTGCCCGCCTCGGCCTCCCAAAATGCTGGGATTACAGGCATGAGCCACCGCGCTTGGTCTCTCTTACTCTTTTAATGTTAAAGAGACTTTTAGAAACTACCCAACCAGCGGAATCAATGCATTGCCTGGACTGACAAAAATGATTTCAACAGACGCAGGGCACTCTACTACCAATCTTGTGGGGGGTCTGCTCTGTCCTCTGCATCTTCTCCTCATTGTCACTGTGTTTCAAGTTGCATCTGCCATTCAAAGGCACTTTATATGTAACAAACATGATCGTGTACCCTAACTCACATACCTGATCTCAAACATTAAAAGGGAACAGGCTTGCAAAAAATACATACTTCCCCACATTCTGATTTCTCTTTAATAACCAGAATTATTTGCAGAAGAGACAGCATGATTCTAAGTCTTTATCACCGGGTCTCCGATATCAGGCCTTATTCAAATGATGTCAAGGTGTGTTCAAAGCATTTGCTATGTTCTACAAGGTAAAAGGCAGCAGAGAAGAAATACATAAACAAGGCTGGGCACGGGGGCTCACACCTGTAATCCCAGCAATTTGTGAGGCCGGGGAAGGCAGATTACCTGAAGTGAGGAGTTCAAGACCAGCCTAGCCAACATGGTGACACCCTGTCACTACTAAAAATACAAAAAGTAGCTGGGCATGGTGGCAGGTGCCTGTAATCCCAGCTACTCCGGAGGCTGAGACATGAGAATCGCTTGAACCCAGGAGGCAGAGGTTGCAGTGAGCTGAGATTGCACCACTGCACTCCAGCCTGGGCAACAGAGTGAGACTCTGGTGCAAAAAAACAAAACAAAACAAAACAAAACAAAAAAAGGCCGGGTGCAGTGGCTCATGCCTGCAAACCCAGCACTTTGAGAGGCCGGGGCAGGCGGATCATGAGGTCAAGAGATTGAGACCATCATGGCCAACATGGTGAAACCCCGTCTCTACTAAAAATACGAAAATTAGCTGGGCGTGGTAGCGCACACCTGGAGTCCCAGCTACTCGGGAGGCTGCAGCAGAAGAATTGCTTGAACCCTGGAGGCAGAGGTTAGAGCGAGCTGAGATCACACCACTGCACTCCAGCCGGGCGACAGAGTGAGACTCCATCTCAAAAAAAAAAAAAGGAAAAAGAAATATGCAAACAATATCTTTGCATCTCTCCCAGAGGATGTGGCATTGTGTTCTGTGCACAGTAGGGCCTCAGCAAACACTGACTTGGGAGGAGTATTCAAGCTTTAATATATTCAAAAGTTGTCCTTGGAAACACACCTGATATCTCTGGATGGAAAATCCCCCCCAGGTTTCAAGCAGTGGGCGATGCATACACACTTTGGCCTCTGCTGCAAAGAGGGAAGAGGATGCCCTTAAACGAAAGGCTTTTTCTTTCATTCTCAGTATCAAGAAACAGACCTATAAAAAGTGCCCTTCCTAATGGATATCTGCTCCTCACTCTGAGGGCACTGACTTAGTTTTTCGTGAAACTTGAGAGACCACAGGGCTTCCGACATTTGCTGGCTGTCATGCAGAAGAGGCAAATCACAGGCTACATGTTCTCGCCTTCTGATTTAATAAGGTGCAAACTCATGGGGGAGGCTCTAACTGCAGCTTTGTCCTCAAGGAAGTCTGGGGCTTATCAGGTGCAATGATCCCTCTCTAAGGATGTGCAATACTGATGGGACGATAGGGAAGATTCTCGTTGCTAGGGGGAGTCCTGACAGAGGCAAAGCCCCTGTGTGAGCTGAAGAAAACTATGGAGAGACCATATACTGGCCGGGCGCAGTGGCTCACGCCTGTAATCCCAGCACTTTGGGAGGCCAACGTGGGCAGATCACTTGAGGTCAGGAGTTCGAGACCAGCCTGGCCAACATGGTGAAACCCCATCTCTACTAAATATACAAAACTTAGACGGGCATGGTGGCGGACACCTGTAATCTCAGCTACCCAGGAGGCTGAGACAGGAGAATCATTTGAACCCAGGCGGTGGAGGTTGAAATGAGCCGAGATGGCGCCACTGCACTCCAGCCTGGGCGACACAGTAAGACTCCATCTCCAAAAAAAAGAAAGACCATATAACCTCCATTGGTTACATTTTTTCCATACACAAAAAACTTAATAGCTTAGCTGAAGCCTCACGGTGCTTTAAAGCAGGGCATGGGCAAGTAATTTCTAATCAGTCCCTCTACCCCCTTTCACAGCAGCCACCTAAGCCAGGCCACACAGACCCTGAGGCCTGCCATCATGTGGGACACTGCTCCCCTGCCAAGCAGAAAACTAATAAAGCAATCAAAGTCAAGACAAAGGAAGAGCATGTTTGAAGTCAATGAAAAGCAACCTGTTAGCCCAAAGGCCCTGGGAACCTCCTTCCCAGCAAGAACTGAGAAACAATTACTTCTGAAAACCAGTTCATTTGTAAGAAGATGACCTTAAACGTCCCCTAATTAGAGCTACAGTAAGTTGGTCTACTTTAAAATTAATTTTTAAAAGAAACCCTACAGTTCTACTTTCTGTGGCAGAGCCATGATCTAAAATTAGCCACTAATAAAGTCCTTCTCTCAATGACTTGCGGGGTGGTGGGGAAGGAGGGCCCTGTGTGAACATTCAAGGAGACGGGTGGCAGCCGTGCCGTCAAGGGCAGTGACTCGCATGGCCTACCCGGCACAGGTAGGCACGGGCATACACCGACACTAGTGGGTCTCCGATCCCTCTGATCATGCATGTCAACCGGGGCAGGCACTCTGAAATTCCCCTGCAAGAGACAAAAACAGGCCAGCATTATATTCGACGTGAGAACTCGCTGTTCTTTAATTTTTTAAATAAAGATAAAGACTTCCTAAATTTCAGGGAGGGGGGGAAAAATCAAGTTTCAGTAACAAACCAAGGTCAAAGTTTCAGTTTTCTAAGGCAATGTAACAACAGTCTTTCTCTTCTGATACAATTCATTCATTGAATGATTTCTTTCATCGTTATCATTTGCTCAGTGGTGGAGGCTAACCACATTTTTTCCCCAGTCGAGGTCACATTTATTTTATTAATTTTAACAGTTTTTGTCTTCAATTATTTTCCATCGACTGGGCACCCCTTGATCTTCTCTCCACATGTATTTTCGTTTGCCACAGATTTACTGTCCCGTACCCTGTTCCTTCCGTGAATCTCAGGCTGGCATCTGACATCCTCCAACCACCAACAATGTGAATTACAATTTATTTCTCCTGCAACGTATGTCTTCCCTCTGCCTAAGGCATTATCCTCCTCCAACTGGTGAGGCAAAATAATGTTTCTTCAGCCCCCATGTTATTCCCCCAAACTATTCCAGGCAACCCTAGATCCAAATCCAACACACTTGAGATAAATTCTAAATCCAATCGGTAGAGCTATCTGTGGAGCACCATGAATCAGTCACTCCCGGGCTTCAAGGAATTTATTATCTAGCTATCTAACATGACTCAGCATTTCACCTGCTCTGCAGAAAGCAGATCTGGGTCCCCCACGTCCTGTAACTACTCTCAAAACATTGTGATAAATTGAGTGGCATGGACCTAAGCCACTAAGGGCAAAGGCTTCTGCTTCTGACGTCATTTTCATCATCATCATCATCAACAGCAGCCAACATGGAGGATGGGCCCACCGTGTGCCAGGGGTGACTCTCATTGTTGCATGTGTGACCCAAAGGACCCCCTCAGACCTCTTCTTAGGGTCATGTTCCCAGGAGAGGGAGCCAGAGGTTCTGAGGCTGTAAGTAACTTGTTCAAGACCATACAGCTAGTACCAGTACAGCCAAGATTCAAATCCAGTTGAGCTGATCTTCCATGACCTCCTTAACCAACTTCTCCAGGCTTGAGTTTTCCTCTCTCTAATATGGGGATTAGGATGGTGTCTCTACTTCATTCAGTTTTCATTTGGATTCAATGAGAAAAAGAACAGAAGGTGCTTAACACACATTAAGTACTCAGTGAATAATGGCTACTATTACATTGCCATTACTATCTGTGTACACATGGGAGATTTTTAGAAATTTTATGGTTCTAGATTTTACCGAAGAGCCTTACGTTTTGGAGAGGAATTTGTTACATTTCAGGATGGATGCCTCCACGTAACTACAAAAACATCCTGTTAAGGAAGATGTTTTCCAGAAGGTCTACTCCCTATGGAGAAAAGACTAAACTATCCATGAATAGAAGTAGGCGGGTCTTAGGAGATGGGGACCACAGTGGCCCTCAACAATCCAGCGAACTAAGGTAGCTTATGGTTTCTACATATGGTTTTCAAAGTTTCATACTTATTTGAAATAAATTGTGGGAAATGTTATACGTTGATTCATAGTTGCATGCTGAAATATAAACTGGGTTTTGAGCATTTCTAATCAATGCTTTATGGGGAAAGAAAGAACTTTAGGTAACTAAGATGGAATTTATGTATAAGTCAAATTATCTGTTCTTCAATAGTAGCATTTGCCCTGCAAAGCTTGACCCTGTTCTTTCAAGTTCTTGGAATCAGAGAAAACACAAATATGAAGCATTTTAATTGAGAGAATTAAGGTGGGAATGTTCCTCAAGGAAACAAATGCTTGACACATGGCATCGTATTCAAAGTAAAAGACAAAAAACTGGAAAGAGCAAGAGTCCAAGGGTTTCTACAATGTGGCTTGCCCTGTATGTGTTTTCAGGCTAGCAACCGTAACGGGACCAAACTTTCAATAAGAATGTCAGGGCATCCCATCACATGGCTTCTATTAACAGTACAATTCTTTTAGCCTATCTTTAAAATCATCAGACCAAAAAAAAAAAAAAGGATACAATCTTGGAATGAGTTCCCTGATGGAGGCAATCTTGAAAAACCAATTTAGGCATGTTTCCTTGGCCGTGTCATTTGCATTCTCTGGAGAAAAGTGATCTGTAATACAAAAAACAAGATCCATCAGCCCTCCTAAATCTCAGGATCTGTGTGAGTCCCTGGATGGGAATACATTACCCTGGAGCAGAAAAGGGGGTGACTCAGCCTGTTTCTTTCCTTCCAAATATCACTATTAGGAAGTAACTGATGATAACAATAGTTTACACAGACACAGGCTTTCTAAGTGCCAAGTGTCGTTCGCAGTGCTTTACAGACAGCTCACCTGATCCCATATAGCAACCCTCTGAGGTACGTAGTTTTATTATCTTATTTTACAGATGCAGAGACCAAGGCACAGAGGAATGTAGTGACTCACCCAAGGCACACAGCAAGCAAATGTAAGAGTTAGAATTCAACCCAGGCACTCTGGCCCTGCGGCCGACATTCTTAGCCACTGCCTCTAATATAATCCAGAGGTTCTTGGTTACCTACCAGTCACTATGACAACATTGTTGAGAATTCCAGATGCTTTACGGACCTGCGACTGCAACATGAAATGTGATCTAAGCTTTTGCTCTACACATCACAATGGGCCAGAGGAAGGTAAAACAAGGCCTCTGAGGTGAGAAACCAGCCAGAATTATGTTGCCGGCTCACGACTGGCTCCAAGAGAGTCATCTTGTGAAACTGCCAGTTTACTCCATTAGCTATTCTCTTCCTCTTTAATAAAAGAACTCGCATTTTCCTGCAGGACACAGGGCCATCCTTGCAGCTAGGTGTGGTCACGTGGGTCAAGTTCTGGTCCCAGGATATATAAATAGAAGGGCAACTTCTGAGAAGTATCTTTAAGGAAAGGGGCTTGCCTTCCCTCACTTCTTCTTTCTGCTCACTGACTGGAATGCAGACATGACAGCTGGAACCTCTGCAGCCATACTGACCATGAGAGCAACAAGACAGAAGTGAGGATCCTTGGTACCAGGGGCTAGCTGGCCCATCGGCCCTGACCTTCATTACTGTTATTTTGAGTTTTCTGGAACTGGTACCCAAGCTTGATTTTGACATACATATTTTTAAACAGCAGAAATTTATTTCTCACAGTTCTGGACTTGACATACATCTTAAGGAATGGAAGAGAATATGGAGAAATGAAAGAAAAAACACAAAACTTACAAACACCATGAAGGCCTTTGTTAACCTCTCACATGGAAATGATTTCAGCAAAGATTAGAGCTCCATCCCACCACTGGATGTTTTATACTTTTAGGATTAATTCAAAAAGGGAGAAGCTGGCCAGGCACAGTGGCTCATGCCTGTAGCCCCAGCTACTTGGAAGGCTGAGGTGGCAGGATCAATAGAGCCCAGGAGTTTGAGGCTGCAGTGAGCTATGATTGAGCCACTGCACTCCAGCCTGGGCAGAGCGAGACAGAGTAAGACAGAGCAAGACCTTATTTATTTATTCTCTAAAAAATGAATAAATAAATTAAAAGGGAGAAGTTAGTTACTTTAGAATATAGCAAATGATTCTTAGCTTGTTGGCTTTCATCCTGTTTTGCAATGAGTCATTTTCATCCCTGATTCTGTCATTTGGTAGTATATGAAGGTGATCAAAATTCCCATAGAATCAGCAAAAAAAGATAAACCTCTAGGTACTTCTCTAGCAGAGAACAGTCACTAATCACTGCAGATATTTTGAAATTGCAATCTCCTCACTCTATTTTTGGATGTCTGGCATGCTTCATTCACTTGAGAACTATTTGCTTACCATTTTCAAAAGGATGGGAAATGACCATTTTCCCCTTTCCAGCCTAGATCTCTACACATGAAGTAACTTTTTTTTCTACTTTCAAGAGATCCAGACAGGAAAAGATAGCAGTTATTCTTACATTCATTTGTCAATCTTCTCTTTGGGGAGAGGGAAGAGCAGTGTTAATTTCCCTTCATATGACTGAATCTTGTGGCTTAAAATCCAAAAGCAAAAATAGGTCTCTGAGGTCATCTACAAAATCTCTCACTGTCTAGCTGAAGGAACTGAGATTCAGCAATGGCTAAAACAAACTGGTTCAGGTTGCCTGAAAGAGTTGGAAATCAGGCTAAAGGCAGGCTGCCTTGCATACACGCATTGACTACAAGCTATACGACAATCTGCATACACCAATACAGAATCTTTAGGCTTTCCTTCCAGCTCAAGAGATAATTTAGGAAAAGGATTATGTTACGTGGGACTTTAAAATCTTACAGCAAACTAAATATTATATTCCTTTACTTCATGTGCTCAACACAAATGCCTTAAGGGCCAACTAAAGGTGGTGTTCCAGGCTTTGGGGAGATAACAGTGCACAAGGTAGATCCTATCTTCATGAAACTTACATTCCAGTGGGGTGAGACAAATGCTAAACAGGAAAGAGAATAAGCAGGCAAACAAATAAGATAATATCTAACAGCAGTAAGTACTATTAAAGATACTAAACTAGGTATTGGAATAAAGAGTGACTTGAGTGTGATTTAGGGGAAGGGGCTCATTAGATGTAGTGGTCAGAGAAGGCTCCCACAGAGGCAGCATTTGAGCTGAGCCCTGAACTACGAAAGGGAGCCAGCCATGCCTAGATGTGGAAGAAACATATTCCAGGGAAAGAAAACAGCAAGTGCAAGGCCCTGAGGTAGGTATAACCTCACTATGGTCAAAGAACAAAAAGCAAGCCAATTTGCTGAGCAGAAAGGGGAGCAGCCAGCATGACAAGCCAGTTCATACAGGGCTGAAGCCTTGGTGAGGAGTTTGAGAGTTTTTCTAAACATAATGGAAACCCCCTGAAGGGTTCTGGGCACAGGAATGGCAATGACATGACACAGTTTAGACTTCAGCACTTGGGCTGCTACATGGGGACTCCTTCAAAATCTGGAAATTAATTCAGAAGACACTTCAATATAACAAAGAACAGAGATTTTTTTTCTAGCTCCCACTTATTTTTCTTTTATGGTGCTGCTTTTTTTCAAACCTGAACTTCTGTGGGTATTTTAAGAGAAGGCAGGAGACCAATGAGTCTAGTTCTTTCATTTATTTGCCAAGTCTCTACCCTAGCAGCGAGAGGTCTCTTTACGTAACAGTGTTATAGGGATTGGCACCATCTTAGTTAGCATGTGCTGGAAAGGCCAGGTCAGTTAAGGCCACTGCTTATCCCGATGTGGCCCACATCAGCCACAGGGGAAAACTGAAGATGGGAATGCTGAGAAGATGGTGATGGGAACCATAATACAATAAACCCAAATTATCTCTCCCAAGCTGGAAATAAAATGATTTGACTTCTCAGAGTCGATGGTCTCTTTATGCATAAGCTGGATTAAGAACTGTTGGGAAAAAATGACCACATCTAATAGTGTGTGATTTTCATGAACCCAAAAGACACTGTATCTTTCTCAACTCCGAAGAGCTATACCTTAGTTAAAATTCCTGAAGGCAAAGGGCTCAAGTATGAAATTCACCCAACAGAACTTGATTTAAATGGAAAGAATGAGTACAAATGCCACCAAATTTCTCTTCACACATAATCTCTTTGGGCAGAATTCTGCACAGGAGATTTCTAAAGCTTTCATGATAATTATACTTAAGAGTCATTCCTCAGATCACCAACAACTTTGAAAAACATAATCTACTGTTCTTTTCAGGTTCTTGGAACTGGAGCTAACACAAGCAGATGAAGATTTTAGCTAAAAGGAAAACAAACAATGATATCATTTAAAGAAAAAAAAACCAAATCATTTGCTTTGCTCAAGATCAAAAATAGTTATTTGGAGAGGGAAGAATTTTAGTGATAAAAGTGCTATAATTAATGTATCTAAACGAGGACTGATCTGTTGTTTTGAACTTTTAAGTTTAGGCAAGGAGTTAGTTATTAGTAATTTTTCCTTAATTGGCCCTAAAATGTTGTTTGTATAGTCACTGAAGACTGGGAGAAAGGAAGATTATTGCAGTAGAGGCAAATTCAAATGCTTCTGGGGGCCAGGCAGGTAAATATGAAAATTTTTAAGAGGTTGGGTATATAACAATAGGAAGAACTAGAGCCTGTATCAAAAGTCATTTTTTTTTAAATGCTGTTGTTGCCAAAAAAAAAAAAAAACCTATTTTGGTTCAGTTCCACCTGTTGGCTCAAGTTTGCTGCCAATGGTATAGCATGCTACATGCTGGCAAGTGTATATTAAATAAATGGATTCGGCCGGGCGTGGTGGCTCATGCCTGTAATACCAGCACTTTGGGAGGCCAAGGTGGGTGGATCACCTGAGGTCAGGAGTTGAAGACCAGCCTGGCCAACATGGTGAAACCCCATCTCTACTAAAAATACAAAAATTAGCTGGGTGTGGTGGTGCACACCTGTAATCCCAGCTACTTGGGAGGCTGAGGCAGGAGAATCGCTTGAACCCAGGAGGCGGAGGTTGCAGTGAGCTGAGATTGCGTCATTGCCCTCCAGCCTGGGCAACAAGAGTGAAACTCCATCTCAAAAATAAATAAATAAATAAACAATTCAGATTTCCCAAATCCTCAAGCCAGCGGAGAAGGCCTTTCCTTTCCACTTGGGCTGGCCTCTGCCTGCCTCTCCCAGATCACTGCCTCCAACCCTGAGATGGCCAGAACATAGGAGGAGCTGCTGAAAAAACATCGTCACAGGTGTGACGCAGTGGCGTGGAGGGTCCCAAAGAAAAACCACATGAGCCACATTAAAAAGGTCAAAAACTGGGGAAATTAATTTTAATCATGTACTTTACCCGATTCATCCAGAATACCGTTTCAACATGTAATCAACATAAACACTATTAGTGAGCTACTTTACCGTCTTTTACTTGTACTGACTCTTTGAAATCCGGTGTCTTTTTTAATAGTTACGTCACATCTCAATTTGGACTGGCCACATCTCAAGTGCTCAAGAGCAACACGTGGCCAGTGGCTGCTGTACTGGACAATGTAGATGCAGCACTAAGAAAGAGCAAGGCTCTCAGTAGCTGGTGGCAGGGCCCTGGGCAAGACTCTTCCGTACTGGGTCTGCCCATCTCTGATGAAACAAGATGGGTCCTAAAAGCACTTCAAGACCTAAAAAGCCTTCAAGAGCTAAAAATCCTAAAAGCCTGTTGAGTTCTGTCTCTTTCTTTCTGACAAATGTGCACATTAAATAGTATTAAAAAGACAGGCCAAGCACAGTGGCTCATGCCTATAATCCCAGCACTTTGGGAGGCTGAGGTGGGAGGACTGCTTGGGCCCAGAAGTTTGAGAGCAGCTTGGGCAACATAGGGAGACCCCGTGTCTACAAAGATGAAAAAGTAAAAATATTAAATAGAAAAAAAAAAAAGGGACGGGCACGGTTGCTCATGCCTATAATCCCAGCACTTTGGGAGGCCGAGGCGGATGAATCACTTGAGGTCAGGAGTTTGAGACCAGCCTGGCCAACATGGTACAAACCCTGTCTCTACTAAAAATACAAAAATTAGCCAGGTGTGGTGGCAGGCACCAGTAGTCCCAGCTACTGAGGAGGGTGAAGCAGGAGAATCGCTTGAATCCGGGAGGCGAAGGCTGCAGCGAGCCAAGATTGTGCCACTGCCCTGCAGCCTGGGTGACAGAGCAAGAGTCCATCTCAAAAAAATTAAATAAAGATAAATTGATCGATTGATGGACAGATAGGAAGCAGAAGGAGAGAGAAAAGGAGAGGGTGGGAGAGGAGGAGGGAGAGGAAGAGAGAGGAGGAGAGAGAGGGAGGAATAAAGGAAAGAGGAAAGAAGGAAGAATATAGGTCAGGTTATAGGTTACTGTCACAAACACTTTCTATTCACCTCCTGGGAAGCCCCACTGCAGGAGCGGAGGGAAGTGGAGCGGCAATGGAGCAAGCTGGTTGCTCTAGCTTGGACGGATGAGAACGTTTCCTCATAGCAGTGCTCGGAAGTTAAAAAGAGGAATAAAGGCAAAGGATGCTGCAGCTGAGAGTCCTGCATTGCCAGACACATCATTCTTACCATTTATACGACAAAAGAAATTCATCATCCACTTGTCCCATTATAACCTCCTGGGAATTTAAACTTGATTGACAGTCAATTTAATGCAAAATCATTTGGGTATAGATTGTGAATTCAAAGCATCAATTACTATTGATCTATTTGACATCATTCTTTAATATGCATAAAGTCGTTTTTGATTTTTTTTTCCAAGCAAGTTGCTTCTTAGGAGGGAACGATACATAGGAAAAATATTAAAGTCAAGCAGCAGAGGAAAATATGTTCGTGTGAAAGTTTGGCTGAATCTAACTGTGAGGCCTTTGCAGATTCAAATGACTTGCCTGAGTTCCTACACGGGCCATTTAGAAACCTTCTAATGTTTTTAGAAGACTGAGGTGATCAGAAATCTTCAAAGGTGTTTCTTTTACTTTAACACACCCAAAATTAAAACCTTTATCAAGCTTCAATGAATCCTGACTCAATAAAAGCCTTCTAGTCCTGACTCCAGGGCAGAATGACACCCCAGGAACAGCTGCGACATTACCTGGTAAGACGCTGCGGCTATCCACACACATGGAAAAGATGCGCTCGTACACGAGCTTTCCTGGGAGGAAAAGGACAGATGGTGTTAGTATCACACTCTTCAGGAGCAAACAGTAAATAAATGTTTGTTAATTAGGGACCCAGAGCTATCATCGCCCAGACAGGCTTTAACTTGTGATGGTATGCTGCCACCTGGTGGGACAGATTTTAAGCCACATTTTTTTTGTTTTGTTTTTAGTTTTTCCAGTAGACTTTTACTTTCTTTGAAAGGCAGAAAAGTGATCGTTTTACCCTTTGGAATCTAAAGGAGTCTCAAGTATCTCCATCCACTCAGACGATGGTCCACACTCCATGCTAGGCCAGAGGTGAAAACAGGCAGCCCACGGGCTGAATCCAGCCTGTGACCAGTTGTGCATGGCCACTCCACAACACACAACAGCCCACAAAGTGTTTTAACATTTTTTGAATTGGTTACCAACACGTAAAAACTGGAAGAGGCTGGGCATAGTGGCTCACACCTGTAATCCTAGCACTTTGGGAAGCCGAGGCAGGAAGACTGCTTGAGCCCAGGAGTTCAAGAGCAGCCTGGGCAACACTGTGAGACAGGGTATGTACAAAAAATTTAAAAATTAGCCAGGCATGGCAGTGCACGCCTGTAGTTTCAGCTACTTGGGAGGCTGAGGTGGGAGGATTGCTTGAGCCCAGGAGTTCAAGGCTGCGGTGAGCCATGATCACCCACTGCCCTCCAGCCTGGGTGAGAGAGCAAGACCCTGTCTCAAACACAAAAACTAAAACAAACTCTACAACTTGGGAGAACTCACATGCCATATTTTCTCCTTCTTCACATAAAATATGTCAAAAATGTGGCGATATCTCTATAGGATAACACAGCTAGAGCAAATTAGTAGCTGCCCCTTGAAATGGCATATACACTAACCAGTTTGCCAGTCTCAACCACCCCCTACTGTCTCTCATCATCAGCGTGCTTTTCACTCTTTTATGTGACCTGCCTGGTCCCTAGAAGCCTCAGAATTTGAGATTCAACTAGAATGCAAGCTCCACAAAGGCAGAGATTTGTGCTTGTTTTGTTCACTGACATATTCCTAGTACTGATCAGTGCCTGGCACACAGGGGGTACTCAATATTTGTTGGATGGATGAACATACTAGAGGTTTTGTAGGTCATGGGTCACTTTCCTGACGACTCATCTTTGCCACTGTAGCATAAAAGTGGCCACAATGTGCAAACAAATTGATGTGGCTGCGTTCCAATAAAACTCTACACAACAGGTAGGCAGCCTGGACCCCTAAACTGGTATCAAAAGTTTTATTTATTCTGTGCATGTATTTTCAAAATGTTATCAATATGTGGAAGTAAAAAATTAGAGTCCTTATTCATTTTCTAAGCTCTCCTAAGTCACCTTCAATGTGAAAGTATTTCCCTCTATGAGATTTTTTTTTTTTTTTCATAACCCTTTATTCAGGGCAATAAAGAACAACACAGCTTGTCCATACATGGAAAAAGAGACAGGAAAATACAAAGATCATTTCAGGTTAAAGAACGTGGGATCAGGCAGGATTAAGTGAAGGAAGCCAGCCAAGCTAAGAGGTTCCACCCAGGTGCTTCTCCTAGTATGAGCCACCTACCTAAATACCTTCCTATCTACATTCATTCCTTCATTCACTTAGACAGGGTCTCACTCTGGCACCAGGCTGCAGTGCAGTGGCGTGATCACAGCTCACTACGGCCTCCACCTCCTGGGTTCAAGCAATCCTTCCACCTCAGCCTCCTATGTAGCTGGGACCACAGGTATGCGCTGCCATGCTTGGCTAATTATTTTTTTGTAGAGATGGGATTTCCCTATATTCCCAGCCCAAGCAGGTCTTGAACTCCTGGGCTCAAGTGATCTGCTTGCCTTAGCCTCCCAGAGTGCTGGGATTATAGGTGTGAGCCACCACACCTGGCCTTGGACCACCTACATTAAAATTTCCTGAAGGCACTTGTTGAAAATGCAGATTCCTGGTGCCCACCTTAGAGCTACTGGAAAAGAATATTTTATAGCCAGGCGTGGTGGTGCACGCGTGTAGTCCCAGCTACTTGAGAGGCAGAGATAGAAGCTATGATTGTGCCGCTGCACTCCAGCCTGGGGCAACAGAGTGAGACACTGTCTTTAAAAAAAAAAAAAAAGTATTTTGGAGGATGAGGACTAGGAATATGGATTTCTGAATAACCTTGCTGGGAAATCCTTATACATGCTGAAATGTGAGAACCACTGATTTAGGCAGACACCAGTGGGTCTCTGAGCTAAAACTTGCCTTGCCTCTGGAATCTACAGAAATAGCAACAAACTTCCCTTTTCCCTCTGAGCCAGTGCTTCTCCAACTGGGCTGCAGACTCCAAGCACCTGGGACTATTGAAAATATGTGGATGTCTGTGTCCATCCTCAGAGGTCCTCTTCTAAATGGTCTGGATGCAGCTGGGACTTTGTGGGTGTTTGTAAAGCTGCCCAGGTGATTTCAATGTGCAGCTGAGTATGAGAAGCACTGCTCCAAACCACTGGCTCCATTTAGAAGCCCCTGGAAGGCCTTAGAGAACAAGCCCCAGTTCTCAAAGCCACCTGCCTTTTTCCTCCTGGCAGAACGAGCTTTCCTTATCAGCGGCTCTGGGTTCCCTATAGCGCCACACCTCGTGTAGAGAGAGGCCTCCCTTGTGATGACCCCAGAACCCTGGCATTAGGGATGCATGCAATGTTACCTCGGACCATCACACAGCAAACCACACTAGGTGGCTGCATAACTTCTCACCTCCCATGGTGCACAGAATGAACCCAGCACAAAACACCTTTATTTCCTACACGAAAGTTGCCATCCCTCTAAAACTAGCTTTCTTTTTTTTAAAAAAAATTTCATCTCCACATTCTTTTTCACTTTTTTTTTTTTAAGAGACAGAATCTTGCTCTGTCACCCAGGCTGGAGTGCAGTGGAGCAATCACAGCTCACTGCAGCCTCAACTTCCTGGGCTCAGGGGCTCCTCCCACCTCTGCCTCCTGAGTAGCTGGGACCACAGGCGCACACCACCTTGCCTGGCTAACTTTTAAATTTTTCGTAGAGACGAGGTCTCACCATATTGCTCAGGCTGGTCTTGAACTCCTGGGCTCAAGCAATCCTTCTGCACTGGCTTCCCAAAGTGCTGGGATTACAGATATGAGCCACTGTACTGGGCCTCACTTTCATATTTTAAGGATCTTTTAACTACAAAATTAGTTTTACTGAAAAAAGTGATTTGTCTATTAAGCTAGTAGACAACTATTTTGAGAAATAACACTTGATCCTAGATTTATTTCCTGTCTTGATTTGCTTTCTTACAAATCAAAGACACTAAAAGAGATAAATAATAACAGTGGTAACAGCTAGCATTTTCTGAGCACTTACTTTGTGCCAAGCACTATTCAAGGTCATTTACTTTAATCCTGCCAGCAAGCTCTTAGAAAAGGAAAGACATTATACTTCCTATGAATCCTCTCATTTAATCCTCTCCAGAAACCCTTAGAGGCAGGGTCTACGATAGCCCCATTCTACAGGTGGAGAAACTGAGGCTCAAGTTCACACAACCCTGAAACAGGAGACGCAGGCACTGAAGCCAGAAGCCCACCTCTGTACCCAATGCCTCCAGTGAAATCCCAGCAGAAACCAGGCACACGTCTTCCCACTGTGCATGCCAGTCTCTGTGGATGCTGGGGCCTTAGCCTGCATCCCTGGCACAGCAAGATGCTCTGACCCTCTTGTCAATGATGTCAACAACCATGAAACACCTGTCCCTATACTGTCATGCATCTTCTTTTAGAGCAGAGTAATGACCATGTGCAGAAAAATGGAGCTCAGGACTCCACATTTCCACCAAGCAAGTCAGGGTTTCACTCCTTTTTTATAAAGTGAACACTCATTAGCCCCAAACCTTAATAAAGACTCTTTGAGCATCTGTCCATGCAGGCTGCCTCAACAGTCCTGAGGAATATTATTCACAATAGACTTAAACAACAGCACCGTGGGAACACCATTCTGAAGTGGAGAGGAAGGACAGGGACCTTGGGAAGTGCTGAAAGCAGCTACTCTGTGTGAATGTTTGGTTTTGAATAGGTAAAACATTCCCTTGGTTCAAAATTCAAAAAAGCTGCAGAAGGTACCGAGCGCAGTTTCTCTCCTGGCCCATCCCATCCACCTCACTGCCCTGCACACCCTCTGAGAGAAACCATTTCTATCGGTTTCTTGGCTATCATTTTAATGTCTCCTTAGGGAGACACAAGTGAATACCAACATGTAGTCTACATTTTCCTCCTTTCTTTTTTTTTTTTTCTTCTTTTTGAGACAGGGTCTTACTTTTGCTAGGGTGCAGTGGTACCATCATAGCTCACTGCAGTCTCAAACTTCTTGGGCTCAAGGAATCTGCCTGCCTCTGCCTCCTAAGTAGCTGGGACTATAGGCTTGTACCACCAAACCTAGCTATTTTTTTTAAATGTTTTGTAGAGATGGGGTTTTGCTATGCTGCCCAGGATGGTCTTGAACTCCTGGACTCAAGTTATCCTCCTGCCTCAGCCTCCCAAAGTGCTGGGATTATGGGATTACAGGTGTGAGTCACCATGCCCAGCCCTTTCCTTCCCTTCTTTGTTGTTGTTTTGTTGTTGTTGTTGTTGGTTTGATTGTTTTTCTGAGATAGAGTCTCACTTTATCACCCAGAATGGAGTGCAGTGGCTTGATCTCAGTTCACTGCAACCTCTGCCTCCTGGGTTCAAGCAATTCCCCCACCTAAGCCTCCCGAGTAGCTGGGATTACAGGCGCGTACCACCTCGCACAGCTAATTTTTGTATTTTTAGTAAAGACGGGTTTCACCATGTTGCCCAGGCTGGTCTCGAATTCCTAAGCTCAAAGTGATCTGCCCGCCTTGGCCTCCCAAAGTGCTGGGATTACAAGTGTGAGCCACCATGCCCAGCCTTTTCATTTCACAGAGCCACTAGTACTCCACTATACAGACACACCATAATTTATTGAGCTAGCTCCTATTGATGGCCACTTGAGTTGCTTCTTATAGTTTGCTATTACAGGTGGGATAGATTCCCAGAGGTGAAACTGTTGGGTTAAATGTACATGCATTTAGGCCAGGTGCAGTGACTCATGCCTATAATCCCAGCACTTTGGGAGGCCAAGGTGGGAGGATGGCTTGACTCCAGGAGTTTGAGACCAGCTTGGGCCACACAGTGAGATCCCATTGCTAAAAAAAAAAAAAAAATTCGCTGGGCATGGTGGCACACACCTGTGGTCCCAGTTACTTGGGAGACTGAGACAAGAGGATCCTTTGGGTCAAGGAGATCAAGGCTGCAGTGAGCCATGATCACCCCATTGCACTGTGGCCTGGGCAATGAAGTGAGACCCTGTCTCAAAAAAAAAAATGGTATATGCATTCCCCCATAAGCAATGTATAAAGAGAAATAAAGTAGGTGCTTTGACTGCAGAGAGCTAGTTGAGCCTCAGCTCTGCAATTCACTATGATGGTGACCCTGGGCAAGCTACTTTCCTTCTCCAAGCCTCAGGTTCCTCATCTATAAAATGGGGACAACAACCAGACCCATCTCATAGGGCTGTTATGCAGATTATGGGACTTAATATCTTTTTTTTTCTCCTGCCTCAGCTTCCCGAGTAGCTGGGACTACAGGTGCCCACCACCATGCCCGGCTAATTTTTGTATTTTTAGTAGAGACGAGGTTTCACCATATTGGCCAGGCTGGTCTTGAACTCCTGACCTTGTGGTCCACCCACCTTGGTCTCCCAAAGTGCTGGGATTACAGGCATGAACCACTGCGCCTGGCCGGGACTTAATATCTATAAAGCACCTAAACAGTCTGTCCAAGGTCATCATCTGTTGAAGGTTTACCACTGCTGTTCCCAACTCCCAGCCCAGCTGTTTTCTGGGACGCAACAAGGACAGCAGCATCTGCACTACAGCCCGGGGAGTACAGGACGGGGCTGGAGTGCTGCTGGCAGGAGCTGGCAGAGTGGCTGCCCAGAGTTCTTGCAAGGTGAGTGAGCTGTCTGGGTCTGGCCAGGCTTGCAGGATAGAGCTAATCAGTGTCTCAGAGTTAATCTTGCTCAGGAAAGCTGACTCATACAAAAGAAACTTAGGAGAGGCGGGCGAGGGAACCAGACGGCCAAGAGGTTAATTCACGGGAGGAATGAGACTGCCAGGGGAGCCAGACACAGCCACCAGCCTCTCCCCACCAATGAGGGCCTCACACTCGCCGAAGGTAAGCTGTGTGCATGGACACGTCAAGGACCAGCAGTGTATGATTTGACATCTAACCTGAGAACCTAAAGCCCTCATCCATCCTGGGTCTCTCCTCACCATCTCCACCGCCTCCCGGGGCCAAGCCACCCCTGCCTCTCACCGCAAGTGCTGCCACAGGCTCCGGGCTCTACCCCCGCCCTACAGTCTAGTCTCAACACGGAGCCTGTTAAATCCCACGTGGGATCACCTCCCTCCTCTGCTCAACACCCTCTGGTGGCCCCTCCTGTCCTCAGAGTCAGAGTCAAAGCCCAAGTCCTCCCAGTGGCCCCCAAGGCCACCATGATCTCTGACCATGTCAGTTTCTGCCCCTCTCCCGGGCTCATCTCATCGCCTCTCTCTTGGCCTCCTTGGTTCTCAGGCCAGCCTGGCATGCTCCCAATGCTCCCACCCCAGGATCTCCGCACAAGCTGTTCCTTGGCCTCTTCTGCCCCTGGCCTCCACCCCACAGACCCAGAGGGCTCACCTCTCCCCTCTCACCGCCTTCAAGCACCTGCTCAGGTAACCTCTCAACGAGGCTTCCTCTGAGCACCTTACTTAAACTTGCACCCCTACCCCCTCACCTAATTCCCTCCATTCCTCTTCACCCCCTCACCCCACTCTGGTTTTCTCCATAGCATGGATCATTGTCTAACATACAATTGGGTTGACTTAATTGTTTTGTAAATTCTCTTTTTTGGAAACATAAGCACCACAAAGGCGAGGATTTTTTTTCTCTTCTTTTTTTTTTTTTTTTTTTTTTTTTTTGAGACGAAATCTCAGCTCTGTGGCACAGGCTGGAGTGCAGCAGCGCGATCTCAGCTCGCTGCAACTTCCACCTCCCGGGTTCAAGCGATTCTCCTGCTTCATCCTCCCAAGTAGCTGGAATTACAGGTGCCTGCCACCAAGCCTGGCTAATTTTTATATTTTTAGTAGAGATGGGGTTTCACCATGTTAGCCAGTCTGGTCTCGCACTCCTGACCTGAAGTGATCCAACCACCTCAGCCTCCAAAAGTGGTAGGATTATAGGCGTGAGCCACTGTGCCTAGCCAAGGCAAGGATTTTTATCCCTTCTGTTTGCTGACACCTCCCTAGTGGCCTGCAGAGAGCCTGATACCACCTCTCCGGGCCATCTGAACCCATCAGGGCTCATCTGTCAGCTGGGACATCTCTTCTTTTTGCCCAGGTAGCATCCACTCCCCTTTCTTCTGCTAACTGTATCACTCTTTTAGTTTTGGGGTGACCCAGGCCTGGATAATCAGTGCATTTCATCCCCCAGATAACACAACTGGCTCAGGGACTGACATGTGATCCAAGCCAGGCCAATAAGATGGGATTCTGAAACTTCTGTGGGAATGCTTGGAGAAAGTAGCTCTTTCCATGCCCTGGGACCACTAGCAATAAAGCTAGCAGAAGCTGAGGACAGCTTGTGAAGCTCGAGAATGCACCCAACCAAGGGCAAGGTCTTTTTTTTTCTCTTTTCTTTTTTTTTTTTGGAGACGGAGTCTCGCCCTGTCGCCCAGGCTGGAGTGCAGTGGCGTGATCTTGGCCCACTGCAATCTCCACCTCCTGGGTTCAAACAATTCTCCTGCCTCAGCCTCCCAAGTAGCTGGGACTACAGGTGTGCACCACAACACCCAGCTAATTTTTGTATTTTTAGTAGAGACGGGGTTTCACCATGTTGGCCAGGCTGGTCTTGAACTCCTGACTGCAGATGATCCACCCACCTCGGCCTCCCAAAGTGTTGGGATTACAAGTGTGATGAGCCACCATGCCCGGCCCAAGGGCAAGGTCTTAATGACACTGTTTGGGTTCCTGGATCCAGCTGCACCTGAAGCCAAACTACCCCTGGACTTTTCAGCATAAGCCAATAAAGACCCACTTTTTCAAGGTTAGTTAGCTTTCTTGTCACTTGTTTTAGCTAGCGCACTCAGGCCTCCGGTCTCTTGGACAGGACTGGGATGCACAGAAATGAATGAGTCTCTCAGATTGATAGTCTGCTTTCTGACACATTGTATCTTTCGATGGGTTTACAGATAAGATTTGCTGGGTTGGGAGCCCATTAGTCCCTGTAAGACAGTGAATGTCTCTGTTCTGATCTTCCACGTGTTCAGCTCTCAGAAGGCGCCCCTATTTCCTGGTTCTGGTGGGGTGCCTTGCTGTGGGGCACATCATATACAGCTTAGAGGGCTGCATGGTTTGAGCAAACTGCTAATGGCACGATGTTCTGGCCTAACCAACCACTGCCAAGCAGCACAGGGGCCTCCTGCTCCTCCAGGTTATTCTCTTCAGTCTAAACCTTTCTACCTGGCTCCAAAAGGTCTCTCTACCTGTGAGGTGGTGTGTGGGACTAGGGGCAGCCACAGTGATGCAGGAAGCTATCCAGGTGGGAGAGGACTGTGGCTAGGATTAAAATTTTAACAGTGAGGCTGGGCACAGTGGCTCATGCCTGTCATCCTAGCACTTAGGGAGGCCGAGGAGGGCAGATCACTTGAGGTCAGGAGTTTGAGACCAGCCTAGCCAACATGGTGAAATCCCATCTCTACTAAAAATACAAAAACTAGCTAGGCGTGGTGGTGCGTGCCTGTAATCCCAGCTACTGGTGAGGCTGAGGGAGGAGAATCACTTGAACCCCGGAGGCAGAGGTTGCAGTGAGCCAACATCACGCCACTGTACTCTAGCCTGAGTGACAGAGACTTTATCTCCAAAAAAAAAAAAAAAAATTTTAACAGTGAAGAAAGAAAAAAATAGACATGCTGGGGAGAGCTTTAGGAGGCTGAACCGAAGAATCTGGTGACTGGACATGGGCATGTGGGGGAAGATGCTCAGATTCCCAGCTCAGGCAACTGGGTACATGGTGGTGCCATTCCTGGAGACAGAAACTCAGTGGGAAAAGAGAAAGGGCTGGGAACAGATGCCAAGTTCAGTTTCAGGTGCCTGTGAGACGGCAAGGGACCCATGCTGCTTAGTGCCCCCAGCCTGCCCTGCTTCACTCATTCACTTTACTAGTCTATCACAAGATTAGGAAAAACAGGCCAGGCATGGTGGCTCATGCCTGTAATTCCAGCACTTTGGGAGGCTAAGGCAGGAGGATCACTTGAGGCTAGGAGTTTGAGAGCAGCCTGGGCAACACTGCGAGACTCTGTCTCTACCAAAAAAAAAAAAAAAAACTTAGCTGGGCACGGTGGCATGAGCCTGTAGCCCCAGCTACTCAGGAGGCTGAGGCAGGAAGACGGCTTGAGCCCAGGGGTTTGAGGCTGCAGTGAGCCATGACTGCGCCACTGCCCTCCAGTCTGGATAACAGAGCAAGACCCTGACTCAAAAAAAAAAAGAAGAAAAAATAAAATTTTAGAAATTTTAGAATGTTTCAAAAATAGCGCCCTTATTAATGGGCGTGGGGGGGAACGGTTTGATCTCTCCCATGACTTACTTAATAACTTAAACCACAGCAGAACCTAATTTACAGTAACTCTACCACCCAATTCTTGACAAAACGAACACATTTCCTAGATCTAAGATGCATATGACAGGTACTTACCAAATGTATCAAGTATGTCGGTGATAAGGACAAATTTGCTTGGGTAGAACTGAATAACACTGGTGTCTGAAAGAAGCTTTGAACACTAAAAAAAGAGAAAAAAAGAGAAAATTCACTCTGGCATGTCTGGTATGGGTAGGACACTCCAGATCTGAAAAATTAATGGTTTCTATATACAAGTTGAGATACTTACTATGTGCCAAGGCCTGTGCGAGGTGCTGAGCATACAATGACAAGCTAAACCACTGTGCTTTTCACAGAGAGAGCCGGACTCTGCTTACAACAGAACCTCTTCTTTGTTTTCCCTTCCTTTTTTTTTTTTGTAGAGATGGGGTCTCGCTATGTTGCCCAGGTTGGCCTTAAACTCCCAACCTCAAGTGATCCTCCCACCTCAGCCTCCCAAAGTGCTGGAATTACAGGCGTGAGCCACCGCACCCGGCCCATAACAGTCTCTTAAGAAAATACACTATCACCTTCTTCAGGAAAGCCTTATCCAAAAGGATCCTGCTTGTATACTGAACCAGGAAGCACTCAAAATCACTGAGAGAAGTGAATGACATCTCTCTCATCACAGTCCTCATCTGTGGCCCCATCTTTGTTCAATTGCTTTGCAGACTGGCTTCTTCTGTTGATTTCAGGGTGATCAGCATCCTTAAACATTCTTTTCTAAGAAATGACCCCATAAGTAAATCCCCAAGGCTTCATAAACTCACACTGATTATTTATACTCAGTCCCAAATTCCCCCCAAAAGGAACATAAGCTTCAGTGAATACATGTTACTCTGGAAATATGACCTTCAATGCTGAAAACATTTCAGCTTTGCGGGGAATTGCTGAATTCTACATTCTCATTCATGCCAAAGGGTCACAGCCATGTTCAGGACTATTTAATTTTTTTAAATTTTATTATTATTTTATTAGAGATAAGGTCTTGCTCTGTCGCTCGGGCTGGAGTGCATTGGTGCAATCATAGCTTACTGCAGCAATGAACTCCTGGGCTCAAGCAATCCTCCTGCCTCAGCCTCCCGAGTAGCTGGGACTACAGGTATGTACCACCATGGTTGGCTAATTTTTTTTCTTTAATTTTATGTAGAGGCAGGTTCTCACTATGTTGCTCAGGCTGGTCTTGAACTCCTGACCTCAAGCAATCCTCCCACCTCAGCCTCCCAAAGTGCTGGAAATACAGGTATGAGCCACTGCACCCGGCCAACATGTTCAGAACTCTTTTTTTGAGTACTCGTCTGCTATTTAGCGTTCAGGACTTTTAATGGAAGACCGCAGTCACACAATGTGGCCCCAAACACCTTTGATTATCTTTTATCATCAGAAACAGAAAAGCTCTTTCTACTTTGAAGAACTAAATTTAATGCCATGCCCTGAAGACTTTACAAATTCAAAAGTCAGCATAAGGAATTAAATAACTGCCACACTTCATCACCTCAATGGTTGACCCTCAGAAAGAAAAATGTCATTTAAAAATTAAAAAAAAGATGTTCAGACATTTAGAAAGGATTATTTAATATGCAATTCCAATATGCAGAGAATGGTGAGAACGTTCACCATGTCAAGAGATAGGTTGACATGTGTTTTCAGTTTGGTGTTGTTACCCAACATCTAAATTGTTAGAGTCACCAAGTTTCTCCATAGCATTACAGGCCTAAAAGTAAACAACGTGTCTGATTTGCGAAACATCCCCTTACAGCCCAAATGTTATTTGTGGGGGGGGGGGGGGGGGCGGGGCGGGAATGTAAGCTGTAAAAACAATAGTGCTGACACCAAACGTGGCAACTGGATGTATGTGGAATTCCATTTCCTGACACCTCGCTCTGCGATTTTCATATGCCCTTTGTGAGAGTTCCAACTTAAACAGCTGCCCCCATGAGATTTCAAGGCTGGAAAAAGCTAACAACTCCAAATCTCAGAGACTGTTTACAATACACAGTTCTCGGTTCCTAGGGATGTGACATCTCTGAGTTCTACCCAGAGCTGGGCTTGGACAGTCTCTCAGAGATGAGTTACTGCCCACTGGTGAGGTGAGAGAGAGAGAATTTAAACAGAGGATTTCAAATTAAACACAGCTGGGGCTTCCCAAACATCTGTGCATTGATTTTCTCCCAAGCTGGTTTCATAGAACATATATTTTATAAAGGACAACAGGAATAAGATTTTGTTTTTAATCCAAAGTTAAAGCTATAATGATCTTATAAATTGAAGTTACTTTTTAAATTACTGTTTTGAAGATGCCACAGTTTTTAAAGCTTTGGTGCCGCTTCCTAAACTTGTCTGATAAGAATCAGGTAACCCAGGTATGTGTTAACAATACAAATCCCAGCTGGGCATGGTGGCTCATGCCTGTAATCCCAGCACTTTGGGAGGCTGAGGCAGGAAGATCGCCTGGGCCCAGGAGTTTAAGACCAGCTTGGGCAATGTAGTGAGACCCCAGTTTCTACAAAAAATACAAAAATTATCCAGGCATGGTGGTGTGTGCCTGTAGCCCTAACTACTCAGGAGGCTGAGGTGGGAGAATCACTTGAGCGAGGGAAGCAGAAGTTGCAGTGAGCCGAGACCGCCCCACTGCACTCCAGTCTGGAAGACAGAGCAAGAATCTGTCTCAGAAAAAAGGTTAAAAAAATTTGAATAGCCACAACAAATGCATACATTCAAAGATGACCTGAGTAGGAAGGAAAGAAGTAGACCATTACTATCCAGAATACATCTTAAAAATTGCAAAACTCAGTACGAAAAACACAGATAACAAAATGGAAAAATGGGCAAAAGAAATCAGCAAAGGTCATTTTACAGAAAAGGAAACCCCAAAGGCCTATAAATATGTGAAAAGATGCTCATTTTTATTAGTAATCGAGGAACTGCAAATTAAAACCACAAGAAAATATGACTGGAAAAATTAAAATAGAAAATCTGCTCATACCAAATGGTGGTAGAATGTTGAATAGCACAGACTCTCACACGCCCACATACTACTACAAGCGTATGCTGGCACAGCTACTATGGAAAATAACTTAGCATTATCTGGAAAAGCTGAAGAGGCACAGAGCAGTTCTACTCTTAGGTATAGGCTCTTATCTAGAGAAAAGCTTTACATGGGCACCAGCAGACGTGACCAAACGTGCTCACAGTGACATTGTCCATGTAGTGAAAAAAGAACAGAGCCAGATGCTCATCAACAGATGGCAAAATTTATGCATCAGAAAATGATTTCATACTCAATGCAATACCTGTCAGAATCCCAGAAGGTTTTTTTTATTTTGTAAAAATTGACAAGCTGATCCTAAAATTCATACAGAAATGCAAAGGGCCCAGAACAGTGAAAATAATTTAAAAAAAGAAGAAGAAAAAAAAAGTTAAAAGACTTACACCACCCAGGCCAGGCGTGGTGGCTCATGCCTTAATCCCAGCACTTTGCGGGGGGCAAGGTGGGTGGATCACCTGAGGTCAGGAGTTTGAATTGAGACCAGCCTGGCCAACACGGTGAAACCCCATCTCTACTAAAAATACAAAAATCAGCCGGGCATGGTGGCAGATGCCCGTAATCCAAGCTACTCGGGAGGCTGAGGTGGGAGAATCGCTTGAATCTGGGAGGTGAAGGTTTCAGTGAGCCGAGCCAAGATGATGCCACTGCACTCCAGCCTGGACAACAGAGCAAGACTCTGTCTCAATAAATAAATACATACATACATACATACATACATACATACTTATATTACCCAGTTTCAAACTTGCTATAATGCCATAGTAATCAAAACAATGTGGAACTGGCCAGGCGCAGTGGCTCATGCCTTTAATCCCAGCACTTTGGGAGGCCGAGGTGGGTGGATCACTCGAGGTCAGGAGTTCGAGACCACCCTGGCCAACATGGTGAAACCCCACCTCTACTAAAAATACAAAAATTAGCTAGGTGTGGTGGTGCACACCTATAATCCCAGCTACTGGGGAGGCTGAGGTATGAAAATCGCTTGAACCTGAGAGGCAGAGGTTGCAGTGAGCAGAGATCACGCCACTGCACTCCAGCCTTGGTGACAGAGCAAGACTGTGTCTCAAAAAAAAAAAAAAAAAAAAGACAATGTGGAACTGGCATAAGGATTGACTTATGGATCAACAGAATGACAGTGAGAGTCCAGAAATAAACTCTTACATTTATGGTCGATTGATTTTTGTTTTTTTGTTTTTTAAGTAGTCTGAATTTGCCACCAGTGGTCAATTAATTTTTTTTTTTTTTTTTGAGACGGAGTTTCACTCTTGTTGCCCAGGCTGGAGTGCAATGGCACGATCTTGGCTCACCGCAACCTCCGCCTCCTGGGTTCAAGTGATTCTCCTGCCTCAACCTTGAGTATCAAGTAGCTGGGATTTCAGGCATGCACCACCACACACAGCTAATTCTGTATTTTTAGTAGAGACAGGGTTTCTCCATGTTGGTCAGGCTGGTCTTAAACTCCCGACCTCAGCTGATCCGCCCACCTCAGCCTCCCAAAGTGCTGGGATTACAGGCATGAGCCACCACGCCCAGCCTTGGTCAATTGATTTTTAACAAAAGTGCCAAGATCTCAGTAGAGAAAAACATAGTTAACATGGTTTGGCTCTGTGTTCCCACCCAAATCTCATGTCGAATTGTAATCCCCAGTGTTGGAGGAAAGGGCTGGTGGGAGGTAACTGAACCATGAGGGCAGACTTCCCCCTTGCTGTTCCTGTCAGACAGTTCTCATGAGATCTGGTTGTCTGAAAACCTGTGTCACCTCCCTGTTCTCTCTCTCTCTCTCTCTTTCTCTCTCCTGCTCTGCTATGGAAAGATGTACCTGCTTCCCCTTTGCCTTCTGCCACGATTTTAAGTTTCCTGAGGACTCCGCAGCCATGCTTCCTATACAGCCTGCAGAACTGTGAGTCAATTACACCTCTTTTCTTCATAAATTACCCAGTCTCAGGTAGTTCTTTATAGCAATGCAAGAATGGACTAATACAATAGTCTTTTCAACAAACGTTGCTGAGACAACTGTAGCTCCACATGCAAAAAAATTATTTAGATCCTTACCTTATAGGATATATAAAAAGTAATTCAAAATGAACCATTGACCTAAATGTAAGTGCTAAAATTATAACACTTCTAGAAGAAAACAAAAAAATCTTCATGACCTTGAGCTAGGCAAAGAGTTCTTAGATACAACTACAAAAGCATAAGCTAAAATGAGAAAATTGAGAATGGAGCTGAAAGTAAAAACTTCTGACTGGGCACGGTGGCTCACGCCTGTAATCCTGGCACTTTGGGAGGCCGAGGCAGGTGGATCACTTGAGGTTAGGAGTTCGAGACCAGCCTGGCCAACATGGCAAAACCCCATCTCTACTAAAAATACAAAAATTAGCTGGGCGTGATAGCAGGCTCCTGTAATCCCAGCTACTCAGGAGGCTGAGGTACGAGAATCGGTGGAACCCAGGAAGCGGAGGTTGCAGTGAGCTGAGATCATGCCACTGCACTCCAGCCTGGGCAACGAGAGCGAAACTCTGTCTCAAATAAATAAATAAATAAATAAATATACACATACATACATACATACTTCCACACTTCAAAGACACAATTATGAAAACAAAAAGACAAGCCACAGAGTAGGAGATCCTATACTTGACAAAGAAATAGTGTCAAAAATATATAAAGAATTGTTACAACTGGCCAGGTGCACTGGCTCATGCCTGTAATCCTAGCACTTTGGGAGGCCAAGATGAAAGGATCGCTTGAGCACAGGAGTTTGAGACTAGCCTGCATGACAAAGTAAAACCCTCCGTTTCTACAAAAAATTTAAAAATTAGCCGGGTGTGGCAGCATATGTCTATACTCCTAGCTACTGGGGAGGCTGAGGTGGGAGGATCACTTGAACCCGGGAGGTCAAGGCTATATTGAGCTGTGATGGCACCACTGCACTCCATCTGGAGTCATAGAGCAAGACCTTGTCTCCCAAGGAAAAAAAAATTGTTACAACTCAACCAAATAACACAATTTTTAAATGGGCAGGCATTGAATAGACATTTCACTATAGATATACAAATGGCCAATAAGCGTGTACAAAGATGCTCAACATCACTGTTAGGGATATACAAATTAAAACCACAATGAGGTACCACTTCAAACCCACTAGGATAGTAGGAGGGTTATAACAAAACTGATAGGCCAGGTGTGATGGCTCAGACCTGTAATCCCAGCACTTTGGGAGGCTGAGATGGGAAGATCACTTGAAGCCAGGAGTTCAAGACCAGACTGAGCAACACAGCATGGCCCTGTCTCTACAAAAAAAAAATTTTAAATAAACTGGGCATGGTTGTGGCCAATTGTAGTCCCAGCTACTCAGAAGGCTGAGGCGGGAGGATCGCTTGAGGCCAGAGTTTGAGGCTGGAGTGAGCTATGATTACACCACTGCACTCCAGCCTGGGTGACAGAGACCCTGTCTCAAAAAAAAAAAAAAAAAAGAAAAAAGAAAACAGAAGAAAAGATGGACAATACCGAGTGTCAGAGAAGATGTGGAGGAATTAGAACCCTCAGGTAAATGGTGCAGCCATCTGGAATATAGTTTGGCAGTTTCTCATCAAGTTAATCCTAACTTACCATATGACCCAGCAATTCCATTCCTAAAATTTTACCTAAGAGTAATAAAAATGTAAGTCCACGCAAATAATTGTACGCAAATGTGCAGAGCAGCATTATTCATAACAGCCAGAGAGTGGGAACAACCCAAATGCCCATCAACTTGTTAAGATAACCACACATTAGAATACGATTCAGCAGTAAAAAGGAACGAACTACCCACATGTAATATGATGTGGATGAACCTCAAACATATTATGCTAAAGAAAATAATCCAATTAAAAAATGGACAAAAGAGCTGAAGAGACATTTCTCAAAAGATGATACACAAATTAGCCAACAAGTATGTGAAAATATGCTCAGCATCACTCATCATCAGGGGAATCATCAAATGAAAACCACATGAAAATGACTACTATCAAAAAGACAAAAATAGGCTGGGCATGGTGGTATGTGCCTATAGTCCCAGCTACTTGGGAGGCTGAGGTGGGAGGATCACTTGAGTCTGGGACTTCTAGGCTGTAATGCAGAATGATCATGCCTGTGACTAGTCACTGCACTCCAGCCTGGGCAACCTCATCTCTTAATAAAAAAAAACAAAAAGAAAGAAAAAAAATGCTGATAAGAATACAGAGAAAAGGAAACTCTTTTTTTTTTTTTTTTTGAGACAGAGTTTTGCTCTTGTTGCCCATGTTGGAGTGCAATGGTGCAATCTTGGCTCACTGCAACCTCTGCCTCCTGGGTTCAAGCGATTCTCCTGCCTCAGCTTCCCAAGTAGCTGAGATTACAGGCACCTGCCACCATGCCCAGCTAATTTTTGTATTTTCAGTAGAGATGGGGTTTTACCATGTTGGCCAGGCTGGTCTCGAACTCCTGACCTCAGGTGATCCACCTGCCTCAGCCTCCCAAAGTGCTGGGATTACAGGCGTGAGCCACCACACCCAGCCGAAAAGGGAACTCTTACACACTATGGGTGGAAATGCAAATTAGTGTAACAATTCTAGAAAACAGTATGGAAATTTCTCAAAAAACTAAAAATAGAACTACCATATGATGTAGCAATCCCACAACTAGGTTATCATCTAAAGAAAAGAAAATCAGTATATCAAAGAAATACCAGCAGTACCATGTTTACTGCAGCACTATTCACAATAGCTAAGATATGAAATCAATCTAAATGTATATAAATGGATGAATGGATAAAGAAAACATGGTACACACACAGGAATATTATTTGGCCATAAAAAAATGAAACTCTGTAATTCACAGCAACACGAATGACCCTGGAAGCCATCATGTTAAGTGAAATAGGCACAGAAAGATACATACTGCATGTCCTCACTCATATGTGGGAGCTATGAAAGTTGAGCTCATAGAAGTGGAGAGTAGAACAGCGACGACTAGAGGCTGGGAAGGGTAGGGGCAAGGGGAGAACAAAGAGGTTGGTTAACAGGTACAAAATTACAGCTACATATGAGGAATAAGTTCTAGTGTTCAATAGCACCTAGGGTGACTATAGTCCAAAATTTATTGTGTATTTTCTTTTCTTTCTGTTTTCCTTTTTTTTTTTTTGAGACAATCTCACTCTGTCACCCAGGCTGGAGTGGTGTAGTGCGATCTCGGCTCACTGCAACCTCCACCTCCCATGTTCACGCAATTCTCGTGCCTCAGCCTCCCAAGTAACTGGGATTACAGGGGTGTGCCACGAGGCCCAGCTTATTGTGTATTTTTAAATAGCTAGAGGAGAAGATTTTGAATGTTCCCAACACAAAGAAATCAGAGACGTGTGAGGTGATGAATATGCTAATTACTTGGATTTGATCATTACACACGGGATACATGTATCAAAATATCACTCTGTACCCCATAAATATGTAGAATTATTATCTATCAATTAAAAAGGCACATTACACTATGTGAGAGAAGCCAGATCCAAAAGATTATCTATTGAATAATCCCATGTATATGAAATATCCAGGAAAGGTAGATTTATAAAGGCAGAAAACAGACTTGTGGTTTTCTGGGGTTGGGTATGGCAGTGGGGTTTGATTACAGACAGGCTCGGGGGAATCTGGGGAGGTATAAAAATGTTTTAAAACTAGATTGCGTGTTAGTTGCACAACTCTATAAGTTAAGTAAAAAAAAATCAATGAATTACACACTTATAATGGGTGGACTTTATGATATGTAAAATATGCCTTAGTAAAGCAGCCACTGGGTACCCCCCCAACACACACAAAAAAACTTTACCGTATAGCAAATTAGCCTGGCTAATTTTTGTATTTTTAGTAGAGATGGGTTTCACCATGTTGGCCAGGCTGGTCTCAAACTCCTGGACTCAAGTGATCCACCCGCCTCAGCCTCCCAACATGCTGGGATTACAGATGTGAGCCACTGTGCCCAGCCTTGACTATGTCTTTTGGATAAAGAAGGCAGTCCTTAATGTATTGTTGAATCGTTACTATTAGCCAGATGTGGAGTTGATGAAACACACTTAATGATTATTTTGTTTGTGAAGACATGAATCAAATCTCCCCCAGATGTAAACCTCTTAGAAGACACAGTTCTAAACTACAATAATCTACGGAGAGATGCTGCCAATGCAAATATTGTGAAGAAGTACTTGTTAGTTCAGATAGTTTCTCACTCGAGACACTCAGCAAGCAACCCTCTCCACGGGCTTCCAGGATGAGAGGCCTGGCCTTCGGGACTATTTACTCTGTAAACTAACAACAGTGATTGAAGAGAAACGGGCGTGGGTTTGCCTCCCATCATGAAATACCAAAGAAATCACCCGTACTATACAAGGAGTCATCTTAAAAGACTTCATGTGTCCAGTGTGAAGACTCCCGGACTCTCCTGTCTTTCAAAAGAACAGGTGAGAAAACAAATGTCACATTATCATAACATGGAATGAGAATGGGATCTGTCCTTTTGAACTAAAATGGCAGTTCAGAAATCCTTTGTAGACTCTGCTCTGAAAATGATAATTTAATGAATTATTCCTTTCCAAATATGCTTCTGAGCACATTTTGCTGAGACAGCAGGATCTTTAGGACCAAGACATATAAGCTGTTTTCCACATAGTACTTGTTCTTGTGGTTCAAGAATTGTCACTGGCTTAACAAATTCATCAACAAAGAAGATTCAATGTATGTACCTCTCCCAACGCTGTAAACTTCTCCTTGTCACATAAGCATGCATAATATGTCTGAAATATTCATTTATTAGGGACACGTCATTAATCCCAAAGACACCAAGCGAATGCGGTCAAGGAATCCCGAAAGAAAGTTGCTCAATCTTTAGTGTGTACAAATCATAAATGTGTCAGGGGTTGCACCATGGTTAATGTACTGCACAACACATGGGGTATCATCAGTTCTGTAACCTAGGGTGAAGAGTGCTTCCTGGAGTTGTGCAGTGCACAACCTGTGCAGCTGCACATGGTAACCCTGGGATTAGCCATCTCATAAAAACACAGATTCATAATCATGGCTTTTCACAGGAAGTATATGAAAAAGAAAGGGATGAGAAAACAAGAGTAAGACCCTGCAGGTAGGCCCCTGAAAACTCTAAGTCTCACAGTGGAATTTTACATAGGAAATTCTGGGTGGGGGTGGGGGATCACTAGAGCTAACCTGGATGACTATTTTTAGAGCCTTCACTTTCTGGTCTGAGGCCCAGGCATCCTTCAGCGATTGGTTGAGCTCCTCTATGCGGTTCACGTAATCCTGCTGAGTCAAGTTCAACAGCTCCTTTTGGGAACCCTGTGGGGAGAAGGCAGAAGGTGAAGGCATAGCAGGAAAAACATTGCTCGACTACACCCTTATAAAGAATACTAGGTATTGGCTGAGTTTTGGTCTCTAAATTTTCCTCATATCCCCGCCAGGATTGACAGCTTTGCCTTGCAATTTGCAATCAAAGAGGTTCTTTTGAGTTTTCTGACAAAGATGGACAGAGTGCTGTGGGTTGAAAGTCTGGCCTTGGAAGCAAGTCAGACCTAAGCCACCTCCCAGCTTGGACACCAAGTAGCTGTGTGACCCTGGGTAAGCTATTTTCCTCTCACAGCCTCATCTGTGAATTGAGGTAACAAGACTTACCTCATTCAACCAACTGTGGGCCCCCTGTGTGCAGGACATGGGACTAGATGATCGAGATACAAAGACATTTTTGCTCAAGATTCCCAAGCAATAAGACATGACAGGGTATTTCAGCACTAATGGAGCTTAAGATTCTGAAGACAGACGGATATTAACTCAAACTGAGATAAATGCTCAGGAGAAAACACAATTCTATGGGGACACATATACTGGATCTGAGGTGCCCATTGAAAAAAGCGCAACTGTTTCACGGGCTACTAAGGAAGAAAAATATGCTGATCACTGACAGGAACCAACTGAGGAACATATACCCCAATTTCAGAGATATTCAAATGTGAGAGAAATGGTACATCTCAGACTGGAAAAAATATGGTAACAAAGAAATGGACTGTAAACTGTGATGGGGGGATCAGGAATGGCTTCCTGGAGGAGTGATACTTGAGACAAACTCTCAGGGGAGTACAGGTACTGCAGAGTGTGGGGGTGTTAATTAGACCAAGGAGAGAGTAATCAGGACAGAAAGACAACCATAGCAAAAACCCTCGGCAGCTGAGCAAGGGATCGTCATGGGGATGAAATGACCATGTAGGTAATGACTTGGCACGGTCCCTGACGCACAGTAAATGCTCCTTAACCCTGGGCTATTGTTAAGAGGCTCTTCACACAACTCACAGGAGTGAAGGTCATGCAAACACACATGATGAGACCTGGAACCAAAGGTTTATATGTATATTTCCTACAATTCAAAGTGAAAAACGCTTTATTAAAGAAATAAGAGTAGGCTGGGCATGGTGGCTCACATCTGTAATCCCAGCATATTGGGAGGCTGAGGCGGGTGGATCACTTGAGGTCAGGAGTTTGAGACCAGCCTGGTCAACATCGTGAAACCCTCTCACCTAAAAATACAAAAATTAGCTGGGCACGGTGGCGCGTGCCTGTAATCCCAGTTACTCGGGAGGCTGAGGCAGGAGAATTGCTTTAACCTAGGAGGCAGAGGTTGCAGTGAGCTGAGATCGCACCACTGCACTCCAGCCTGGGTGACAGAGCGATCTCAACCTCCATCTCTTGGGTTCAAGCAATTCTCCTACTTCAGCCTCCTGAGTAGCTGGGATTACAGGCATCCGCCACCATGCCCAGCTAATTTTTGTATTTTTAGTAGAGACGGGGTTTCACCATGTTGGCCAGGCTGGTCTCAAACTCCTGACCTCAGGAGATCCACCTGCCTCGGTCTCCTAAAGTGCTGGGATTATAGGCATGAGCCACCGCGCCTGGCAAAGATTTTTTTTTTCAAGAAATTCTGTATTTGTTGGTTACATTTACCACTGTTTAAGTGTTGGCAAAAGACTCACTTTTTTTTCAAAGTACATGTAGGCCAATTAAAAGATTCCTGTGGGCCATATCCAGCCAGCCTGAGCAGCGTCTGTTGCAAAGCAAGGTCTTTGTGCTCCATATAAGGCTGCTTCTCAGGGAGGTGACTGCAGTTGGGTTATTTTTTTTAGACAAAGTCTTGCTCTTTCGCCCAGGCTGGAGTGCAGTGGCATGATCTTGGCTCACTGCAACCTCCGCCTCCCAGGTTTAAGCAATTCTCCTGCCTCAGCCTCCCGAGTAGCTGGGATTACAGGCACCCACCATCACGCCTGGCTAATTTTTGTATTTTTAGTAGAGTCAGGGTTTCACCATGTTGGCCAGGTTGGTCTCGAACTCCTGACCTCAGGTGATCCTCCCGCCTTGGCCTCCCAAAGTGCTGGGATTACAGGCGTGAGCCACCGCGCCTGGCCTTGCAGTTGGTTTTTACCATTAGACACTGTTGCTAGGCGACCCAGCCTTGCTCAGGCATCACAATGAGAAAAGAGGCCTCTAGAAAAGCAGCCCCAGTCAGGCTTCCGTGAGCTCGGCCAACTGCACACTGGCACCCTTCCCTGGATGGAGTCATTGCCTCGAGAGGACCAAGCACAATGCGCAGCCCAGGAATTAATCAAAGAGCAGCCACCGAGGTTGATCTCACTTGGCAGGAGGAAGGAAAAGCTCTCCCACTCCCTGTATTCCACAAATGACTTGCTCACCTCCTCAAAGTCATCCAGCTCCTCCAGCCGGGTCCGCACCTTCTCTGACATTGCCAATGTGGCAGTCCCAGCTTTGCCTAAACAGAATGAATTTACGTCACACAGGTGGCTTTTCTCGTGCACCAATACCCCCAGTGGAGGCATCTTTCACTCTACACTTCATCGTGAATAAAGACACAAGGGAATGATTCCATTATAGAAAACTATCCCAGATTTTCAAAGCAACTTCCTTATGTAACCAGAATTCCATCGAAACATTTCCCACTTAGAAGCTGCCCCTGGGAGCCCAGTGGGCCAGCCTCAAAGAGGTTAACCGCTGCATTTGAGATTTACAAACTTTGCTCTGTATCATCTGTTTATTCCTAAAGAAAGGCAGTCCAGATAAGGATGCCAAAAATCCGTCATCTAATTGTTTTCTATGAACAAAAGGCCCTCTTAGGCTCTTACTCACAGCGTAGAATTGTGCTCTCCTGCTAACAAAACAACCATCTCACTGTCTACCCAGGGTGGAAACACTAGGGCTTCAAAGCCCTCTCTTCGAGCAAACAGGACTAGCTGTGCCTCCTTCCAGCATCTGTCAGCACAATTTCGCCATCAGCAGGGACTGGTGGAGGGATGAAGGAAGGGCCCCCAGGCCACAGGCCAGCCACAAGGCAGGGCGATGCATCTAGCTGACTGCTGCCCTCTGCGGCCGTCTATTTCAGAATCCTTCCCCCATCTTTAGGGGGCCTCTGTTCTAGCATTTTTTTTTTTTTGAGATGGGGTCTTACTCTGTCGTCCACGCTGGAGTGCGGTGGCGCGATCTCGGCTCACTGTAACCTCCATCTCAAAAAAAAAAAAAAGAAAAAAGAAAGAAATGTGGACTTAGGGTCGAGCTGCAGAACTCTTTTTGTAAGCCTGACAAATGTTTTAGGTTTTAAGAGTCACAAAGTGTCTGCTCCAACTACTCAACTCTACTGTTGTAGCACAAGAGCAGGCATAGATAATATGTAAACAAATTGATAGGGCTCTGTTCCTATAAAACTGTACTTAAAAAACAGGCAGTGGACCAGACTTGGCCTGCAGCATGCAGTTTACCAACCCCTGATCTGGGGATACCCCTAGTAGTGGAATGCTGGATCAAAGGGTTGGCTCATTGTGTTAATCCCTTTGAGCTGCTATAACAAAATGCTACAAAGTGGGTGGCTTATAAATAAGAGCAATGTATTTCTCGCAGTCCTAAAGGCTGGGAAGTCCAAGATCAAGGTCCCAGCAGATTAGGTCCCAGTGCCTGATGACAGCCTGCTTTCCGGTTGGGTTCATAGATGATGCCCTCCTGCTGTGTTTTCACTTGGTGGAAGGGGTGAGGGGAGTGCCCTTGGACCTCTTTTATAGGGCACTAATCCCATTCATGAGGGTTCCACCCTCATGACCTAATCACCTCTGAAAAGGGCCCATCTCCTAATACCATCATCTTGGGGTTAGGATTTCAACATATGAATCGGGGCAGGGGAGTGGGGTTAGGCACAAACAACCAGACCACAGCACCTGTCTTCAAATAAAATAAAAAATGCAAAAGTGTTCTACAAGGTGGTTGTGCCATTTTACATTCCCACCAGCAGCATATGAGAGCTCCTATTGCTCTATATTCATACAAAGTCTCATCTTTGAAATGTGATCCCCAGTGTTGGAGGTGGGGCCTGGTGGGAGGTGTCTGGGTTGTAGTGGGGGATCCACCATGAACGGCTTGGTGCCATCCTTGCAGTAATGAGTGCAGTAATGAGTTATTCTTACTTCCCATGAGAACTGGCTGTTGAAAAAAGCCTGGCATTTTCTCCCTCTCTCTCCTCCCTTCTCTTGCCATGCAATCTCTGCACACACCTGCTCTCATTTGCTTTCACCATGAGTGGAAGCAGCCTGAGGCCCTCACCAACAGCAGATGCTGCACCATGCTTCTTATATAGCCTGTGGAACCATAAGTCAAGTAAACCTCTCTTCCTTATAAATTAGCCAGCCTCTGGTATTCCTTTATAGTACCACTAAACAAACTAAGACACTTGGTATCATCACTCTATTTGATCTTTACAAACTGGTGGGTATGATTTACCTTTTATGGTCTGGGATCAAAATTCTGTCCATAACAAGCTGGGCGTGGTAGCTCACACCTGTAATCCCAGCACTTTGGGAGGCCAAGGCAGGTGGACCACTTGAGGTCAAGAGTTTGAGACCAGCCTGGCCAACATGGTGAAACCCTGTCTCTATTAAAAATACAAAAATTAGCTGGGCCTGGTGGTGCACACCTATAGTCCCAGTAACTCAGAAGGCTGAGGTGGGAGAATTGCTTGAACCCAGGAGGCAGAGGTTGCACTGCACCATGGGTGACAGAGCAAAATTCCATCTCAAAAAAAAAAAAAATTCTATGCATAACAAAGCTGTTCCCACTCTCTTGATTTCTAACGTGCTGTCTCATCCAGCAGAGCCGTGGGGAGAGTGGCAGCTGCCATATCAGAGACCTGCAATGAACTATGATTGTGCTCATCTGCACCCAGCAGCACATGATCCGTCAGTTGCTCCAGAATCCCCTTGGAGCATCAAAATAGGAATTCTGGGGTCCCATCCTGCAAGATTAATTGAGCAAGTGGGGGCCAGGCATCTATATTCATACAAAAGTTCCTCAGGAAATCCTGCTACACGGCAGTTTGAGACACCCTGGTCCAGAGCTTCTGACTGTGTGTCTTAGGAGAGGAAGCTGAGAACTGCATTCAGGGACCAGTGACGTATAAGACTAAGCATGTGACCCCCTCACCAACATACCTTATTGCACAAGGGAAAAGACTTAAGGCAAGGGAAAGGCTCTCTAAAACCCAGTTGGTGAGGGAGGCACAATGAGGGGGAGACTACTTCCTCTGTAATTCTTAAACAGTAAGCTTACGTTTTACTCCTAGTAACCTCTTTGTTTTTTTTTTTTGTTTTTTTTTTTTTTTGAGACAGAGTCTCGCTCTGTCACCCAGAATGGAATGCAATGGCACGATCTTGGCTCACTGCAACCTCCGCCTCCCAGGTTCAAGCGATTCTCCTGCCTCAGCCTCCTGAGTAGCTGGGATTACAGGCATCTGTCACCATGCCTGGCTAATTTTTTTTTTTTTTTTTTTTTTTAGTAGAGATGGAGTTTCACATTGTTGGCCAGGCTGGTCTCGAACTCCTGACCTCAAGTGATCTGCCCGCCTTGGCCTCCCAAACTGCTGGGATTACGGGTGTGAGCCACCGCACCAGGCCATATATATATATTTTTTTAATACGGAATTTCACTCTTGTTGCCCAGGCTGGAGTGCAATCTTGGCTCACTGCAACTTCCGCCTCCCAGGTTCAAGCGATTCTCCTGCCTCAGCCTCCTATGTAACTGGGATTATAGGCATGTACCACCACGCCCAGCAAAATTTTGTATTTTCAGTAGAAATGGGGTTTCACCATGTTGGCCAGGCTGGTCTCAAACTCCTGACCTCAGGCGATCTGCCTGTCTTGGCCTCCCAAAGTGCTGGGATTACACAGGTGAGCCACCGTGCCCGGCTGTATTTTTTTTTTTTTTTTAAGACGGCATTCCTGTCACCCAGGCTGCAGTGCAATGATGCAATCTTGGCTCACTGAAACCTCCGCCTCTCAGGTTCAAGTGATTCTCCTGCTTCAGCCTCCTGAGTAGCTGGGATTACGGGCGTGCGCCACCACGCCCAGCAAATTTTTGTATTTTTAATAGAGACGAGATTTCACCATGTTGGCCAGGCTGGTACCAAACTTCCTGACCTCAGATGATCCACCCACCTTGGCCTCCCAAAGTGCTGGTATTTGGTATTTTTTTAATTCATGCTCTAAATATGTATTTTATTTCTACGTCTATCCACAATCTAAGAAATAGCAGCTCCAACTGAATCAAACATCAGAATCATATCACATAAAACTTTTTTCCTTTGTAAAATTATACTAAAAGTAATGCCAGAATTTTCCCATCAAAACAACAACAAACTCATCTTACCTTTTTCAGATCCCATAAACAGATTCTGCAGAGACATAAAATTCATTAATATTTTAAAAATCGAAGGCAGTATGTTCATTGTTTTCCAACAGAGCCATTTACATACCCAAGAGAAAGAAATATATATTCAAAGAAGAAAAATACAGTCACTAAAAACCACTGGAGATTCAAATTTCTACTCAAGTCAGGGTTCTCAAAGTCAGCAGACAAATACTAAAATTTTTGATATGACAGCGGAGTCACATAATAGAACTATTTTTAACCTACTCTGAATCAGGGTTTATCACCCTCTACACTACTGCCATTTGAGGCCAGATAACTTTTTGTGGGAGATTAATTCTGTGCACCGTTGGATGTTTAGCCCCATCTCTGGCCTCCACCCAATAAATGTCAGTACCACCCCCAGAACTGTGACAGTCAAAAATGTCTCTAGATATTGCCAAATGATGACCCAGGGGTAAAAATTACTCCTGGTTGAGAATCACTGCTCTAAGTTAACTCTGTACAGTTAAAAAAAAAAAAGACTCAATTTAAATAGTCCAGCAATTCTGCCTATCATTCTGTTCAATGAGTACACACCCTGGGAGGAAAAAATGAAGAGAAGAGGCGTTGAGGCCAAGCGTTCCCCATGGCCTGCCAAGTTCACTGTTTCCTCCAGGGCACAGCCCCATTTGTAGATGGACACGCTGCTACATTTCTCAGCCTCCCTGCATCTATGCGTGGCCCATGATCACACCTTCAAGACAAATGTAACTAAAAGTGTTGCGGGACCCCAAGAAGTCTTCCTAAATGGGAGGGGGCGCATCTTTCTTTCCCTTTCCTCCCTCTGTCTACCAACATGAATGTGAGGCAACACTCAACACAGCCGAGGAGCAAGAAAGAATGCGGCGGAACCCTGATGCCCTCGGAGCTGCCAAACCAGCCCTGGACTCCTCTCCTCGAGACTTTTCTCCAGCGTAAGGAGGGATACAGGTCACTCTTGTTTACAATGTTAGCAGGGGCTTTAGTTCTAAGCAACTGAACCCAGTCCTAACTCACACAGGCATTAACCTGACTGGGTTGGTCTCAGCTCTCCTGAGTCTTTCCTTCCACAGCAATTTGCCAAGTGAAGGGTAAGCCTCGAATTTCGTAAGTGTCTTGAGGCCAAAGCCAACTACTTCACCTAATGGCCATCCAGAGAAATAGTAAATTTCCAGCTCCAGGGGAAAACCCAGCTATATGGGACTTACTGAGTGACACCTTTCTCCTCCAGTGTTGTGCTCTCCTCCCTTAATTCATTTTTTAAATTAATTAATTAATTAATTTTTTTTGAGATAGGGTCTCACTCTGTCACCAAGGCTGGAGTGCAGTGGCGTGATCTCTGCGCAATGTAACCTCCACTTCCCGGGTTCAAGCAATTCTCATGCCTCAACCTCCTGAGTAGCTAGGATTACAGGTGCCCGCCACCACGCCTGGCTAATTTTTTTAGTAGAGATGGGGTTTCACTATGTTGGCCAGGCTGGTCTCGAACTCCTGACCTCAAGTGATCTGCCCACCTTGGCCTCCCAAAGTGCTGGGATAACAGGCGTGAGCCACCGTGCCCGACCTCCTCCCTTCATAATTCAAACCTCCTCCCAAAGACAAGACTCTGCTGTTCTAATTCTTTCTCTGGCCTGTGCCACATCCCTGATCCTTAACATTTTTTTTTGGGAAACCTGTCAGCACATTTTTCTGCCAACAACACTGACATACTACATGAAGCCTTATATGTGAGCTTTTAAGAGAAGTAGAAAAATAAATAAATAAGTGAAACTTACAGAGCCCAGGAGTTGAAGCAACATAACAAAAAGAAATTACTACTAACTCCAAAGTAGACTCTGGAGAGGGTCTCCTGGTACTCACAATAGACAGCTTTTCGGTAGTGGTGTACCGGGCAAGGATTTCTCCCCGTTTGTTGGTCCAAGGCTCAAAATCCGATCCTACAACGGAGTTATCATCTCTATCACGTTTCCTTCTGGAGCTGTCCTAAAGAAAGGCAAGATAATCTCTTCAGCAGCAATATCATTTTGATCTTTAAATATATACATATATAAATAGAAGCCAGATAGTCCTTTACTGTGGAATAAAAGAGATTTGTCTCAAGGTTTACTATCATAAAAAAAATTACAGCGCCAGGCATGGTGCCTCACGCCTGTAATCCCAGCACTTTGGGAGGCCAAGGTGGACGGATCACTTAAGGGCGGGGGTTTAACACCAGCCTAGCCAACATGGTAAAACCCCATCTCTACTAAAAATACAAAAATTAGCCAGGTGCATGCCTGTAGTCCCAGCTACTCAGGAGGCTGAGGCAGGACAATCGCTTGAACCTGGAAGGCAGAGGTTGCAGTAAGCCAAGATTGTACCACTGCACTCCAGTCTGAGTGACAGAGCAAGACTCCATCTCAAAAAAAAAATTCAGACCATTTCATCATAAATGGACAATAAACATATCAAAAAATGCTCAAACTCATTAAGAATTAAGGAAAGGATAGTTGGAAAAGACCACTTTTTCAACTATCAGAATGTCAAAGAGTTAAAATGCTGGCTGATGTCAGGCTGGCAAGGATGCAGGGAAACAGACCCTCTTCAACATCACTGGTGGAAATGCAGACTGGTTAACTCTTTTTGGAGGACAATTTGGTGATAGCCATCAAAACCTTAAATACACATTGCCTTATGCCAGCAAAGAGATGGAGTCTCGCTCTGTTGCCCAGGCTGGAGTGCAGTGACGTGATCTCTACTCACTGCAATCTCCGCATCCCAGGTTCAAGTGATTCTCCTGTCTCAGCCTCCCGAGTAGCTGGGATTACAGGTGCCCGCCACCACACCTGGCTAATTTTTGTATTTTTAGTAGAGATGGTGTTTCACCACGTTGGTCCGGCTGGTCTCGAATTCCTGACCTCATGATCCGCCCGCCTCAGCCTTCCAAAGTGCTGGGATTACAGGCGTGACCCACTGCGCCTGGCCAACCAGCAAAGAACTTCTAGGAAGCTATCCTGCAGAAATCCTTGCAGACATGCACCAAGATGTGTGTGTGTTCGAGACACATGCTGCACTGCTGTTTGTACCAGCAAAACCCAGAAACTATCTGGGATATCCTCCATCTGATGGATACATCAGTAGAGGAATGGTAAATTAAAATAGGTAAATCCAGTCTTTAGAATACCATACGGCTGGTCAAAATAATAAGGTTGTTCTAAATGTACTAACATGGATAGTTCTCCAAGACATATGGTCAAGTTAAAAAAAAAAAAAAAGTTGGCTGGGCGGCATGGCTCAAACTTGTAATCCCAGCACTTTGGGAGGCCAATGTGGGCAGATCACCTGAGGTTAGGAGTTCGAGACCAGCCTGGCCAATGTGACGAAACCTTGTCTCTACAAAAAATACAAAAATTAGCCAGGTGTGGTGGCACATGCCTGTAATCCCAGCTACTAGGTAGGCTGAGGCAGGAGAATCACTTGAACCCAGGAGACAGAGGTCACAGTGAGCCAAGATCGCGCCACTGCACTCCAGCCTGGGCAACAGAATGAGACTCCGTCTCAAAAAAATAAAATAAAATAAAATAAAATAAATTAAAAAAAAAAGTTGTGGGGTGCAGTGGCTCAGGCCTGTAATCCCAGCAACTCTGGTAGGCCAAGGCAGGAGGATTGCTTGTGCCCAGGAGTTTGAGACCAGCTTTGGCAACACAGTGAGACCCCAACTCTACCAAAAAATCCAAAATTAGCTGAGTGCGGTGGCACACACCTGAAGTCCCAGCTGCTCGAGAGGCTGAGGCAGGGGGATTGTTCGAGCCCAGGACTTTAAGGCTGCAGCGAGCTATGATCATGCCACTGCAGTCCAGCCTAGGCAAAAGAGCAAGACTATCTCCAAAAAAACAAGTCACAAAACAGCAGTTCCATTTATGTAACAATGGTAAATAATATATGAAACACAGGCCGGGCACAGTGGCTTACGCCTGTAATTGCAGCACTTTGGGAGGCCGAGGTGGGTGGATCACGAGGTCAGGCGTTCGAGACCAGCCTGGCCAATATAGTGAAACCCCGTCTCTACTAAAATACAAAAATTAGCTGGGCATGGTGGCACGTGCCTGTAGTCCCAGCCACTCGGAAGGCTGAGGCAGGAGAATCGCTTGAACCTGGGAGGTGGAGGCTGCGAGTCGAGATCACCCCACTTCACACCGGCCCGGGTGACAGTGTGAGACTTCATCTCAAAAATATATATATATATATATATATATATATATATATATATATATATATATATATATATGAAACACAGCATAGGATGATGATCGAGAGCATGTATTCTGAAGTCAGACTGGCCAGGTTTGAATCCCAGCTTGGATGTGACTTGTTATCTCTATCCCTCCATGGCTGCCTCTTTAATGAGGATTCCAATACCTCTCACAAGGTAGTAAGAGAACCAAATACAAAACGCACTCCGGAAAAATGCCTGCCATGCAGTAAGTTGATGCTGTAATTATTTATATATGAGTACGTATGGGAATGCTCAGAAACTGCTATCGCAAGTATCTATGAAAATACAGGGGAAAAGCTATGGAAGAAGACACATTACAGCCATCATTCTCACAACCGCCAGGGTGGAGATTGGAATGAGGATTGCTCTACATGACTTTATCTGTAGTGTCTGACTTTTTCACATCAAAATGAGTGATTTACTTATGTATTATGTAAAAAGATTTATAAGAAGAATAAAATTAAAATTAAAAATAAATTTTAAGAGCCAGGTGCAGTGGCTCACGCCTGTAATCCCAGTGCTTTGGGAGGTTGAGGCAGGTGGATCACTTGAGGTCAAGAGTTCAAGACCAGCCTGGTCAACATGATGAAAGCCCATCTCTACCAAAAAACACAAAAATTAGCTGGGCATGGTGGTGCATGCCTGTCCCAGCAATTTGGCAGGCTGAGGTGAGAGAATTGCTTGAACCCGGAGTCGGAGGCTGCAGTGAGATTGCACCACTGCACTCCAGTTTGGGTGACACAGCAAGGCTGTCTGAAAAAAATATTAAATTAAAAAATAAAAATAAATTTTAAAATGCTTTCAAACAAAAAAACAAAAAGACTTCACAGAGCTACACCAGCCTCTCATGTCAGGATGACCTGACCAGAAGGTACCGTGTGCATTACTTGTGCAACTTAAAAAAGGGGAAGAAGCTTTAGGAGGCTCAGGTGGGAGGATCGCTTGAGGCTTGGAGTACAAGACCACCCTGGGCAACACAGCAAGACCCCACCTCTACAACAAAATAAAAAATTAACCCGGCACAGTAGTGTGTACCTATAATCCCAGCTATTCAGGAGGGTGAGGTGGGAGAATTGCTTGAGCCCCGGAGTTGGAGGCTGCAGTGAGCCATGACCACACCACTGCACTCCAGCCTGGGTGACAGAGTGAGACTCTGTCTCTCAGGGGAAAAAAAAGGGCAGGGCACAAGAAAACCACCCATTCCTGCACCCACAAAACCAACCCCCACTGGACGACCATGGCTGGGGTGCATTACCATGGCAGCTGCCAAGGCTGCGGGGTCAGCAGTGGCTGCAAACATGGAGAGGGGGTCAGTCCCATCGAGGACGCTGCTCAGCGGGTCCACCACGGAGCTGGAGGAGGAGGAGGACGTGGAAGAAGTGCTTCCTTTCCGGTTCACTTTCTTTGTCTTTGACTCTGTGACCTGTGAGGAAAATTTCTGGAGGTAAAACGGAACTCCCACAACTCTCTCCAGTGAAACACTCCAGTGGGTACTTTCCTCCCATTCTGGTAGTTGAATGGATGGTTCATTTGCAGCAGAGACTTAACCATCTGCAGGGGATGCTTAGTTTTTGTGACAAATGGACATGACTCAGGATCACAACTGTCAAGGAAGGGAAAGTAGGAAGTTAGGGTTAGGAAGTGTTAAAAAAATTAATTGAGAGGTCACTGGACTGAGATGGCTACAGCACCTGGGGTTCCCTATGTAGCAAACCAAAATCCAACTCAATATAAGTAGCAAAATGGAACTTAAGCTTAATCAGTTGCAAATCGCCAACTACCCACTAACTAGAGACTACCAATCAAAACCAACAACTAACATCTAAGTAGGGAATTTCTACTTTAACCAGGTACTTTTTTTTTGCCTTTCTCCCTTGAACACCTCATAAAAGTTAAGTTTTCTACTGGGTGCAGTGGCTCATGCCTGTATCCCAACACTTTGTGGTGCTGAGGCAGAAGGATCACTTGAAGCCAGGAGTTTGAGACCAGCCTGGGCAACATGGTGAAGTCCTATCTCTACAAAAGATATGAAAATAATCCAGGTGTGGTGGTACATGCCTGTGGTCCCAGCTACTCAGAAGGCTGAAGTGGGAGGATGGCTGGAGCCCAGGAGGTGGAGGTTGCAGTGAGCCGAGATCGCACCACTGCACTCCAAGCTGTTAAATTTATGTGGTCTCTGCCCCCAGTTCCTCCCACAGAGCTCCTAATACCCTAGGAGATTTCCTGGGTGATAGGAGCATCTTTTGTCCTAATAAGGTGACTCCCGATGGGCTCCTGCAGAGCTTCAGGATGGGGTCTGGTCACCAGAAAGACCAAGCCATGATTAGAAGATTGGAGCTTTCAGCCCCATTCCCCATCCTTCGGGAAGGTGAGAGGGCTGGAGACCGAATGAATAATCAATCATGCCTATGCAACGATGCCTCAAAAAAAAAAAAACATGAAAAATGGGGTTTTGGGAGGCAGAGGTTGCAGTGAGCTGAGAATGTGCCATTGCACTCCAGCTGGGCGATACAGTGAGACCCTGTCTCAAAAAAAAAAAAGGGGGGGGCGGTTTGAAGAGCTTCCAGGTAGGTGAACAAGAACACATCGAGGTACCTGGAGGGGACATGAAAGCTCTGTGTGCCCCTTCCCCTGGGCCTCACCCTACGTAGCTCTTCATCTGGCTGTTCATCTGTATTCTTTGTAATATCCTTAATAATAAACTGTTAAGTACAAGTAAATACTAAATAATAAACTGGTAAGTATAAGTAAATGTTTCCCTAGTTCTGTGAGCCACTATAGCAAATTATTGAACATGAGGGAGGGAGGCATGGGAACTCCCAATGTGTAGCGAAGTTGGAGTTTCTGAAGTGAAGATGTCTTTTTTTTTTTTTTTTGGAGACAGGGTCTCGCTTTGTCACTAAGCCTGGAGTGCAATGGTGTGATCACGGTTCACTGTACCCTCGACATCCTGGGCACAAGCAATCTTCCTGCCTCCGTCTCCTGAGTAGCTGGGACTACAAGCACACCATCACACTTTGCTAATTGTTTTTTTACTTTTTGTAGAAGTGGGGTATCACTATGTTGCCAAGGCTGTTCTCGAACTCCTGGGCCCAAGGGATCTTCTCATCTAGCATCCCAAAGTGCTGGGAGTACAGGCATGAGCTACCATACTGGGCCAGGGCTGTCTCACTGAGGACCTTGCCCTCAAACCTGTCGAGTCAGATGCCAACTGCCGGCGATGGCTGCCTGAATGGAGTTGAACTGCAGTCTAGGGGAGGGAGAGAAGCACCTCCCATTGGGGTACATTTGCTGTTTTTGTCTGCCTGGCACCCATTCCTCCACCTCACAGGCTTAATACTTAATACCCCAATTTTTATTTGAGAAAACATCTCTCCCCCACACTCAGTTCCTACAGGCCTGGTGGGGTGAACTCTGTTCTCAGTTCCCAAGGTGAGCATTAGACCTACCCCAATCTATCAACTTATTCTATACAGCAGGTCACCAATGCTGGTTCAGGGTAGGGCGCATAACAAAACTGGGTCAATGAAAACTGCTTGAGAAAAGCATTTTCCTGCTGCTGATGTTGCTAACCTAACAGGATAGGCCTGGAGCTGCAGCAGCTCTTCTCAGCTATTCTGTTATGGTATGGGTGTTAAATCAAGTTTAGCCTAAAGCTGTCTCCTTACCTATTTTAAGTTTGGCCTAAAGGTTTCTCTGCACATAGTGAACTATAACCTCATTGGACATGTAAACAGAGTGTAACCTACTCTTGTGCCAATCACCAAGTTTTGGCCAATTAAAGGGGGCCAACTGGGCCGGGCACAGTGGCTCATACCTGTAATCCCAGCACTTTGGGAGGCTGAGGCAGGCGGATCACCTGAGGTCAGGAGTTTGAGACCAGCCTGGCCAACATGGTGAAACCATGTCTCTACTAAAAAGACAAAAAAATTAGCTGGGCATGGTGGCGGGCGCCTGTAGTCCCAGCTACTCAGGAGGCTGAAGCAGGAGAATCACTTGAACCCGGGAGGTAGAGGTTGCACTGAGTTGAGATTGTGCCATTGCACTCCAGCCTGGGCAAGAGTGAAACTCTGTCTCAAAAAAAAGAAAAAAAAGGGGGGGGCCAACTGTTCAAATTGGGTTCAAATAAGGCAAATACTGAACTGTAACCAATCCGGCTGTTTCTGTACCTCACTTCTATTTTCTGAATGTCACTTTCCTTTTTGTGTCCATAAATCTTCTACCACGTGACTGTGCTGGAGCCTCTCTGAACCTACTCTGGCTCAGGAGGCTGCCCAATTCATGAATTATTCTTTGCTCAATTAAGCTCCATTAAATTTAATTTGGCTCAGAATTTTCCTTTTATTTTTTTGAGATGGAGTTTCTCTCTGTTGCCCAGGATGGAGGGCAGTGGCGTGATCTTAGCTCACTGCAACCTCTGCCTCCTGGGTTTAAGTGATTCTCCTCTCTTAGTCTCCTGAGTAGTTGGGACTACAGGCATATGCCACTATGCCCAGCTAATTTTTATATTTTTAGTAGAGATGGGGTTTTGCCATGTTGGCCAGGCTGGTGTCGAACTCCTGACCTCAGGTGATCCACCCACTTCAGCCTCCCAAAGTGCTGAAATTACGGGTGTGAGGCATGGAGCCCGGCCAAGAATTTTCTTTTAACATGGGGAACGGGCACCTGAGAATGAACGCAACTGTGGCTGTGCTGAGGTCACCCACAGCCACACAACAGCATGGGGATTGAAGGGGTCCTGGGAGGCTAAATCTCAGTCTTGGGGTCTTCTGCTTTATGCAATCATCTCCATACATTCCCAGAGCCTCCATGCTGACAATCACATCTTCTCTTCTCCCCAACATGACAACCGTGTAGTTTCTATTACTTGCTAATAAGACAGTACCAACCTGGCAGAGAGGAACCAGCCAAGTCTCTTGCCTGCTTTTGTTTTTATTTTTTAAATAAACCCACAGATAGACTAAGATGCTATTCAGGACAGCACTCTCTGCTGGCAATTAGAGTGACTCTTATATTCCAAATACAAAAATTAAAAGTCAAGATACATTTTGTTGACACAGCCAAATCAGGAACAAAGTCATCCCATTCACAAGGGAACCTCACTAAGGAGGAAGGAAGGGAGTAAAAATGGTGCTAGGTGAGGCCAATATTACAAAAAAGAGGCAGTGAACAAACTGGTTGATTTAAATATGCAGGCCGGGCGAGGTGGCTCACTCCTGTAATCCCAGCAGTTTGGGAGGCCAAGGTGGTTGGATCACCTGAGGTCAAGGGTTCGAGACCAGCCTGGCCAACATGGCGAAACCCTGTCTCTACTAAAAATAAAAAAAATAGCAAAAATTAGCCAAGCGTGATGGTGCATGCCTGTACTCCCAGCTACTCAGGAGGCTGAGGCAGGTGAATTGCTTGAACCTGGGAGGCAGAGGTTGCCGTGAGCTAAGATCACACCACTGCACTCCAGCCTGGGCTACAAAGTGAAACTCCATCTCAAAAATAAATCAGGCTGGGCACGGTGGCCCACACCCATAATCTTTGTGAGGTGGAGGTGGACAGACTGTCTGAGCTCAGGAGTTCAAGACCAGCCTGGGCAACATGGCGAAACCCCATCTCTACTAAAAAAACACAAAAACTTAGCCAGGCATGGTGGCGTGTGCCTATAGCCCCAGCTACTCGGGAGGCTGAGGCAGGAGAATCGCTTAAACCCAGGAGGCAGAGGTCAGAGGTTGCAGTGAGCCACCACTGCACTCCAGCCTGGGCGACAGAGCAAGACTCTGAAAAAAAAAAAAAAATCAAATATGCAAAAGTGGCTACCACTGGCAAAACGGAAAAGACTCAGGAAGATTGTCTTTCATTTCAAGGGATAAGAATATCATTCAGAAAGACCCTTAACAAAACTTACAGTTATGGGTTTCAGAGGGTGATAGTCCCCAAACTCCAATGGTACAGCCTCCAGTCGGCATGATGCAAATTCAGCTTTGTAGTTCCTATTCCTGGAGTGCCTGGTAAACAGCGAAACACAGCCAATTAGTGGATGGGGGTACTTAAAACACTAAAAACTTCTGATGAGACTTCTTCAATGACAAGGTAGTTTAGAACAGCACAATATTCCCACCAAAGTTAAAAAGAAACTACATTTAAAAACAAACTTTTTGGCCAGGCGCAGTGGCTCACATCTGTAATCCCAGCAATTTGGGCAGCCTAGGTGGGTGGATCACGTGAGGTCAGGAGTTTGAGACCAGCCTGGCCAACATGGTAAAATACCATCTTTACTAAAAATACAAAAATTCGGTGGGTATGGTGGCGCACGCCTGTAATCCCAGCTACTTGGGAGGCTGACGCAGAAGAATCGCTTGAACCTGGGAGGTGGAGGTCACGGTGAACTGAGATCACACCACTCCACTCCAGCCTGGGCCACAGAGCGAGACTCCATGGCAAACAAAAAACAAAACACAACATTTTAAAAAATCTGTTTGGCCGGATGCAGTGGCTCATGCCTATAATTCCAGCACTTTTGGGAGGCCGAGGCAGGCGGATCACGAGGTCAGGAGATCGAGATCATCCTAGCTAACATGGTGAATCCCCATCTCTATTAAAAATACAAAAAATTAGCCGGGCGTGGTGGCACATGTCTGTAATCCCAGCTACTTGGGAGGCTGAGGCAGGAGAATCGCTTCAACCAGGAGGCGGAGGTTGCAGTAAGCTGAGATCATGCCACTGCACTCCAGCCTGGGGGACAGAGTGAGACTCTGTCTCAAAAAATATATATATATTTGAAGGTATAAACAGCTGCCAGCATACTGGACTTGTTATGCCACACACCAGAACAAAGGGAAACTCACTAAGGTGACTCTAACACTCCTTGCCCAGCTTTCCCGCTGAGGGCATTTGTGAATTCTCAGCACAGGACAAGAGGCTGACGCCAAGCACAGGGCAGCTGTGAGGCAGCAGAGCAGCTAAAAAGGCTCTAAGGAAACCTCACAGAGCTGCACAGATAAACAGGAGTTCAGGGCTATCAAGACAGCCAGGAGGAAGAGGAGAGAGCACAGAGAAGACAGAAATCCAGCCCAGATTTCCCCTCAAGGTATTCGCCCATTGAGCTGCATAGGGCAAGAGAAAGGAGCCACGCAGAAAGGAGATGAAGAGCTCACTGTGTTTTCATTGGTTTCTTGAGGGTTCAAAAAGAGAAAGGATTTGTGAGCTGGAAAATAAAGGGGGAGACTGAAGCATGGAGCAGAAAAAGAACAGGACGACAGGCAGAATTTCAAAGACACAAGCAACGTGAAGAGAAGGCCTAACACACATATAACTGGAATCCCAAAGAGGAGGAGAGAGAGAATGTGCAAGAACAGTCTCTGAAGAGATAATAGGTGAAACTTTTCCAAAACCAAAGAAAGACATCAAGCTACAGACTCAAGAAACATCTGTGGCCCAAGTAGGACAAGTACAAAAGCAAATAAACAAAACACACTTGGAGCCTTCATAGTAAAATTTATAGAAACCAAACAGAATTTTTCCTTTTCTTTTTTTTTTTTTTAAGTTTTTTTGAGAGTTGGCATCTTCCTATGTTGCCCAGGCTGGTCTTAAACTCCTGAGCTCAAGTGATCCTCCTGCCTCAGCCTCCCAAAGTGCCAGGATTACAGGCATGAGCCACCACTCCCAGCCTTCTTTGAGCATTTTAAAGATACGGTCCCTGTGTCTTCTGTGCTCATCTTTGTGCTGCAATAGTAGTCTTATTGTTGCTCCTTTGAAAATAAAGTATCCGTTTTCCTTTTACGAAATTCTCTCTGCTGGGCATGGTGGCTCACGCCTGTAATCCCAGCACTTTGGGAGGTACAGATGGGTGGACTGCTTGAGCCCAGGAGTTTGAAACCAGCCTGAGCAACATGGCGAAACCCCATCTCTACAAAATAAATAAATAAATAAATAAATTTGCTGGGTGTGGTGGTGTGTGCCTGTAGTCCCAGCTATTCTAGAGGCTGAGGTGGGAGGATCGCTTGAATCCAGGGGCTCAAAACTGCAGTGAGCTATAATCGCACCACTGCACTCCAGCCTGGGCAACAGAATGAGTCTCTCTCTCTTAAAAAGAAAAAAAAATCTGAAGGAGAGGAACACAGGAGTGGGGGGAAGGCAGAAAATGTTTTTAAATGATTGTCTTTACATTTCTTAATCTCTATTATGAAGATCTGAGAATTTAATTTCATAGGTTATGGTTTAAAATCTTTTTTAACTCACATATTTAACCAAATTGTTTATGCAATGTGTGTATCCACATATAATTTTAAAAGCTACCATAGTCACAGAACGTCAGGGCCACAAAGTCATAGACAAGTTAACCCATTTGACCCCTTTCTCATCTCCTCCATTGACTCTCCAAGCAGAACATCTCAGCTAGTATGGAAAGTGACAAAGTCTCTCCTTGACCAAACTCTGGGCAGGTTCCTCTGAGTTCTCCCCAGCTAGTGCTCAGCTATTGGATTTCCATGTTTGTGTTTGCACCGCCCAGTTTTAGCAAGAATTCTGTCAAGTTGATTGAGCCAGAATCCCCCTCCATATCCAGCTGCCCTCAATATCTGATCGAATTCTTCTTCTACCCCCACTTGGCTATAAATTCCCACTATTCCTTGTTGCATTAGGAGCTGAGGCCAATCTCTGTCCCCTATTGCAAAACCCCACTATAGTAGCCCCCCGGAATAAAGCCTGTCTCATTTCCTTTAACAAGCACCATGAATAATATTTTTGTTTTGTTTTGTTTTTGTTTGACATAAGAGTCTCACTGGAGTGCAGTGGTGCGATCTCAGCTCACTGCAACCTCTGCATCTCAGGTTTAAGCCATCCTCCTGCCTCAGCCTCTTAAGTAGCTGGGACCACAGGCACACCCCCACGCCCGGCTAATTTTTGTATTTTTTATTAGAAACGGGGTTTCACCATGTTGGCCAAGCTGACCCCGAACTCCTGACCTCAGGTGATCCACCTGCCTCAGTCTCCCAAACTGCTGGGATTAGAAACGTGAGCCACTGAGCCCAGCCAATAGTTTTTCTTTAACAAAAGACATGTGCACTTCTCATTTGTAAAATATCCCATCCCAGTAAAACAGCTTTTCTGGGCACACGGGACAATTCTTGTCCCTCCCAACCCACTTTAGGGAAAGAGGAACCTCAAAGAGCACAGGGACTTTCCCTGGCCTCCAAGTCCCTTAAATTCATCCCCCCACCCCATCTTCTGCTCCCATTTAGATTCCCAACTTCATTAACCTTTGTATGAAATACTAGCACCCCAGATCTAATTGTGCCGTGCAACTAGTCAGCTTTACCCAATATCCTCCATTAACCCAGAAACCCAAGCCAGCACAAACGAATTGAGCTCCCATGTCATTTCATTTCTATCCTTTCTAAATGAACTCGGCTTCAAGTGTAGGAAAGGAGGAGAAAGGCTGGTTGACAATAATGAACCAGTTCTACTTTTATTTTATTTTATTTTTTGAGGCAGAGTCTCACTCTGTCGCCCAGGCTGGAGTGCAGTGGCGCGATCTCCGCTCAGTGCAAGCTCCGCCTCCCAGGTTCATGCCATTCTCCTGCCTCAGCCTCCCTAGTAGCTGGGACTACAGGCGCCCGCCACCACACCCGGCTAATTTTTTTGTATTTTTAGTAGAGATAGGGGTTTCACTGTGTTAGCCAGGATGGTCTCGATCTCCCGACCTCGTGATCTGCCCACCTCGGCCTCCCAAAGTGCTGGGATTACAGGCGTGAGCCACTGCACCTGGCCCCTACTTTTATTTTTTTTAAGGGAAAATCCCTTTCACGATAATTTGCCTAGTCCCTCTGGGGTCATATTTACAAAATATACACTATCTTCATCTTCCAAAAGATTGCAATTGAAATCACCTATGAAATATTCCTCCAAACTCCCATCCCATCAAGGATGCTATCAGGCAATCCTCGATTTATTTAAAAAAAAAAACACAAAGGATAAATTTGAATAAGAGTCATCAACAGTCAAGATGGAGTTTAAAACATCAAAGTACACTTTTCCTCTTTTCAAATCACTTTTTTTTTTTTAGACAGAGTATTGCTTTGTACCCCAGGATGGAGTGCAGTGGCATGATCTCGGCTCACTGCAACCTCCGCCTCCTGGATTCACTCAATTCTCCTGCCTCAGCCTCCCAAGTGACTGGGATTACAGGTGTGTGTCACCACGCCTGGCTAATTTTTGTATTTTTAGTAGAGACGGGCTTTCACCATTTTGGCCAGGCTGGTCTAGAAGTCCTGACCTCAAGTGAACCACCCACCTTGGCCTCCCAAAGTGCTGGGATTATAGGTGTGAGCCACCACGCCCAGCCTCAAATGACTCTTAATTTTATCTGTTGTCAAGAAAAGTAGAATGTTGAAAGGCTCATTTAACAAAATAGAAAATTGAATGTGACAGGAAAGTCTGTTCCAAATGTGTTTTCTGTCCCTATTGGAATTACTAACAATCAACAGCTGAGCAAACGCTAGATCAAAACAGAAATATGACTTCATATGCAACAATCAAATGACTGTTCTCATTTATTATGCACTTACTGTATACCAGGCTCTGGGCCAGCCTTTACCTCCGTTTCCTCATTTAATCAACCCAATAAGGTAGGTACTAAGCCGATTTTTCAGATGAAGAAGCTGAGGCTGTTAGAATGTTGGTAACTTGTCGAAAGTGAGAGCAACAATAGAATCAGATTCAGTAGTTCCATAGATTATCTATAAGTCATGTTGAGAACTTTAAAATTTAAGTCTATTTCCCTTAAAAGAGCCAAGTTTTGGAACGAATTTTATTTTTTTTAAAAAGGGGGATGGTGGTGAAAAATACTGCTTCTGGGCCGGGCGCAGTGGCTCACGCCTGTAATCCCAGCACTTTGGGAGGCCAAGGTGGGGGAAGCCGAGGTGGGTGGGTCACCTGAGGTCAGGAGTTCGAGACCAGCCTGGCCAACACGGCAAAACCCGTTTCTACTAGAAACACAAAAAAATTAGCCAGGCATGGTCACACACACCTGTAATCCCAGATACTCGGGAGGCTGAAGCACGAGAATTGCTTGAACCCGGGAGGTGGAGGTTGCAGTGAGCTGAGATTACGGCAGGCGAGACTGCATCTCAAAAAAAAAAATACTGCTTGTGGAAATAAATCTTAAAAAAAATTTATTTTCCTTTCTGAAAGCCCACAGTAAACCATCATATTTTGATTTTCTACCACTTCTTTGATGATTTCCTCAAATTTGCTCTCTGATCCCTAAGTCTGAGATGTTAAAGCATTTTCTTTAATCTCTGGGTCTTTGGTAAGGCTAACAGCGACCTCTTGTGGGCATTTTCTCAAAAATCATTCCTTTTCTTTTTGCTAACATAGTTGATATAAACTGGTAAAAATTCCCCATAATTCCAACCCCCAGTAATGTAAAGGGCTTGTCTGGATCACTGGCACCTGCCACAGGAAAAAAGGCCACCATTTCACACCTCCACTATTGGCTGGGCTTAGCCCTTGGCTATTCAAAATGTGGTTCACAGATCACCAGCAATGACATCACCTGGGCGGGCTGAAATACCCCAGGCCTACAGAATCAGATCTGCATTTTAACTAAATCCTCAGGTGGTTTATATGCACATTAAAGGTTGACAATGGCCTATTTTTAAATTATTTACCTCTGATAATATGGATACACAGAAATCCCACTATGATTAACCAAATTAATCTCCTTATACTGGAAACACCAAAATCCACTAAATGCTTTGCTCAACTATTTTAATTCTCAAATAAGTTTTTGGTTACTAATCACATAATCGGACCACACAGCTTTTTCTTCCACAATCACAATATTACCCAGCCCCCTTCACCGCTACACATAAAAAAAACTCTTAAAATGATGTAGAGATTCTGACTCCAAGGGTTGTTTTTTTTTTTTTTTTGAGACGGAGTCTCACTGTGTCATCCAGGCTGGAGTGCAGTGGCGCGATCTCAGCTCACTGCAACCTCTGCCTCCTGGGTTCAAGCAATTCTCCTGCCTCAGCCTCTGGACTAGCTGGGACTGCAGGCACCCGTCACCACGCCTGAGGAATTTTTTTTTTTTTCTAGTAGAGACAGGGTTTCACTATGTTGGTCAGGCTGGTCTTGAACTCCGGACATCAAGTGATCCACCCGCCTCAGCCTCCCAAAGTGCTGGGATTAGAGGCATGAACCACCTTGCCCGGTCCAAAGGGTGGTATTTCCAAGTGTGCTATAACCACAGGATTAAACGGAAAATGTGATCTAGGGTATACAGGACATCTCATCTCCTAGCCAGGCCAAAATATAGCAGGGATAGCAAAAACTGTGGGTAAAAAGAGGCATTCCTGGGGAGACCCATGACAAGGCAGTGGGATTTGGGGAACCCCGCAAGCCAGAAACCTCAGCCCAGGATATAGATTTGAAGTCCAGCTGATGAGGATGATTACTATCATAGCCTCTGGCTTCCAAACCTCAGCTATCCCTTGTGGGGCTAATTTAAGTAAACTGCTTCATCTCTCTGCCTCTATTTCTTCCTCCGCAACATGGGGTTGTTATAAGAACCTAATGATGTTACATGTTACGCACTTTACGAGTGATGTCTGACAGAAAATAAGGACTTGATAAATGTAAATTTAATGACAGAAACTCATTTCTCCTCTGCAGTCCTCCTCAGTTTCCTCATTCATTCATAAATATTATTCAGCACTCACCATTATGTTCTAGGCTCCACATACAAAGATGGACAAAACTCAGTCCCTTTAACTTTTTTTTTTTGAGACGGAGTCTCGCTTAGTAGCTCAGGCTGGAGTGCAATGGCACGATCTTGGCTCACTGCAACCTCCGCCTCCTGGGATCAAGTGATTCTCCCGGGATCAAGCGATTCTCCCACTTCAGCCTCCTAAGTAGCTGGGATTACAGGAACCTGCCGTCATGCCTGGCTACTTTTTGTATTTTTGTGGAGACGGGCTTTCACCACGTTGGGCAGGCTGGTCTTGGAACTCCTGACCTCAGGTGGTCCGCCTGCCTCGGCCTCCCAAAGTGCTGGGATTACAGGCATGAGTGACCGCGCCCAGCCAGTCCTTTTAACTTTTAAGGAGCAAGAAGTCTATTAGGGAAACTGAAAGATGAATGCATACTTCAAAAGGAAATGTTCAGAGCACGGGCCGGGTGTGGTAGCTCACGCCTGTAATCCCAGCACTTTGGGAACCCGAGGTCGGCGGATCACTTAAGGTCAGGAGTTCGAGACCAGCCTGGCCAACATGATGAAACACCGTCTCTACTAAAAATACAAAAATTAGCCTGGTGTGGTGGCATCGCCTGTAATCCCAGCTACTCGGGAGAGTGAGGCAAAGAATCACTTGAGCCGGGAGGCGGAGGTTGCGGTGAGCCAAGATCACGCCACTGCAATCAAGCCTGGGCGAGACTCCGTCTCAACAAAAACAACAACAACAAAATATTTAGAGCACGGCCATATTAGGAACTATAGAGACCCTAAATACTAAAAGCGTTATGGCACCTGTTTGCCTGCTTGTAATATAAAATTAAAATTCCAAAGGTAGAAATGTACTGGGATGCAGAGATTAAGACAGCATCTTCCTGGATTTTCTGATTGCAAACTTCAGATAAATCCACTGAAGTCAAATGTTTCTCATGTTTTTGGTTAGCTTTTTGGTCAAGCCAGCATGACTTTTTCATTTTTTATTATTATTTTTTTGAGACAGAGTCTCACTGTTGCCCAGGCTGGAGTGCAGTGGCATGATCTCGGTTCACTCCAGCTTCCGCCTCCCAGGTTCAAGCGACTCTCCTGCCTCACCCTCCCAAGTAGCTGGGATTACAGGTGCGTGCCACCACTAATTTAGCCCAGCTAATTTTTGTATTTTTAGTAGAGATTAGGTTTCGCCATGTTGGCCAGGCTGGTCTCGAACCCCTGACCTCAGGTGATCCGCCAGCCTCGGCCTCCCAAAGTGCTGGGATTACAGGCGTGAGCCACCATACCCAGCCAGCATGACTATTAACTGAAAAAAAAAAAAAAACCTCAGGGTGTGGAAGTGCTCAGAGGCATTCAATGCTGATGTAGCGTGTCAAGGAAGCAGTCTCTTAAGTGTTGGGCAAATGAAAGGAATAAGACAAAATGAAGTGTTTATCAAGCTCAAAAGCAGAAGGTTGTACCTGATTATTTCTAAGGTCTTTCATTTGCTCATTTAATCTAAGCTACTTCACATCATTTGAAGAGAAAGTAAATTATCTCGCTTTCTGAGATGCAGGAGAGATTCCCCGTCCCCAAATCCCACTATCATCAACAACACAACTTCCTCAAGTTCTTCACTCACACACATACCACCTGCTGAACCCTGAAGCTTCAGTCACTCATTCCTAGCTACTCCAACCACAAGGGACCTACGGGCCTGCCAACCAGGCACACGCCACGCCCTCCCTATGGTGGACTCCTATTCATCCTCCAAGACCCAATTTAACTCCTCCTCTCTGAAGCCTTCCCCTAGCCCCCTGGTGGGGATAATCACTCCCTTCTTGGTGCCTCATCCGAATGCCTTCTTTAGACATCCCTCTACTGTGCGTCTGCCCCATTATACTGTCAGCTCCTTGAGGCCAAGGAATAAGTCTGAGGGCTGTGCCTAGGATAGGATGAATGGCGGCCATTTTACAGATGAGAAAAGCAAGTCTCCAGGTGAACAGAGGAGCTGAGGAAACTGACCAACAGCCAGATCTCCCGACTCGTCCAGACTTTAAAAGCTGAGTCCACCATTACCCTCATCCAGCGACCCCAGAACCCGCGCCAACTTCTGGGGACGCGGAAGCCTGGAAACTCAAGTTTTCTTTAGGGAATGAATGGACAGGGGCCCGTGGAAGGCGCAGAGAGGCAGCAGACGGGGAGAGAACCAAGAACCCGCCAGTCTGGCTTCAGATTGCTCCGCTGGACCGCGGTAGCGGCCAGGGATTCTACGGTCAAGACAACTTGGGGGTGGCCGGTCGACCACCAGAACCCGACAGAGAGGAATTCACACTCTCAGACCCAGGCCGACCCCATCACAAGTAAGGACAGCCCCTCTCCAAAGCCCACCCGCCGCTGCTTCCTTACCAAGGAAAGACGGCCATCTTCCCAGTCACATGACCGCTTGTTCTGGGGCCGTCTGCTCGGCTTCCCATCCTTACCCCGCCACTCCCCGCACCCCTCGGCCGCCATGTTTGTGAAGGGCAGCTGGCCGCCCCGCAGCGGCCGCACAGCACCTTCTGCAGACGCCATGCTTGTGAGGGGCAGGCGACGCTCCGCACAGCACAGGCTTCATTTTCAGCTGACGCCATGCTTGTGAGGGGCAGCTCCCCGCTCCGGACAGCCCGGGTTACAACTCCCGCCGGCGCCATGCTTCGGAGGAGCAACGTCGGCCACGGCCAGAGTGCCGTAGTTTCTATGAGTCATGATTGTAAAGGGCAGCTGTCTACAGTGCCGGGTGGTCCCGCCTGCGGGCGTCATGATGGTAAAGGGCATGACTGCTGCTTAGCTCACCTGCGTCCTCTAGGGGCAGAAAGGACTCCAGAAGGCGGCGGAGCGAAGACGCAAACTGAGGTTCAGCCAGTACCTGGTTTTGCGGCTAATACGCTGTTTGGCGTGGGACAGCCATGCCCCCTCTAGGCCGCTGCTTTACCCACTGCTTTGCGGGCGGTTTTAGACACTTGCAGAATGCCCTTCCCACGACTAGCAACCGAGGGCTGCCCTAGATCTAATATGATTGACTACAGCTAATGCACGTGGGGAAATTAGGGTTCGCATTTCGTCCAACTTGGCAAAGCAGTGTTTCTAGGAAGGTGGATATCCATTTCGACCACAGAACGTTTTTAAAAATTATTTTAGGCCGGGAGCGGTGGCTCAGGCCTATGATCCCAGAACTTCGGGAGGCCGAGGTGGGTGGTTCACCTGATGTCAGGAGTTCGGGACCAGCCTGGCCAACATGGTGAAACCCCGTCTCTACTAAAAAATACAAAAACTAGTTGGGTATGGTGGCGGGCGCCTGTAATCCCAGCTACTCGGGAGGCTGAGGCAGGAGAATTGCTCCAACCCGGGAGGATGAGGTTGCAGTGAGCCGAGATTGCGCCATTGCACTCCAGCCTGGGCTACAAGAGCGAAACTCCATCTCAAAAAAAAATTTTTTTTTTAATTATTACTTTTATAACTTACTTAGATATCCATTATGGTCCCTTAGAGAGAAAGCATTCGATGTTTTTATAACTCTTACTTTTCATTCGGGGGTGGTGGTCTGTGGTTGTTCATGAGATGGTGACCTATGACAGGGAAAAGGATCATCTCCAGAACGGGCCCTCCAGTGTTCAGCTCAGTATGAGTAGGAAAGTATATCCACTCGTACCTGCTATTCCCAACACTGGAAGTGAACAAGGGTTAAAGGGTGGCCACGGGAAAGCAAGGAGCTCTTCCCATACAGCCATGCATGTTATCACATGCAACATCTCAATAAGAGGTCAAGGTGAGGAGCCTTTTCCTAGGCTCACACTGCATGATTAGGCAGTAACAAGAGGAGGATTCTTAAAGTTGTGCAAATTAACAGCTTTGATGTGAGCTTCAACCTTCGCATTCTCTTTTCTCCCTCTCCTTCCCTTAGCAGGCTTCTATCTCTTAATAAGTTAAGACATTTCCAGCCTGAGTTTTACCTTCTGAAAAGTCCAACTTTTAGTAGAGACGGGGTTTCACTATGTTGGCCAGGCTGGTCTCAAACTCCTGACCTCAGGTGATCCTCCCGCCTTGGCCTCCCAAAGTGTTGGGATTACAGGCGTGAGCCACTGCACCTGGCCCAGGGGACATATTAAATAATGAGATATATCTTTCATGGAACTTGTAAAGAATGATTATATACAATATTTGTTTTGGCCTAATACTTTTCAATATCTGTTTCTTTTTTCTTTTTTGTTTTGGAGACAAAGTCTCATTCAGGCTGGAGTGCAGTGGTGCGATTATAGCTCACTGCCACCTGTAACTCCTGGGTTCAAGTGATCCTCCTGCCTCAGCCTCCAGCGTACCTAGGACTACAGATGTGAACCACCATGCCTGGCTAATATCGGTTTCTTTTTTGTTTTGTTTTGAGATGGAGTCTTGCTCTGTCACCCAGGCTGCAGTGCAGTGGCACAATCTCGGCTCACTATAGCCTCCCCATCCCAGGCTCAGGCGATTCTCCTGCTTCAGCCTCCCAAGTAGCTGGAACTACAGGCATGCACCACTACGCCCAGCTAATTTTGTATTTTTAGTAGAGACGGGGTTTCACCATGTTAGCCAGGCTGATCTCAAACTCCTGATCTCATGATCCACCCACCTTGGCCTCCCAAAGTGCTAGAATTACAGGCATGAGCCACCATGCCCGGCCTATTTCTTAATAGTCCTTCCCCTGGTAAATAAAAACAATCAAACTAGATTTTCTTTAAGATGAAAAGTTTATTTTGCTTTTTGCCTAGAAGCAAAACTAGTGAAAATAAAAGTATAAAAATAAATACAATTTACATTAATGAACATTCCACTCAAAGTAAAAATAAGCAAAAAAAGTATATAAATAAAAATCCATCAAAAGCACAAACAGTGTCTGGCACCTGTATGAGAAGAAGCTATGAACACCAAAAAAGAATGTGTAAAACACAGGCTTTTATCTTTAAATTAAAAACACTCAAGTTTCTCATCCTTACTCTAAAGCTAGTTTTAACTTTCTCCAAAACTATTTGTTTTAACTAATTTGCATTACACACACAAAAAGTGCACAAAACTTTTAGCATCTTTCTTACTGGAGAGACCCACAATGCTATGAATAAGCTGTATCCTGAGTTTTCAGAATGATAAAGCACAGTTTATCATATTAAGAAGACAATTTGATACTTTGCCTATAAATTTTAAAAAATTGGTAACTTGGACTTTTTTTGACCATCTTCTAATTTTCTGGTTCACTCATTCAATACATGATACATCTCAATAAAGAAAATCAAGTTTACACCCAGGGTGGCTTATTATTTCTGTCTATAGCTGGATGTCAAAGTTAAATTTAAAATGGCACAGAAAATTGGAGAAAACAATCTTCATCTCCATATTCTTAAAAGGATATTAAGAATATATATAGGTTGCATTTTCAAAATACCAGTATCTCTTTAAAATTTAAATTAGATTAAATATACACTGTCTCAATTTTATGTGAAAAGCACAAAGCCCTTTTTGGAAATGGTATGATAAATTAATAGTGACATTCTCCCTCATGAAGTCACGTTATCTTGGTAACATTTGTTGGTTGATACTTTTTTTTTTTTTTTTTTTTGAGACAGTGTCTTGCTCTGTTAACCCGACTGGAGTGCAATGGCACAGTCTCAGCTCACTGCAACCTCTGCCTCCCAGGTTCAAGCAATTCGCCTGTCTCAGCCTCCCAAGTAGCTGGAACTACAGGCATGCACCACCATGCCTAATTTTTGTATTTTCAGTACAGATGGGGTTTCGCCATGTTTGGTCAGGCTGGTCTCAAACTCCTGACCTCAGGTGATCCACCCACCTTGGCCTCACAAAATGCTGGGAGTACAGGCGTGAGCCACCCTGCCTGGCCAGTTGATACTTTTAATGGATATGTTAGTGATGAAAAATCTTAAACATGGGTGTCTTTAAGCAATGCAGAATTTTAACCAGGCAATATTCTTATCCGGAAATCTGGATTTATTATTATATAGCCCTTTATTCTCTCCTAAATCAAGCATGCTAGAAAAAACAGACTATGAAGAACAAAATATACAGACTAAATAGAAAATATAACTGCATGCAACATATTATTATGTTACAGAAATGGATGTAATAATGCATTCCCAAGAGCTACATTCAAGAAGATTGTGCTGTCTTCCCCAAATTTGTTACCTGTCACAGAAAGATCTTATAACCTAGTACAAATGTTTCTAACAGTACTGGGGTAACATACATGAAGCCTAACATTTCTGTCAGACAACTAGTTGTCTGACAGGAATGTATGCTTCTGACCAAAATGGTGACCCACATTAACTTCTGTAGATTTTAGTGGGCCACAATTGGCTACATGGTTATACTGTAAGTCAAAGAAAGTGGACATTGAGTGGTTAATCCAAGTTTTTAAAGTTATAAAATGAGGGAAAGGCATTCTTCTGCAATAATTTCCCTTTGAATCAAATTCAAAAATCACTATGCAGAGATGAATTAAATTTATGTTTTAGAACTTATTTATAATTTGTCTTATCTTTTCAATATTCTGTAAAAGTAAATCCAAATGTCCTTGACATTTACAAAAAGGGTCTCTGTAGACATCTGGGCATATAAAATAAACTTATGTTTGTATAGGTAAGCACAGAGATGATGCAATTACTAAACACTAATTTGTCTTCACCCAAACGTATTATTAAGAGGAAAATAGGGGTGTGGAGCAGGAATTACCAAACTGACCAAATGATCCAGATAAGTGCTCAGCCTTCTGATGTCACTTTGTCTGTGTAAACGGAGTCCAGGGTTAAATAAAGTCTTGGGCAGGGAAAATAACATGAATAATAATCCTTCCCCCCATTTTATCCTAATGAATGTTGTCTTCTTAAATTGTCGCAACATTTGGCCGCTTTCTTTGGATTTTTCCTGCATATACTCCTAAAAATAGAGCAAAACCAGTATTACTTCTCAATGGGAGGTTTTCTATAATGATACCATTTAATGAGTTTTTACTCTGGAACAAACACTGAGCTAGGCAATATACATTATCATATTTAATCCTTATATGAATCATCCTGAGGTAGAAATTGTTATGACCATTTTAAGGATAATAAAACTGAGGCATAGGAGAGCAGTTGCCTAAGGAACAGAGCTAGAAGGAAGAACTCTGATAACCCAAGTCCACCTGATGTGTTATTTTACTTAACCATTTTGCATGACCACCTCCTACTCTGCTTTGATTAGTGGTTTCTGAATTTCACTATATAAACTCTAGTCAAGCACAAAACATCAAATGAAGAAATGTGTTTTAAAACCGTAAGTCAAAGATCACTTACGATAACATCAGAGATTGCAATTTAGGTTTGTAAAACTATAAATAACTAAATGCTTTGCAGCATACTTTAACATTTTAGAATTCTACTTCAGTCTAAGAGTATGATATTCTATCATAAGAAAAGTTAGTTTTCTATAAATTGCTTAACAAAGGATTTGCCTCCATTTAGAGCAAATCAGAACATAATTTCAAATTTGTTTAAAACATAATTCAGACCATTAAAACTCTAAGCAGGAAAGAGTAATCTTTTCAAGAGCGACAGTGAGTTCCTGTGTTCAGATTCATAGTTAGCATTTTAACCAGCCAATATCCCAAACTCTCAGTTTATATAAAAGAATACAATTCTGGCTGGACGCGGTGGCTTACACCTGTAATCCCAGAGCTCTGGGAAGCCGAGGTGGGCGGATCACCTGAGGTCAGGCGTTCGAGACTAGCCTGGCCAATATGGTAAAACCCCATCTCTACTAAAAATACAATAAATTAGCTGGGCATGGTGGCACGCGCCTGTAATTCCAGCTACTTGGGAGGCTCAGGCAGAAGAATGGCTTGAACCCAGGAGGTGGAGATTGCAGTGAGCCAAGATCACACCAATGCACTCCAGCCTGGGCAACAGAACAAGACTCTGTCTCAAAAAAAAAAAAAGAACACAATTATTTAGTTTCTTTCAATTGTCTAAATATGCACTCATGTATAAGTAAATCTTTAGAAAACAACAGCAACAGACTTTTGTACTTGTTTAGATACATATTAATTCAAGGGTTAAGTTCATTTGTATTAATAAGTATGTTGCAATGCAATTTAACCTCAATAGTTCAAAATAATGAACTTCATTGTATGTTACTAACTTCAGTGACTGACTATACATCCTTTATACTGTTGAGTATTGCTGAATAAAAACAGTACTTGCTATTTTGCTTATAAGTTCACAAGTGACAAATAGTGGAGATGAAATGCATGAGAAAAGAACATGGAGAGTAGTCACTGTGGCAAATTGGTATCAGGCAAAACAATACTAATTCCTCAATGATTTTCCAACTTGCTAAGTTTCAGTGCAATATAGAATACTAACATGAGAAAAACAGAAAATGTCTTAAAATTCCACAGGTTTGGTGTTTGGTCTGAGTCCTTTCAAATGGTTATCTTTCAAACTAGCTTATTCTGACTGCCTCTGGAGTAAACAGTATCTTCAGCTATGTAATCCTTTAAGACAATTCCATTAACTGTCACTCACAATGATTTCCAAAGATGATCTTTTAAATTATCCTATATATGTGTGACACTATGAATTACCTTCACTACATACATACAAAAGGTCAGCCATCATTTCAAAGTTACGACCAATAGCTTGTTCCCTCCTAATTTGAAGGAAATCACTTAGTAATAAAGCTCTAAAATTTGCCTAATTGTATATTAATGGAAAGATTAAAATTGATTAAAGGTTTAATCTTCAATGCCTGGTGATTAATTTAGGTTTGTTGTAAATGTCTAGAAAGCAGTATAGTTAAAGCACAACATTTGGAAAGTATTTTTAAATGGATCACATAATTTTTAAGTGAGCTTAATCAAAGTGTCTTAACAAAGATACCTAAAAAATATTAAAGCATTTGGTTAAGAGCTTTGAATTTGCTCAAGAATGAGTTTGTCTTCTTGCCACCATAAACAGAATTTTAAAATACAGTTTTTAGTTTAGCTCTTAATCCTCAAATAATGAACATAAGGAGAGATTTAGCTCAAGCTTTGGACTGAGCAAAATATGAAGCCCTCCTCCCACTGGCATATTCACATGTGATCTTATAGTCTGAGGGAGAAAGTTTATCCCCTTATGTGCAGATACACTTCCCCAAGCTGAACAGACAATGCACAGACTTAGCACCAGAGATGATCGTTATCTTTTATTCATTAAATAAAAAGGTTTTCTGAATTAAGCATGGCAAATTCTACAATTTTTTCAGAATGAAAAATACAAGGTGCTTTCCACAGAAATATTATAGAAATGAAGACTGGAATCACACTTTTACTAAGACTTCCTGACTGCCATACAATGCTAAGACCAAAGAACACTAATAAGATGACTGTGAATATGCCAAAATTATGGTGGCAAGGAAAGACAATCTATTCCACTTCTATGGCCTGAGTTATGGGGCAGCTTGTGCACTTCCTTCTATTGAATGGGCTTCAGGAATTTATTTTCTACAAACCTGAAACAGGCACTCTGTTAGGCACTCTGCTCTGTGAAGGCTTCTGTCTATTTTGCACAACCCCCTTCACTGATGTCTTAGGGGTTCTAATTGAATATAAAAAAATTAATAAGTCACTGGCATTAAGGTCTAAATGTTCAAAATTCAAAGAAAGCAATCACATTGCATCAACTGTCCAAAGCACAAATAAGCTTGAAAAGAACTGAAGTCTCATGCATGCGCACAGTAAGGAAAGCTAAACTCTGGCTTCAGCAGGAGACTATAAGCACGAGTCATACTCTGTTGGAGAATCACTTCGGTGATGCTGAATTTACTATATGGATATTTAAAATACTTTATGAGTAAAATGGTATGAAATGAAAAGTAAAAACATCCCAACTTAAGACAGTAATTAGAATACACAACAGTACACCAAGAGGGTTACATTTGAAGACAAAACTTTAAAATATCTTTCCCAATGCTATAAAGAAAAAAAATCCCATTGAAAAACCATTATCCTTTACATAAAGAACACTAGATTTATTTTTCCCTCTCAAATCTAATCTTGGTTTCCGTAGTTTTCAATACCCGTGTGTGGCATTCTTACCCTTGTCTACTAAGTAGCCTATGAACAGGTGCATTCTGTCCTTGGTTTGGCTGAAGGACTCTGTTGACAAATTAAATGAAAAATTAATTTAATAGGTTAAATTCCATTTTTTCCCATTTTCTTTCAACGGATGAAAGATGATGACTGTAAGGTAAAGGTCAACTATGCAATAATATGGCCTATATATTACCACAAATCAGAGCAAATCGACTAAAGCATATTAATATGATACTTGTATTTTGCTCACTAAGAGTCCAAACCTTAGGTTTTTATCAGCAAAGAAATGTCCAACATATAGACTAACCCTTGTGCTTTTAGATAATTTTCTTATACATATGCTTTACAAAAGCTAACTTTTCCCTTCAAACCAGTGAGAGAAGAAAGTATCACTCTCATTTTACAGGAGTAAAAAACAGGTCAGAAATATTAAAGTTCGCTTTTTAGCTTTATTTTTTATTTATTTATTTTTTTGAGATGGGTCTTACTATGTTACCCATACTGGTTTGAATTTCTGGGCTTAAGCTATCCTCCTGCCTCAGCCTCCCGAGTACCTGGGACCATAGGAGCATGCCACTGTGCCCAGCTTAAGTTAGCTTTTTTTTGAGACGGACCCTTGCTCTGTCGCCCAGGATGGAGTACAGTGGTGCAGTCTCGGCTCACTGCAACCTCCGCCTCCCAGGTTCAAACAATTCTCCTGCCTCAGCCTCCTGAGTAGCTGAGCAGGCACGCGCCATCATACCCGGCTTTTTGTATCTTTTATTTTTGTATTTTTAATAGAGACAGGATTTCACCATCTTGGCCAGGCTGGTCTTGAACTCCTGACCTCGTGATCCACCCACCTCACCCTCCCAGACTGCTAGGATAACAAGCATGAGCCACTGCTCCCAGCCCAGCTTAAATTAGCTTTCTAAGGTTTTTAAATAAGTATCAAAGATCCTCTGGACTGTCTAACTGAACTCAAGACATACCACGCTCAAAATTTCTACCACAGATAGCATGTCCTACAAAAGGTCCGGGCACATCTGGTCTGACATGTGACTAGGTATATGGCCAGGTATTGGTATGAATCTTGAGCCTGAGGACGACCCCCGACCCAATTCAGCAAGAAGTGCTCTACTGATGTCAAGTAGAACAAAGTCAACAAAAATGAAGTTTGGGATTTAAATTTTAATTTTTTAACTTTTTTTTTTTTTTTTTTTGAGATAGAGTTTCACTCTTGTTGCCCAGGCTGGAGTGCAATGGAGCAATCTTGGCTCACTGCAACCTCTGCCTCCCGGGTTCAAGCGATTCTCCTGCCTCAGCCTCTTGAGTAGCTGGGATTACAGGCATGTGCCACCACACCCAGCTAATTTTGTATTTTTAGTAGAGATGGGGTTTTCCATGTTGGTCAGGCTGGTCTCAAACTCCCGACCTCAGGTGATCCATCCGTCTTGGCCTCCCAAAGTTCTGGGATTACAGGCGTGAGCCACCGTGCCCAGCCAATTTTTTTTTTCTATAAAAAACAAAAAGCCTCTCATTAAGACTAAGTGATTTTTCTCACCTTGTTTCAGAAGGATTTTGTTTAACCAGAAATTTCTTATTTGGCATTCCCATTTCAGCAGCTCTAACACAATATAAAAATAAGGACATAATGTATTTAGAGAAGGGAAGAAAACATGCTTACAAATGTAATACAGGATGACAGAAACAAATCATCATTTAGAAGCTGGTGTACTACTGGAAGACCTGTACTAAGCATATTAAAGACTGCATTCAAGAAAGAAGAATTTTTTAAAAAAGTTATTAAGATATTTTTCCCATTAAGTCTTTATTCCCAAGAAACCTTTAGGACATCAGAAAAGGAATATATTTAGGCACTGAATATAAAGATTAACTGTTTTTAAGATTAACCAGCTATCAGTTATATGAGTTGAATGTTGTCAAATTTAGTAAATAAATTCATCTAAGATGAAATGAGATTTTAGCACCTGATTTTAATAAATTTCTTTATATAAAGGGGATTTCTATCAGCTCAACTGCAGAAAAATTAACTCTTTATTTCTAAATTTAAATATGCAAATAGACCAACAGATGACTAAAATTAATTGGTTTGATAACTAACATGACATGATACAAAAAACTTACTTCATGTATTTCTTCCTATCAAGAGACTTCTGTGTTGCAGCTGAAAGAGCCACTCGTGGACTTTTCATTTTATCCTTTAATATACAAAAGTAACGTCAAACTCTACTGGAACCAATTAATACCACTATATTATAATGTATTATAATCCCACATTGCCTGGAAAAGCTTCTCTCTACTAACATTTTTAATTTAGTTAAATCATCTTGTTTTGTATTTTTGAAGCAGTCTAATTCTAAGAATTAAATAATTAGAATTATGTAAATTTTGCTTGCTTTTCCTTTGCCAATCACACTAAGATAACTGATTCAAATCACATACTCTGATATACTTCAAATTAACTTGGAGCCTGTTTTCTAACTCAGATTTCAAAAAAAGCAAAACCCACATTATAATTGAATTCAAGGAAATTCAATCAGGAGCAGCTGATAGATTGTATAAGCCATCTGAGCAAAACATTCAAAGCTTCAACTCTAAAATCCAATAAGAAAACAATATGTAATTCTTAAATGATGTAATTCTTTTAAATCTGTCTACAGATTTAAATGCTGCTAGTAATTCCAGGAATTACTTGTGCTTAAGAATTATCAGAAGAAGGGTGCTGAAGTCAACCAAAACTGACATTTAGTATCAATTACCCTAAACCCAGAAGAACTCTATTCATTAGAAATCATATAACATACCATTTGCCTGAGCATTTTCTCTTTGCGAACTTCTCGATCATGATGTAGAATAGACATTCTTTCAGCTGCATCCATTACAAAGAATATGTCATGAATACCGTACAAGGCAGCTCGCAACTAGGCACAAGAGAAGAAAATATTGTATACATTTAAAAGATGAGGTTAGAGTTCAGGAATACTATATACCATGTACACTTATTTATAGAAAAAGATTAAAATAGTTTTCATTGAAACCTATTTTCAGTGATTAAATAAAAAAGGAGAAATATAATATGTCCATGTCTTAAAAGCCTTCAGGATCCATGTATTTACCTGAGCTAACACTCTTTCCTGAAGTGAAGCATCTTGAGCTGAAACAATGCCTCTCTTTAATGGTGCTTCTGACTGAAAACTTCTTATGAATTCCATAGTATCCTGAAAAAAGAAATGCTCCTTCAAAAACATTTTTCTAGAAAGATTTGTGATCACTGGAGTTTGCTTTTTTCTTTTTCTCAGTCAATCCAAAATTACAGTCTTTCGTCAGTATCTGTGGGGGACTGGTTCCATGAATCCCTCAGATACCAAAATCCAAGGATGCTGGAGTCCCTTATATAAAATAGTTATCTGCATATAACCTAAGCACATCTCCCATATACTTTAAATCATCTCTAGATTAGTTAAAATACCTAATAAATGTACATGCTATGTAAATAGTTGTTATATTGTTTAGGAAATAATGACAAGGAAAAAAAATTTGTACATGTTCAGTACAGACACAACCATCATTTGTTTTTTCTGAATTATTTTTGATCCATGGTTCGTTGAATCCACAGATGTGGAACCCAGAGATAGAGGACCGACTGTACTAAGAACATAAATAAAACTATTACTTATCAGAAGTCAAACCACTCACTTTCAAGCAAGTCAAAAACACACAAACTGCTTCATTTACATGTTATTCATAATATTATCTGAGAAAGATTAACGATTATTGGGGGGACCAGCCCCCAATATTTCAACATAGGTTCTTTCTATTTTTCATAAGTGTCAGCCAGATGAGAAATAAAGAGAAAGAGTACAAAGAGAGGAATTTTACTGCTGGGCGTCCGAGGGGGACATCACATATTGGTAGGACCATGATGCCCACCTGAGCCTTAAAGCCAGCAAGTTTCATTAAGGATTTCAAAAGGGGAGGGGGTGCAAGAACAGGGAGTAGGTCACAAAGATCACATGCTTCAAAGGGCAAAAAGGAGAACAAAGATCACATGCTTCTGAGGAAACAGGACAAGGGCAAAATCAGAACTACTGATAAGGGTCTATGTTCAGCTGTGCACGTATTGTCTTGATAAACATCTTAAAAGGAAACAGGGTTTGAGAGCAGAGAACTGGTCCGACCACAAATTTACCAGGGTGGAATTTCCCAATCCTAGTAAGCCTGAGGGTACTGCAGGAGACCAGGGCATATTTTAGTCCTTATCTCAACCGCATAAGACAGATACTCCCAGAGTGGCCGTTTATATACCTCCCCCCAGGGATGCATTCCTTCCCCAGGGTATTAATTATTAATATTCCTTGCTAGGAAAAGAATTTAGCAATATCTTCCCTACTTGCACGTCCGTTTATAGGCTCTCTGCAAGACGAAAAATATGGCTCTATTTTGCCCGACCTCGCAGGCAGTCAGTTATGGTTGTCTTCCCTTGTTCCCTGAAAAACGCTGTTATTCTGTTCTTTTTCAAGTTGCACTGATTTCCTATTGTTCAAACACACATGTTTTGCAATCAATTTGTAGAGTTAACACAATAGTGGTCCTGAGGTGACCTACATCCTCAGCTTATGAAGATAACAGGATTAAGAGATTAAAGACAGGCATAAGAAATTATAAAAGTATTAATTTTGGGAACTGATAAATGTCCATATTAAAATGAAATCTTCACAATTTATGTTCAGCAATTGAAGTAAAGACAGGAGTAAGAAATTATAAAAGTGTTATTTGGGAACTGATATATGTCCATATTAAAATGAAATCTTCACAATTTATATTCCTTTGCTGCGGCTCCAGCTGGTCCCTCCATTCGGGGTCCCTGACTTCCCGCAACAAACAATCAGACTTCTAAAACTGCCTAGATTACAGTGACTAAAAAGCGTTTAAGTTCTGAACTAATCTGTTAGCTCAGCTGTCACAAGACTGATAGAAACTAAGACAGAAGTGAAATACAAACGATTTACAGGAATCTTACTTTTACAGTTTGTCGAAGTTGCTTCAGCTTATCTGTCTGCATAAGTCTACGAGTAAGAAATCCTTTTGCCACTGCAGTTATTTTGTTAAATTTTGCTTGTATTTCCAGACTAAAAACCTAGGAGAAAGAAGACAGACACAATGTTTATTGGTGTTCATTTATACAGTCTAAGATAATATAGCTCTTAAGAAAAGATAAATAGATAGATGGACATGTATCATTAAGTTTACCCACTTGAGACCATCTAGTTTTGGCTCTTCCAAAAGGCCTTGTTACTGAGAGTTTGGTCAAGCCACTAGTTGATGATCCCCAGAGGTAGAATGGTGCTTCGTTTGCAGAAACAAAGCTATATTGCATGGCAGAATTTGTGAAACCTAGAGAAACATACATATAGTATTATACTTGATGTCATATAATTAGAATACGAAGAACATCCCAATAAACACTTGTGACACTCATTAAGAATAACAACTGCCTCCAAAAATGACCTACCTGCCGACTTAAAATATTTATGGACTTTAAAGCTTACATACCAGGTGGATCTTTTCAACACAAACAGCATCTCAGGATAATTGAGATATGAAGATAAGCTATTTAAAGGGACTAGGGAATTAGAGGTAATTCAAGATCACTCAGGAGAGAGCAAACTGTTTTCACTTGAAGTATATCACCTGCTGCATGAATGATCAGACTGGGCTCTAAGCCAAATTTCCTGATCTTTTCCTGGCAAAGGTAATCTTTGTTCACAAACATCTGCTCACAAGTCTTTGATCTCCTATCATGTCATTTTTCACTGGTTACTAAGCAGCTGGCAAAGAGGGTTGGACATGGAATCATTTGAAAACAGGAGATATAATCTTATAGTGTGCCAAATAAATATCTTACCGTAGGATCACTTTCCCAAATGTAAAAGGATTTTTAAATATTTACCAGAACTATTTGAATTTGAAGTATGGAGTGAGTCCGCTTGAGACAGCATTGTTTCCAGCAAACTAGAGTCACTTATTTTTCTCCATTCTAATTCCACTGCATTGTTAATGTCCAACTCAGAGGCTTCCGCTGTCATTGCCTTCTTCTCTTTTAACATTTTCTCCTGCTCTTCTATTTCCTATACATGAACAGTTTATTGTAACATGCTAAACCTTTTAATTATGTCCCAAAATGATATCATTTTAGGCTTAGCCAAAAGTACATGTAATTATCAGCAATTATTATTTATTTCAAGTTTTTCTTCCTCAAATTATCCTTCCTTCCTTCTCCCTTCCCTTCCCTTCCCTCCCTCCCTCTTTTCTTTTCTTTCCTTCCTTCCTTTCTCTCTCTCTCTCTCTCTCTCTCTCTCTCTCTCCTCTCTCTCTCTTTCTTGTTTCAAGAAACAGAATCTCGCTCTGTCCCCCAGGCTGGAGTGCAGTGGCACGATCTCGGTTCACTGCAATCTCCACCTTGCGGGTTCAAGTGATTCTCCTGCCTCAGTTTCCCAAGTAGCTGGGACTACAGGTCCATACACCACCATTTTGTATTTTTTAGTAGAGATGGGATTTCACTATATGTTGGCCAGGCTGGTCTCAAACTCCTGACCTCAGGTGATCCATCCACCTCGGCCTCCCAAAGTGCTGGGATTACAGGCGTGAGCCACCACGCCCAGGCTATAATTTAATATGTGATAATGTATAGTTAAATTATTAATTATAATAATATTATAACAAGTGTCGTTCTTTTTTTTTTTCTTTTTATAGAGACAGGGTCTCCCTCTGTTGCCCAGGCTGGAGTGCAGTGGCTAGACAAAGGCGAAATCATAGCTCACTGCAGCCTTGAATTTCTGGGCTCAAGCAATCCTCCCACCTCAGCCTCCTGCATAGCTGGGACTACAGGCTCATGATACCACGCCCAGCATGAGTGTCATTTTTATGATACAACTCCTGCAGAATGTGTACTTTAGCACCTATTTATAAAATACCTTTTTAAAATATTAAGCTTTAAATCAAGGATTCAATAAAATATTCTCGATAAATTATGCAATTACTTTTAGATAAGGATCTAAATATCAAAATTCATATTTTGACAAAAAATACCATTCACGTATCAAAATGACTCCCTTACCTTAAGATATATGGAGGCAAAAATTACACGTATTCTATACATGACCAAAATTCATAGGTATCCTTGGCTAAATTTCACTTACCAGTTGTATCTCCCTCCACATTCCTCACCTTTTGCAGTCTTTCTTGTTCCCTTTCCTGCTCAGCTATGAGTAGTGATAATTGCTGGGCGTGCTGTTCTTCTAGTCTCTTCCGCATTTCTTCAAAAGCTAACATCTTGCTTTTTAGTAACTCCTCGCTTTCTGAAAAGAAACATGTTTCCTCAATTTAGAAAATTCACAAGTCTAATGTCTGATATTTTATACCATCAATTTAAATTATCCTTCTGACAAGAGAGTATTCCTGGATCTGACATAATACAATCAAGATATAGCTGGGTCTCTACTTCGAACCACACTCCTTTTATTTCATGCTACTCAATAAAGTAAGACCTGTATTGCATCACCTTTACCCACTCATTCAACAGATCCCATCCTGATCTGAAATGACAGACCCAGGACTATATATTCAGACAAGATTCTCCTGACTCTACTTAACTTTCAGATGTGGTCCTCAACTGCATCCTACCATCATTTGTTTTTTTGACACTTGTCCTCCAGGATCTCTGGTAGTGTAGCTTGTAGTTTTGCCTTGTTTTGATTTTCAAAGAAAGTGTTTCCTTGATGGTATAAAGCTTTCTCAGCTTGAGGTTTCAAAAAGGACTGGACGTTAAAATTCCAGATATTTAGTTACTAACTAAGAGAAAACATTATGACAATACAAGCTTCCTAAATAGAATGTGGTAAGACATGTTGAAATGTACAAATACCAAGTATGGGCCAGGTGTGGTGGCTCACGTCTGTAATCCCAGTACTTTGGGAGGCCAAGGCAGGTGGATCACTTGAGGTCAGGAGTTCGAGACCAGCATGACCAACATGGTGAAACCGAATCTCTACTGAAAAAATACAAGCGCATGCCTGTAATCTCAGCTACTTGGGAGGCTGAAGCAGGAGAATCGCTTGAACCTGGGAGGCGGAGGTTGCAGTGAGCTGAGATCGCACCATTGCACTCCAGCCTGGGCAACAAGAGTGAAACTCCATCTCAAAAAAAAAAAAAAGAAATTTCCACTCTGTTGGTCTTATGTACTTCTGATATTCACTGAGGCAGCCTCTTGCCTTGCTATGCTATCTACTTGGAGGATCCAAGTTGGCTCCCCAGGTAACAGTGGTTGTTTTTATTAGAGCTCTTATAAAGTTGCACAGGATGGGCCAGGGCTGGTGGCTCAAACCTGTAATCCCAGCACTTTGGGAGGCCAAGGAGGGCTGATCACCTGAGCCTAGGAGTTCGAGACCAGCCTGGCCAACATGGTGAAACCCTGTCTCCACAAAAAATATAACAGCTGGGCGTGGTGGCGCATGCCTGTAAATCTCAGCTACTTGGAAGGCTGAGGCAGGAGAATCGCTTGAACCCAGGCCTACAGTGAACTGAGATCGCACCACAGCAATCTAGCCTGGGTGACGGAGCAAGACCCTGTCTCAAAAAAAAAAAATTAAAAAAAAAAAAAGTTGCACAGGTTTTAAGCAGTCTGACCCAACCCTGTATTTCCCATAAGCCCTAAGAGCTTAACTTACTTGATTTGTATGTCTTCTATATCAGTAATAAAGAATTATCAACAATGACAACAAAGTAAGGGGTAATGAAGGAGAAAAACGTGCTTTAATAAATTGCTGTTAATGGATACAACAGAAAAAACTGAAATAATAATTTTTATTAATTAAGAACCTTTATTATTATTATTTTTTTTTTTTGAGATGGAATCTGGCTCTGTCACCCAGGCTGGAGTGCAATGGTGCAATCTCGGCTCACTGCAACCTCCGCCTCCTGGGTTCATCCAATTCTCCTGCCTCAGCCTCCCAAGTAGCTGGGATTAAAGATGTGCACCACTACGCCCAGCTAATTTTTGTATTTTTAGTAGAGACGGGGTTTCGCCATGTTTGTCAGTTTGGTCTCGAACTCCTGACCTCAAGTGATCCACCCACCTCGGCCTCCCAAAGTGCTGGGATTACAGGCGTAAGCAACCGCGCCGGCCTAAAGAACCGTTCTTGAACCACCTACTCAGAGCCTTATTTCTGATACTTTGTCTAATAATTTGATGTTAAAGTGTTTACTGAAGGACCAATTACACGAAGCTCATACTACAAATGAAAAAGCAAACTGAAATAAACATTAGAAACTATAGTCCAAAAGAAAGACCTCATAGCAATACAGTGAATTAAAACTGTAAGTGATGTTTCAGGCAAGACTGTTTGGGGCTGGGTGCGGTGGCTCATGCCTGTAATTCCAGCACTTTGGGAGGCTGAGGCGGGTGGATCGCTTGAGGCCAGGAGCTTGAGAGCAGCCTGGCCAACATGGCAAAACCACATCTCTACTAAAAATATAAAAATTAGCTGGGCCAGGTGGTAAGCACCTGTAATCCCAGCTACTCTGGAGGCTGAGGCACGAAAATCAATTGAACCCAGGAAGCAGAGGTTGCAGTGAGGTGAGAACCCGCCACTGCACTCCAGCCTGGCGACAGAGCAAGACTGTCTCAAAAAAAAAAAAAAAAAAAAAAAAAAAAGAACTGTTTCCTCCAATTATTAATATTCTCAATAATACCAAGTGGACTATGAAAGCTTCATCATTTAAATAAGAAGATCCATCCAGGCATGATGGCTCACGCCTGTAATCCCAGCTACTCAGGACGCTGAGGCATGAGAATTGCCTGAACCGGGAGGTGGAGGTTGCAGTTAGCCAAGGTTGTGCCACTGCACTCCAGCCTGGGCAACAGTGCCAGACTGTCTCAAAAAAGAAAATCCTGGCTGGGTGTCGTGGCTCACGCCTGTAATCCCACAGCTTTGGGAGGCTGAGACGGGAGGCTCACTCAAGCTCATGAGTTTGAGACCAGCTTGGGCAACATGCCAGAAACTCCATCTCTACAGTACAAAAAATACAAAAATTAGCCGGGCATGGTGGCATGAGCCTGTAGTCCCAGCTACTTGGGAGGATGAGGTGGGAGGATGGCTTGAGCCCAGGAGGCGGAGGTTGTAGTGAGCTGAAGTCATGCCACTTCACTCCAAACTGGGGTGATAGAGCCAGACCTTGTCTCAAGAAAATCTTTAAGAAAGCCTATCAAATGGCAATAAACTGTAGCTGACTAATATGCTTTCTAATAAGATAAATAAAATTAAGTGCCCATATGAATAAAGACCACTTTTTTCCCAAAAATGTCAATTAAGAGTATTAAAATAAAGGTATCTGCATAGAAGGTATCAAACGCTTCAAAGATTCCTTACCTTTGGAACTAGTTCCTAACATTTTATTCTTGTTAACGAAGCCAGATCCCTTAGGGTATCTTTTTTCTGGCAAATGTTGCCTTTCTTGTTCAGTTATTCCACTTGTTATGACATAAGGGCAGTTTTCTTTTTGCAAACCATCAATATCTAAATCAAGTCTCCGTTTAACTTTCTCAAAACTGTTATCCAAAAATTGTTCATTTCCACAGGACACCATAGGTGTGTCCATCTGCTGTCTCGTATTCTGGTTTTGCATCAATAAAGGAGAAGGGTTTTTTACATCATAAGACTTATTCAGTTCTGTTTGCAAACTGCAGTTTTTCTCTAACATACTGGCTGGCTTGAGTCCACTCACAGTTCCAAAGTTTGGACTTGCTATACACTGACTGCTGGCATATGGTTCATGCAGCTTTGGCATCGCAGCACAGGTACTGTTCATTATGTGTGCGCCTCTCTCATCGGATGTTAACTGACCTTCCACAGTAACAAGTCCATGAGTAACTTTATTTTCTAAATGATTTCCTGAAGATTGACATACCTGATTTGATTTACCTAAAACCACATCTTCTTTGACTTCAGATGTATTTTTGCCCACATAAACCTTGCTTGAACAAACTCCCGCTAAATCAGTTGGTAACTTTGGCATAATTTCGGGCACATTTGTGTTTTCATCAGTATCTTGAATAATTAAGTCCATTGCCTGTTCTTTTCCTTTAGGGCTTAATTCACAGGCATTTATTGGGTTATTTATAAGTATATGACACGCTGATGATGTCCTGGAACGTCTTCGGTGCATTTTAGGACTCATACTTGGCTCTGGACTAGGTAATTTGGCATATGAACCTGTAAGACTTTTGATAACATTATTTTCGGTAACAAAAGTGGGAATAACTTTAAAATCAGAATTAGACTCTAGAACAGTGGGATGGCCAGTTCGTATAGGTATGTCCACTTTCGAAAAGCTAGCTAAAACTGGCATACTCATGCTGCTTGCTTGAGTGGAAGCACCTTGGAGAAGAACATTTGATTTATTAAGGCTTGGTTTGTCAGGAATAACTGAGACACAGTGTTTGCCTGTCAACTGGCCTTTCTCTTTTACACAGTCAGCCACTTCAACAGCATCATGTTCTTTGTCTAAATGACTCTCATTAACAATTCTGTTGATACTACCTCTCAGACTGCGTCTAGATTGTTCTCTTTCTATATATTCCTTTGACTTTTTCATCAGATTCTGAAGACTCATTACATAGGGATCTGGGATGACTTCTGCCAAAAGTGGTAGATCCTGTTGTTCATTTACTGAGAAGGGACCATCAGAAATAAGAGTTTCTTGTGGGGTTGCTGAAGAGGTCTTTGGAAAAGCTTCATTTTCTACATGACTAATATTGGAACTATCACATTGCTTCGGAGAATTAAATCCTTCTGAATCTCTAGCTAAGTCTATTCCATCAGTTTTACATTGGTCCTCATTATCCAATGGCAAAATCCCAGCTATCTTATCAAGCTTTGCTGCAGTAGAGTGTTCCGTATGGCTTGGAAAGCTATTTGGAAATGTAGCAGGAACATTCAAGTTTCTGACTTCTGAATTAGAGTAAACTGTTTCCATCTCCCACTGATCAAAATCACTGGCATTAGGTGCTTTTCTAACCTGAAACAGGAAATTTAAAAATTAATATTTCCTCATTGCACAAAAAGTCTCTGATTTCACTGTTTTCTAAAATAAAATTGAAATTGAAAATTCAGAATTCTGACATTTCAAAACATAAAGAAAAACTAAGATGACAGGTTTCTACGGTATCCTGTATCACAGGGGGCTCAAATTATTATTGAAAAGATGCCTACTGGTCATCCTGCCTAAGTTATTAAAAGAGTTATAAAAGAGTTATAAAAAGAAACATCTAATCTGATACAAATATGAACATATATATGTGTATACACACACACATATATTCATATATCCATGTGCAATTTAATCTTAGAATACAAGCACTTAAATTTCTTCTAGTCATATGTTATTAACATTACCAACTGTTCCTCCTAGGATAGCTATCATCCAAGGATAATAATATATGCAATAAACAGCAAGTAATGAAATGTCTTACGTAAACGATTCCCTCTCTAACAAAGACTAACTTGTCCAGGACATTGATTAAGCAAAAATGATTCAGTAATAAGACTCCTGCACCTACATGCTTACTCCAAAGTTTAACTAAACTTTGTCTCAAAAATGAATGAATGAATGAATGAATGAATGTAAAAATAGATATTTTGTATCTAAATAATCCAACTTTGCAAAAGAATAAAAAGAGAACTAGGATAGTTTCTAAAGGTAATTATACATCCGTATATTAAACTGGCAAAAATCATTGTATTATCATATGAATACAGACATCAAAAGCCTGACTACTGGCGGGGCATGGTGGCTCACGCCTGTAATCCCAGCACTTTGGGAGGCCGAGGCGGGCGGATCATGAGGTCAGGAGATCAAGATCATCCTGGCTAACACAGTGAAACTCCATCTCTACTAAAAATACAAAAAATTAGCTGGGCTTGGTGGTGGGCACCTGTAGTCCCAGCTACTCAGGAGGCTGAAGCAAGAGAATGGCATGAATCTGGGAGGCGGAGCTTGCAGTGAGCCAAGATCACGTCACTGCACTCCGGCCTGGGCGACAGAGCGCGACTCCATCTCAGAAAAAAAAAAAAAAAAAAAAAAAAGTCTGAATATTACAATATTTTTTGGTTGTTTTGAATGTGCTTGTTTTTTTCTAGACCACATGGCTCTCCTATTTTACGTTACAAATCCCAAGACAGGTAATGGTTTCCAGGTACTATGCAATACACAGTACAATAAGACATACTTAGTCACAACCTCAGAACCAAAATAAAACAAAAAAGATGCAAAAAGGTTTCCAGGTACTATGCAATCAACAGTACAAGAGTACAAGACATACTTAGTCACAGCCTCAGGACCAAAATAAAACAAAAAGGATGCATATTTATGAAATCCATGAACATGTTCACAGGTTTAAGTAAAACAGATGATTTCCTTACGTAAAATATTTCACATTTGTGATATTCGGAAGCTATGTTGTTTATACGTCACTAAAATGAGCCTTTAGTTAGACAAGTTAAATAACAACAAGAAAAAAATCTATCATAGAATCTTAGGTTTTACAGGTGAAGCAGAAATCTAATTGTATTATATAAAATTTTCCTATCTGAATAATTAATTCATTACAGTTCAACATTATACATGCTCTTTTAACAATTTTATTAGTAGTATATTTTATCTTCCCTCAATGGACCAAGAATGATATGCCATTTTCATTTCAATCACAGGAAATACGTAGTAAGTAAAAAACCTACCTCTTATTGTTAAATTAGTGCTACTCAATACATTTTTTAAACTTAATATGGACAGTAATTATAATCTGCAAAATGAAATCTACTACCCACACACTATATACTACTGTGAAAGGGAAATAATATCTCAGGACCCCAAACTCAACTATGTCACATGAGAGTCACTATGACTCTCATTAACAATTCTCTTAATACTACCTCTCAGCCTGCGTCTAGATTGTTCTCTTTCTATATATTCCTTTGACTTTTTCATCAGATTCTGAAGACTCATTACATAGGGATTTCGAGTAACTGAAATGGAAAATCACATGTCAAAGGAAAAAGTAAAGCTTAGGAACTGAGTCACACAAAAACTGCCTTCCTTTTATTCCTAAACAGATAGCTGCAAAATAGAAGGCCACCTATCTACCCAGGTAGACTCTCTTGCAAATTGCTCACAAGGAAATTCCTCGTAGGCCCCAAAATCTTTACACCAACCCAGAGTTCTGCTGAATTTCACTCTGACAAGATACGGACAAAGACCAAAGATGACTAGAAATCATCCCTTTGGAGACAAATGTATATTTGACTTCTTCCTCTACTCTGCTTACTTTATCCTATGTAAAATGCAGATTTATTGAGCTTGAGATGAATGCATAACTGACTGTTCCTCTACCCCCACCTTTCTCATGCGACTTGTGGATTCAGTGAGTGCTAATCAAAGCCTCACAAAAATGTGATCGCTTATCTCATTACCTACCCTCCTTTTTTTTTCTTTCCTCTTTCCCCTCCTGCTGTTCTCTCCCCTTTATACACTGAAGTCCTCAAAACCTCTTCTGGAAAAGCATAAGCCACAGATTCTACTGTAACTTTTGTCTCTTTTTCCTTGGCACATCCTCAACCTTGGCAAAACAAACCTCTAAATCGATTGAGACTTGCCTCAGTCATTTTCTTCAGTTTACACTACCAACAGAGAAATGAACCCTTAAGGTTCATTATACACGTGTCATCGATACGAATTAAACAGACAAACCACAAACTCCTAAGATTATGAAAAAACAAAAAGATGTTACCAGCAGAACACTGCTATATGTTGTAGAAATTATTCGTTCAATCTAATTCATTTGTTTTTCTTTTTAGTACAAAATGATCCACATGTCAGAACAAATTGTTTATACAAATCTAAAAATAACTGCACAAGGTGTAGATGTGTTGTTTAAATAGTTTTTAGACATAGGATGCATCTAAACAATTCAATGTTATCTAAACTGCATTTTGTGTATCTAAGAGTTTTCACCAAAAAAAAATTGGAGGCAGTTATTTACTTAAGCAAAGAATGAGAATAAGGTCATTTAGTCAATAGTCTAATTAGTTTGGGGTAAACAATAATACCCAATTCTGTCATTTTGTCACTGAGAATTCAATGTTTTTAGAGTCATAAGATGCAAACAATAAGCAATTATATTCAGTGTATGGTTCTATTGTGTAAATATCCTCTGATTCAAGTACTGGGCATTACTAACAAGCAAGTACATTCTCTTTGGAGTAACTGAAATGGAAAATCACAAATTATGAAGCTTCTCAAACGTAACAGTAAAGTACATTAGTAATTAGTTAAGTGCAAATATATTTCAGAAAAATTATCATCAACGCTTATCTTATGATTTCTTTATTATAACTGAAACAGCTAAAATCACACACCTGAACATTGTCAAGAATCTCCTGGACACGAGTCAGTAAAGCTTTCTTCCTGTTAACCTGCTTTCTTGCTTCTACATCAAGTGCTTTCTGCTTTTCTTGTTGCATTTCCTTTCTTTTCTCAATGTTAAGCTGCAAAACATCATAAAAATGTAATTATTTCCCACGATAAAAATATCATAAAATCGGGAAGTTGTGAATCAGAAAGATTAAAAACATGTGCAACAGGCAAAACTAATGTATAGTGAAAGAAATCAGAACAATGGTCTGGGTACTGAGTGGGATGGGGCATTAGAGATCTTTCCATGGTGAAGAAAATCCTGTGTGGGTGTGAGTTATACATGTGTATGCCATATATCAAAACTCATGGAACTTTAACACTTAAGATTTGTGCATTTTGCTATGTGTAAATTATTTTCAGTTAAAAGGTTAAAAAGAAAAAAGTTTGTTCACTAATCAAATGTTCTAAAATGACAGAAATAAAATTAAGGCCCTTTTGGCCACTGCTGAGTTTTTTATTACTTCACTTGAATATTGACTTGAATATTACTTCACATTCAGTATCCTTTTTTTTTTTTTTTTGAGATGGAGTCTTGCTCTGTCACCTAGGCTGGAGTGCAGTGGTGCGATCTCGGCTCACTGCAACCTCCGCCTCCTGGGTTCAAGCGATTCTCCTGCCTCAGCCTCCGGAGTAGATGGGCTTACAGGCGCGTGCCACCACGCCCAGCTAATTTTTGTATTTTTAGTAGAGATGGGGTTTCACCATGTTGGTCAGGCTGGTCTCGAACTCCTGACTTTGTGATCTGCCCACCTCGGCCTCCCAAAGTGCTGGGATTACAGGCGCGAGCCACCGCGCCTGGCCCATCTTCAGTATCTTATTTCACTGGATCAACTGGATTCTACAACTTTTAATTTTCTAACCAGTGCACAATTTAACTCTTTGCTGCCTCAAAAAATGTCCAAAGGTTTAATGATAAAATAAACAGATAATATATTATTTGCCTACAAAAGCAGAATACATCTTTTCTTTCACCTCACTCTACCTTCTGATAAAAATATAATGTACCTAAAAAATGGAAGGCTTCTAAGCATTGTATCTCTTTATAATGGATTTCAATCTTAATTATTAAGTCCTGGGAAATTAAATCACTGTTAACAGTCAAGACTTATCGTAGACTTACACAAATAGAAAATATATCATTAAAAAATTATTTCAAAAGTTGCAATATTCACCTATCAAATACAACATAAAAGTGTGGATTAGGTCCATAAACATCACATTTTGCTTATAAATAAATAACAGACGGAGTCATAGACCCTACACAACAAGCCTCAGACATTTTGGTCCACATTAAATCAAGCAATGTGTTATCAAATAGCTGATAAATATGTTGTTTTAAAACTTTTTCCTAATTGCATGGTACCAAAGAATGATTATACAATTTACTTGCTAATCAAAAGGAGAAAATGTGTACTTTAAAGAGCCATCTGGCAGTCACTACTGTAAGCAAGTGTTCAAACTAAACATCACTAATAGAGGGCAACTAAACATTATGTAACTTCTGATTTAATTTAGTATGAAGTGCAGGGCATCATCTCCAAAGAATTCCTTTTTTTTTTGAGATGGAGTCTCAGGTTGGAGTACAGTGGTGCGATCCCGATCCCTCCTGGGTTCAAGCGATTCTCCTGCCTCGGCCTAACGCACAGCTGGGATTACAGGCACCCACCATCATGCCTAGCTAATTTTTATATTTTTAGTAGACAAGGGGTTTCGCCATGTTGGCCAGGCTGGTCTCGAACTCCTGACCTCAAGTGATACACCCATCTCGGGCTCCCAAAGTGCTGGGATTACATTTTTTTTTTTTGAGAGAGGGTCTCACTCTGTTGCCCAGGCTGTTGTGCAGTGGCTCGATCTCGGCTCACTACCTTTGCCTACTGGGTTCAGTGGATCTTGGCTCACTGCAACCTTCGCCTCCTGGGTTCAAGGGATCCTCCTGCCTCAGCCTCCCACATAGCTGGGATTACAGGCATCCACCACCACGCCCAGCTAATTTTTGTATTTTTAGTAGAGACGGGGTTTCGTCATGTTGGCCAGGCTGGTCTCAGCCTCCCAAAGTGCTGGGATTACAGGCATGAGCCACCCCGCCCAGCCCTATCTTCAAAGAATTCCAAAAATCTTTAACCTGTTTATCAAACTTCACTTCCAGTTCATAGGAACTACAGGGACTAGAGAAACAAGTTAAATAACACTATTAGGAAACAATGGGACAAATCCAAGATCTAAGGAATTCTACAAGACAATAGCTCTGGTCTCTTTAAAAATTCAGTATCATAGTTTTGTTATTTTTTTAAAGACAGTATCTCACTCTGTCACCCAGGTTGGAGTGCAGTGGCATGATCAGGGTTCACCGCAGCCTCAGCCTCCCGGGCTCAGGTGATCCTCCCACCTCAGCCTCTAGAGCAGCTGAGACTCCTGGTGCGCGCCACCACACCCAGCTCTTTTTTGTATTTTTTGTAGGGATGAGATTTCACCACGTTGCCCTGACTGGTCTCAAACTCTGGGGATCAAGCAATGCAATCCACCCACCTCAGCCTCCCAAAGTGCTGGGATTATAGGCGTGAGGCACCATGCTCAACCAATAAAAAAAACTGTTTTTAAGACGTACAGTAGCTATTTTAGATTAAAATAAAGAAACATAACAAGCAAATACTAATTGTGAACTTTGGATCCAGATTGGGGGAATAAAGTTATAAAAGGCATTTTGAGCACAAATGGAAAAATTTAAATATGAACAGAATTATTAGATATTATTAAAAATTATTAGTTTTCTTAAGATGTGATAATGGTATTGGGGCTTTACATAGGAGAATGTCCTTATTTTTAAGAGATGTACACCAAAATATTTAGGGGAGCAGTGTCAGGTCTCCGTGGTTTTCAAATAGCTAGGCAATTTTTAAAAATGTCATATGTACACACACACATAGATGTATATAAAAATCACAAACACAATAAAGCAAAGATGACAACAATGTTAAAAATTATTTAATCTAATGGTAAATCTATGGGTGGTCACTGCACTATCCTTTCAACTTTGCTGTATGTTTGAAAGTTTCATTACAAAAAGTTGGCAGTTAGCTCTGGTGTCTTTAAAAATTCAATTCAATTAATTAAAATTAATCTCTTAACTCCTGTTATACCAAAAAATAAATTTAAAGCTCACTTTTTTCTAATATTAGTTTGTGATTTAAAATAAAGTCATATGCATTTTTAAAATATCCAATTAGTATCAAAGGGTGTATGATGAAGTGTCTTCCCTATTATCCTATATTCTCTCACCACTCCCCAGAAAAGGAATAGCCATCCTTTGAAAAACCCAAATGGTTAACTTATATTGGGTACCTCTTATGATCCAGGTGGTATTCTAACCATTTTATATCTACGAATTCATTTAATCTTCAAAATAGCCTTATGAGGTAGGCACTATTTTATCCCCATTTAACAAATAAGAAAATGGACCACAAGTTTACACAGCAAGTAAGTAGCAAAGCAATGATTTGGACCCAGGCCAGAAGGCTCCACAGCCTAGACTTTTTTTTTCCTTCTTTTGGGATAGGGTCTTGCTCTGTTAGCCCAGGCTGGAGTTTTTTTCCTTCTTTTGGGATAGGGTCTTTCTCTGTAGTCCAGGCAATGATGCAATCCTGACTCACTGCAGCCTGCAACTCCTAGGTTCAAGCGATCCTTCCGCCTTAGCCTTTGAAGAGCTGGGACTACAGGCACATGTCACTGCGCCAGGCTAATTTTTTAACATGTTTTTATAGAGATGAGGTCTCACTATGTTGACCAGGCTAGTCTTGAATTCCTGGTCTCAAGCAATCCTCTTCCTTCCGGTCTCTCAAAGCATTGGGACTATAGGTGTGAGCCACTGTGCCTGGCCCAGAGTCTGGACCTCTAATCATGACTCTATACTGCCCCTGACAGCATGCTGCACACGGTGTTTTACACTAGATCATTGAGATCCTTCCATGCCTCAACATTTACATCTGCCTTACTGTAATGGTATGTATGAGAGTTTATAAAATAGACCATAGTTAAACTACTCCACTACTGATGGACATTTAGGTGGTTCGTCAACCTTTGCTATTTTAAACAATGCTAATGTAACTTTGTACTTATTTCTTTGGGCTCACATATAATTGTAGGATATACCCAAAAATGGAACTGCTGACCCAAAGGCTATGTATGCTTTTAAATTCTACCAAACTGCTCATCTAGAAATAAAATAAACTGATTCTCTTAGCAAAAGTGCATTAAAAGTGCATTTTCTCCACAATCTAAGGAACACAAAGTTCTATTAGGTCTTGGCCAATCTATAATAGTAAGTAAAAAATGCTAATTCATTTGTATTTCTCTAATTCTGAATGAGGGCATCTCTTCAAATGTTTATAAGCCTTTCTTTTGTTTTTCCACGAACTGTTTTAGTTGTTCACTACAGAAAAAAACTATTTAAAAACAAAGCAAGTTTACCAGTGGAGAAAGGATAGCCACTCCATGAAAGCGAATAAGTGAGATACTTTCAGACTGAGCAGGGAGAAAGCTCTCTGTGGATAGTGATGCTTCTTGTATTCTGGCAAGACTTTTTTCACAGAACTTCTCATACTCCTCCATCTTCCCACAGTCACACTACAAGAGAGAAAAATGTTATTTTTAATGTACTGGGAAAAACAGATCTTAATTATTTGGCAGATTTTGTAGAGCATGAGAGAGTCCCTATAATTCACAATTCCTATAACTGGTCCTCCCAGAATTGTCTTACTGATCAGGAGCTAATTCTTGGGTATGGTAATTCACCTCAAGAACCTGTCCAATTAAGATTTACTTTATATATTAAATATTTCTGAATATTATTGCATGTAAATCAATCTTTAAATGGGATTAATTTAGCTAAGAATTCAGTAAAACCTTCTTAAAGGAAACAAAGTTCTGTAAATCTTTACTAACTTCACATTGTAAAACAGGATATTATATTTTCTTTAACAGGACTTATCTACACAAGAAAAACTATATCATACAAAGGTACAAACACTGTAGTAAAAAAGCCTACTTAAATCAAAGAATATTTACTTTTAAAAATTTTCTATTTTGAAGTTCAGAGGTTACTCTCATATCTTTTTTTTTTTTTTTAAAGAGACAAGGTCTCACTATGTTGCCCAAACTGGATTCCAGTGACTATTCACAGGTTCAGTCACAGTGCACTATAGTCTCAAACTCTGAGACTCAAGCAATCCTCCTGCCTCAATTTGCCTATCTTAACACTATACTTGGACTGCATGAGCACCAGCCAACTCAGTCAGAGGTAAAAAAGAGCAAATCGATTGGCTCTGATATTAATTATATTTTATTGTTGAAAATTGGAACCATCACCAAACTACTTAAAACAATCCCAGTAATTTCACAGTTTCTGGGAAATTGTGATTATGAAAATACAAGGTAACCAGGAGGGATTAGGCATCATATTCATTCATTTAGCAAACAGTAAATGTTGATTGCTTATTTGCACAGCATTATGTGTGGCACTGTTTCCTTTAAATAAGCAAGGGAAAATAAAAAGACATTATCAGAATCATAACCAGCAAGGGTATGAACTATGGAAACAGAAAATAGAATACAATCATGTTCCTTTATGTCTTCATTTTAAAATAATTAGCTTCTTAACAAAAAAAGAGAGGGCAGGGAAATTCAATTCATGATGTGGGATATGCAAAGATGAAATAGGATATGTCCTCGGTAGGCCTCAAAGTACTTAAAAATTCAGTACACCAAAGTATCAGGGACAAATTATAGTGCAATGAGAAATGGGAAAAAAAAAATAGTCAAAATTATAATCAGGTTATAAAAAAATAAGATATAATGCTATTTTTTCTAAATAGTTTAATCAATAACAAAACTTCTTCCTACTATTCAATCAATTGTAATTATTTGTGTTCAATCTATGCAAAGTAGGAATCTAATGACAAACAAATGGTTCTCTACAGTGTGAGTGAGACTATTTTACAAGCTTTTATTTATTTTAAAAAAGCAAAAGTAAAAACAATAAAACACCTTAAGGCATAGCCTTTTTTTAGGTCTAGGTTTCAACTCACATTATTTCTTAACCCCATTTCTGCTCAAATATTTTATTTTTTTAATCATGCCATGCATTCAGCAATACACAGAATGTAAATAGATTATACAAATAAAGTAATATATCTTCTATGGATACTCAAGCAAAGCATGAAATTCAATTTTAGAAGTGAGGGAAATTATTAAGGAAATATAATACTTTTATGGCCATAGTTTTATTTTTCTTTCAACATCATAGAGCTATGCCTCATTGTTTCAGAAAGTTATTCACATCCCTTAAATAGTACATATATGTCCTATATCTTGCAGATGTATAGTACTATATTATTATTACAGCACAACACAGCATATGACAACGCATTACTCATTCAAATATGAGTGCTAATATGGAGATTATACAAATTACTAGATGATCCTTAGAGCATGACTGGATCCTTCTTATTCTTCAGTCTCGGCTTGGATATCCCCTCCTCAGAGAAGGCATCCCTGATGACCCCATCTAAATGAACTCTGCCTCTATCACTATCACATTACCCTGCTGTTTCCCAATTTTCATAGCACTTACCACTATCTGAAATTATCGTGTTTATTTCCTTGATTTTTGTCTGTCTTCCTCCACCAAAATGTAAGCGCCATAAGTACAGGTACCTTTTCAGTCTTGTTCACTGAATCCCCATTACACAGAACAGTATCAGCACACAGCAGGCACTTGATAAAAGTATTGAATAAATGAATAAGAATAATAATAAGCTCAAACAATAATGTAAACCAGAAGAAAAAAAGAAGGCGGACTATACACCGAAGCTAGCAAGGAAGAGTGGAATTTAGAGAATGGAAATTTCACCATGGCTCTAGTCCCAGAGAAACTGGTACCTCTTAAACTGCAAAGGTAACCATTTAAGAAGTGAGCAGTCTGTATCCCATGATTAAGCAAGAGGACACTATGCCTTTCACACTACAATTACCACTGTCAGCAAGGTTTTATTTTAAGGGAGCCCTGACTACAAGGCTACCCCAGCCACAAATCTACTGCTCTATATCTTGCCATCAGGCATCACTGGTCCACTTCCAGTAATAATTTGTCAGCTACAGCAGGTTCAGACATGCCGTCTTCTCCATTTATACCACAGAGAACCACTGACCCTTGTGCAAATGAGCCTCTTTGCAAACCCCGTAGACTCATGGTCCTATCTGCTCCTTACCCGTGCTCTGCCAGACATGTCACTGAAAAGAGTGGTAAAAGTAACACAGAACAGATCCTGCTTTTTTTTTGCAGAACCTAGTGTTTCTTTGCCCATCAGTTCCGCCAAAGACGCAAACTTCTTGTAAAAGCGGTAAAGGGGAAGATTTCTTATTCAGATGCGTACTAGCTGCAAGTTCTTGGCAAGCCAGTTACCATCCCCACACCTGTTTCGTCCTCTGTAAAAGAGGGATGATCACGGTATCCGTCTCAAAGGAATGTTGTAAGAATTCAATGAGCTAATGCATGTAGGGCAATTAACGTAGTGCAGAACACGCAGAAAGCAACAAATAATGGGGACTGCTTTTCTTATTAAGAGGATAATGATGATGACGATTTTTAGCAGTAGAGTATGAATTCCTGGAGGGCAGCGACAGTGCTTGGTTCCCCGTAGGTTTCAAATGAAACTGAAAAATATAGAAAAGGGGACAACGGCTTCCTCATTTCCCTGTCCCTAGACCTCTCCCCGTCAAATCAATCTCGAGATGGCTGCCATTTGCCTAAACTGGGGGTAGGGAGCTTGGATCGTAACCAGAATAGAATCAAAGGGTGGGAACCATCTAGCAGCTCCAGGGGCAATCGATTACTTTATTATCCTCAAGTTTATGCCCCAGAGTGGCAAAGGCGAAGTAAGCAGCGCTCCTAGGGCCTTGGTTGTGGAAACAGGGGCTCATAAATGGCCAATGCACACCCCGGGGAAGCCTCCCTCTCCAGCACCGTGGGAGGGAGAAGAAAAACGGCCCAAACAATTTGATCACCACGATGGGGTTCTCCGGCTCTGGCCCGAGTTTTATTCACCAGGGACGGCCCCCTGCCCTCTCCCCAGCGCCCCATGCCCACCTCCTCCAGCTCCTCCGATTTAAGACTCCAAACCGAGGGCCCTCCAGGCGGGGCCAGCATCGGAGCATCACCTCAGCGCCCGGTGCTGGCTGCCCCCGGGGTCCCGCCTCCCAACAGCCGGCGCCTTTCCAGGGGGCTCGAGGCCCGGGAGCCCAGCACAGAGCCCGCCCTCAGCTTCTCAGGGCGCCAATTTCGCCTCGCCAGACCACCTCTCAGCCCGGACCCGTCAAGGCTCAAGCCCCCTCCTCATGCACACACCTGATCCCCCACGGCCCCTTCAGCTCCTCTCCCCTCGCCACGGGCCTTGTCAGGAAGCGAATGGCTCAAATGGTACTGACAGAGCGCAGCTCGGTCCGCCGCCGCCTTCTCCTCCTCCTCCCCGCCATATTACGGATCTCAGGCTGCAACGCGGGCTCCTGGCAACCGCCGCCGCTGCCACCCCGACTCCACCTCTCAGGGCCGGCACTTCCGGTGGTTGATTCCCGGGCTGTTAAAACCGTTGGGCCACCAGAACACTACCATCCCCGAGGTGCATTGCGCGCCCGCGATGGAGGACGTAATGCTTACGGCCAGCACGCTGCACGCCGGGAAACGTAGTCTTCCTTGCAAGCTAGAGACTAGAATTTATTAATAAATTTACTTATTTAGTAGAATAGGAACACCCCTCAGGGTCTGAAGCCCCCTGAAGTGTTCCTTGAAGTTGCCATTTTTTTCTTATCTGTATAAAGATAACCCCTTTCTATGCAGCCGTTAGAAAACATGTAACATTCACCAAAATATTTTCTTGTAGGTAAAAACTTGCTGAACCCACCGGGCGTGATGGCTTACGCCTATAATTCCAACATTTTGGAAGCCGAGGCGGAAGGATCGCTTGAGCCCAGGAGTTCGAGATCAGCCTGGGCAACAAAGGGAGACGGCATCTCTACAAAAATTTTAAACGTTAGCCGGGTGGGGTGGCGCGAGCCTGTGATCCCAGCTACTCGGGAGGCTGAGGTCGGAAGATCGCTTGAGCCCAGGAGGTCGACGTTGCAGTGAGCCATGATTGCACCACTGCATTCCAACCTGGGCGATAGAGTGAGACTGTCTGAAAGAAAAAAAAAAAAAGGCTGAATCCTAGATGCCAACTGGAAGGCTTAAGACATCTATCCCCTTTTGCAAATCAGTGGGAAAATGCACTAAAGGAAAAAAAGGTAACAGAAAAATCCCTGAATATTTTTGCAAAGTTCTCTACATAAAAATGTTACCAGCCCTCCAAAATATGTCCAGGGGCCCCTTTTCACTCCCTAACTCGGCTTCATGGTCTATCTCTCTTACCCTCCTTCCAGTGCCTGTTTTTGCATATGTAAAATGGGGGTTTTAAAAGTGCCTATCACAAGGGTGGTTGTGAGGCACAGTTGAGGTAACTCCTGTACAGTGCCTGGTACAAAAGCCCTTAGCAGAAGTAAGATTAGGGGGAGGAGGAGTGAAAATGTCACAAATCACTGGGGAGGCCTTTATGTCAGTCCCCACCCTGCCATTAACTGCTTAATTCACCTATCCTCAGTTTCCGCATCTATGAAATAAGGGAATCCTTAAAACCCCTTCCAGTTTTATAATCCGATTGTGCCTTCTTTGCTAGGCTCTTCCAGTCCCCCAGAATCTGGAAAATAAAGTCGATTGAAATCAGTCTCCTGATAGTAACTGTTAGGCTGTATTGAGAATGAGATAAGCATATAAAGTGTTTGCTCGTCAAGTACCTGGGACATGGTAAGTGCTCTGTAAACGTTAGGTGTACTTGCTAACTTTTATTTCCTCCCACAAGAATGTGAATCCCATAAGAGCAAAAACCCTGTAGGTCCTGTTCAACTGTGTCCGGAGCACCTGGACCGGTATTTGGCACATCTTGAATTGAACTGAACTGAACTGAATTGAATTGAATTGAATTGATAGTCTAAGCATCCTGCCTCTCCAGGTTCCCTGGAATTCAGTTTCCTCAAGGGCAGATAAAGGAGTCACTAAAATCCCTTCCAGTCCTACAGCTTTAGGATGGTTCTTATCCCTCCTTTTCTCGCCTAGGAGTCTGAACGCCCAGGTTGAAGTTCAGACCTCGGAAAACCCTAACCCACCTTAGATTTGGAACGTGAGCCTGGGGCCTGGGGCCTGGGCCCTCCCCCGTTGCCATGGAGCGGCTCCGCCCACTGGCGCTGCGAATCCCGATCCCTGATTGGCTGGGCGGCCGACTCCCTCTCTGGATGTGTCTGCTGCCGCCATTGTGCGGCGCTGGTCCCCTCAGAGGGTTCCTGCTGCTGCCGGTGCCTTGGACCCTCCCCCTCGCTTCTCGTTCTACTGCCCCAGGAGCCCGGCGGGTCCGGGACTCCCGTCCGTGCCGGTGCGGGCGCCGGCATGTGGCTGTGGGAGGACCAGGGCGGCCTCCTGGGCCCTTTCTCCTTCCTGCTGCTAGTGCTGCTGCTGGTGACGCGGAGCCCGGTCAATGCCTGCCTCCTCACCGGCAGCCTCTTCGTTCTACTGCGCGTCTTCAGCTTTGAGCCGGTGCCCTCTTGCAGGGCCCTGCAGGTGCTCAAGCCCCGGGACCGCATTTCTGCCATCGCCCACCGTGGCGGCAGCCACGACGCGCCCGAGAACACGCTGGCGGCCATTCGGCAGGTGAGACCCCCACGTTCGCGCCCCTCGGTCCTCCCGAGAGCTCGGACTTCTACTTTTCCTTCCCAGGGTTCCCCGATCTTCTCAGGACGGCCTTCCCACTTCCTCATTCGTCCACAAGGCACACTCCCGGCCCTTGATCGCTCCCAGTGTCTAGGGATCTCCGGACTTGAGGTTTTATATTTACAGAAGACAGCAGATATGTATATAGTTTCTGTGCGCCTGACGCTAAGGTTACATACAGCCAGGAACAAGGTCAAAAGTGTCCCTGGTTTACAGAGTGTACATCGGAATGGGGGAGGCAAGCCTTAAACAAGTAAACACATAAATGAGATAACTTTAAGAGAGTGAAAGGTGCAATGAAGAAATCGGGGGAACTCGAAGGAAAGAGTTACGCTATTTTATTTAGATGGAATAGTCAAGAGAAATCGTCTCCGAAGAAGCAACATTTGAACAGAAACCGGAATTATAAGGAGCCAGGCAGGTGCAGAAGGTCCTGAGATGGGAATAATATAGGGGTGTTCAGGTAACAGAAGAGGCAGTGTGTGGCCTGACTTCAAGGAAGAGAACAAAGACTGGTGTGTGAATGAAGTAGAAAATGGGTCAGGTCAAATAGGTTCTTGGTCAGTAATTGAGGTTAGTCTAAATAGATCACCCTTCACAAGACATACGTTTGCTTGTCTTGTAAATCACTTGAGTCATTTCCTTATCACCTTTTCCCCAGACACACACATTCGCACTCGCACAACCCTGGCAGCTGGACTCACATCAGTTTCTGCCCCCTCCTTTTCACAAGGCACTCCTGAAACTTTTGATACCTCCCAGCTCTTGGCATTCTCCTAGCTTCATAATAATGACAGCTTACAGAGAGGGCTTTTCAGTGGATTAGGCACTTTTGCATCTGTGTAAATATATCTGATTCTCTTCTTTTTTATTTTTCTCTCTCTTCTTCCTTCCTTCTTCTTCTTTTTTTTTTTTTTACTTTACAGAGTCTCACTCTTTTACCCAGGCTGGAGGGCAGTGGTGCAATCTCCACGCACTGCAACCCCTGCCTCCCGTGTTCAAGCGATTCTCGTGCCTCAGCCTCCGGAGTAGCTGGGATTACAGGCGTGTGCCACCACGCCCAGCTAATTTTTGTATTTTTAGTAGAGATGGGGTTCTGCTATGTTGGCCAGACTGGTCTCAAACTCCTGGCCTCAAAGTGATCCACCCGCCTCGGCCTCCCAAGGTACTAGGATTACAGGCATGAGCCATCATGCCTGGCCTCCCTCATTTCCTTTTTTTTTCTTTTTTTTTTTCTTTTTTTTTAAACGAAGTCTCACTGTCTCCCAGGCTACAGTGCATCGGCGCAACCCCAGCTCACTGCAACCTCTGTATCCCAGGTTCAAGTGATTCTACTGCCTCAACCTCCCGAGTAGCTGCGATTACAGGCATGAGCCACCGTGCCCGGCCAAGATTTATACTTTTAAAGCTGCACTCTGGCCCATGTGGAGAATGTACTGTGGGTGTAATTTCATTCCTTTGCCACTGTTTATAGTAGTGTATCTGTTTTTGGAATACACTCAACTCACATTTATCAAGTTTTTCCTTCTATATCTCATTTATAATCTACCAGAAATTCTAGCACTGTCAGAAATGTATATATGTATGTATACATTCGACTTTACCAATAATTTTATTTATTTATTTATTTTTGAGACAGGGTCTCTCTCTGTCACCCAGGTTTGAGTGCAGTGGGGCGATCTCAACTCACTGCAACTTCCACCTCCCAGGTTGAAGCGATTCTTGTGCCTCAGGCTCCCAAGTAGCTAAGATTACAGATGTACTCCTCCACTCCCAGCTAATTTTTGTTTTTTGTTTTTAGTAGAGATGGTGTTTTGCCATGTTGGCAAGGCTGGTCTCAAACTCCTGACCTCAAGTGATCCACCTGCCTCAGTGGATTACAGAGTGCTGGGATTACAGGCAAAGTGCTGGGATCACAGGCATGAGCCACTGCCTGGCCAGCTTTACCAGTACTTCTATGTTATTCCAGTAATTGAGATAAAAAGATGAATCCCTGGTTCTAATTCACATATTAGTATATATAGGAGATATTGCAAGTTCAGTTCCAGACCTGAGTAAATAGTCAATAAAGCAAATATAGTAATAAAGGGAGTCACAAATTTTTTGGTTTCCCAGTGCATATAAAAGTTATGTTTACACTATATTGTAATCTATTAAGTATTGTGTATGTATATATATATATATATATATATATGCACATACACACACATATATAGGTTTTCATCCATGGTTCCTGGCTCATAACTCTCAGCCCTTGCTACAGTATTTTGTTAGGCATCCTAGGCCTTAGGAGCAGGCCTTGGGAAACAGAATCTCTCCTGCCCTCCTTTCACCTACCCCAAGGCAGGACTGGAATCTTTCCCTGTCTTTCAAATTGTGAGTCTTAAGACCCTCCTCAGAGAGGGACCCCACCCTATACCCTGGGGGAAGGAATGCTGACATCATGAAGCTTCCATAAAAACCTAAGAGGAATTAAAAAAATAAAAACTAAAATAAACCTAAGAGGACTTGAAGCCAATTGGTCAGAAGTTCCATAGGCCCCAGCTTGCTATTTGTGTCTGGAGGAGGGTGGGGTGCAGTCTTGGGGACCAAGCCCTCAACCTATGATCTGACACTATCTCCAGGTAGATAGTGTCAAAATTGAGTTGGAGGATACCCAGCTGGTGTCCACTACTTATTGGTGGGGAAAAACCCCCACATTTTTGGTCACAGACGTCGGGGTTGATTGTTGTGAGAGCAGAGGGAAAATGTGATGTGTTTTTCCAAAATAGTCGTACATCTGTATCACATGGGAAAAGGAAAAGATTTAAATAAAGCAGAAAAATCTCCACCCATAAAGGACGTTATTGATAAATTTGACTATATTACCTTTAAAGATGTGTTTAAAAGGACATAATAAATAACAATGGCTAACATTTATTGAAATCTTAACTATTCACTAGCACAGTGCTCTGTGTTGTTTATGGGTACTTAAATAAAAACCGGTAAGGGAGTGACATGAGAATGATATACACCAACTTTAAGATGGTAATTACCTCTGGAGAGGAAAGGAGGAGAATGAAAGGGAGAATTTCAGCTGTATCTGTAGTGTTGATAGTAAAACTGAAGCGGATAAGAGTGCAACTTCTACTGCATCCTAGCTTGTGCAGCCCTGGGCAAGTTTCCTACTCTTTCTTTGTCTCAGTTTTCTTATCTGTTAAATGAGAATATTAATAGTACCTGCTTCAGGGTTGTGAGGATCAAATAAGTTAATACATTTAAAGCACTTAGAAGAGTGCCTGGCAAGTAGAAAAGGCTCAATAAATAATAGTTTTTGTTTTTGTTTTTGTTTTAGTACAGAAAGAGACTGAGGAAATTAGGTCAAAATATTCACATATGTTAAATCTTTTTTACTGTAGATGTTTGCAATAGACCATGACTTAAAATATTTTTTAAAAAATTAAAAATCTTGATCATAGCTGGGCACAGTGGCTCACACCTGTAATCCCAGCACTTTGGGAGACTGAGGCAGGAGGATTGCTTGATCTCAGGAGTTCGAGACCAGCCTGGACAACATGGTGAAACCCCATCTCTACAAAAAATACAAAAATTAGCTGGGCATGGTGGCACGTGCCAGTAGTCCCGGCTACTTGGGAGACTGAGGTGGGAGGATGGCTTGAACCCAGGAGGCGGAGGTTTTAGTGAGCCGAGATCATGCCACTGCACTCTAGCCTGAACAACAGAGCCAGATCCTGTCTCCAAAAAAAAAAAAAAAGAAAGAAATCTTCATCGTAATGAGCATTTCACATCTTTATTGTGATGAGGAAGCCAAGGAAGCAAACATTAAATAGTGTGTCTCCAGAGGAGCATGGCTCGTGTAATTTAAGGTTCAAATTCTCTTTTTAGATAAATTCTAATCTACCTCATCAAGCTTAACAACTTATGGGCCAACAGCCAGTGCTGCTTACATAAACAAAATGTGATATGTCCTAGAAGCAGGCGTGGTGTCTTTGTGGTAGAGGGTGGAATTAAACCAACAAAAACCTGACTCATTTATGCCAAAGTAGTGAAATATCTGACTAATCAACAACCGTAGGGTGATCATCAGAACTGCTGTACCAACAAATAGTGTAGGTAAACAGTGGAATTGTCTAAGTATTCATAAGCCATTGATGACCCATATAGTTAAACATCCAGAGAAAACATAAGTTCCTGAAGTCTCCTAGTCTTCCACTGTGAAAGTAAGAAGAGTGGGAAAATTAAAGTTTTTAAGGAATCCATCAGTTAGGAATTGAAGTAAGGTTATATACACAGAAAACAGAAACAGATCAGGATTGCTGTTTGGTGGGGGAAGTGGAAGGAAAATGAATCAAAAAGGACAGCTGTCTTAGGAGCCCTGCTGGTCTTTTGGGTGGTTAGATGCAAAATAATGTTTGTGGCCATTTGACAGTAATATTCTTGATGTTTTTGTTAAGGCAGCTAAGAATGGAGCAACAGGCGTGGAGTTGGACATTGAGTTTACTTCTGACGGGATTCCTGTCTTAATGCACGATAACACAGTAGATAGGACGACTGATGGGACTGGGCGATTGTGTGATTTGACATTTGAACAAATTAGGAAGCTGAATCCTGCAGCAAACCACAGACTCAGGTAAGTAGTTTATTGTCACTTAAACAGATCTTTTAGCTTTTATTGGAAATGACAGACACTGGTGCCTTCTAATTACATCTGCCCCAGGAGAGTTGTCTTGTTTTGTTTTGAACTGTACGTAGGTCTTGTAAGTAATGAGCAAGTGCCAGGAACAACAGAAATTTGGCATTATGTTTTTAATCTTTCCCACTGAGGCTAAATTTGGCTTCAGAATTATTGTCAAGATAATACTGTCTAGTCATAGAATCATGAGGCTGAAAGTCATTGCTTGGCAATCTTCTTGCCTTCAGGTGTACCAAGAAGCAAATTATACATTCATTAAAAGCTTCAAGTAACATTATAATATCACATTTTAACTTAACCCATTTAATTCTTCTGATCCTCATAACAAACTTCTGAGGAATCACAGAATTGTAGGAATAGAGAGTATCCTAGAAATCATCTAGAATAGCACTTTGCAGTAGAACTTTCTGCAATGATGGAAATATTTTATATCTGCACTGTGTAATATGGTAGGTACTTGTGGCTATTGAGCACTTGATATGTGGCTAGTGACACGAGGAAGTGAATTTTTAATTTAAATGTAAATTTAAACTGAAATAGCCATGTGTGGCTACCATATAGGATACTACAGATCTAGATCAATCTTGCCTTTAGATATAATCCCAGAAAAGTTAAATTATTTACTCAAGGGCAAATAACTAGTTCATAAAGAAGCCAAAACTAGAATCTATCCCAAGTTTTAGTCCAAATCATGCTGTTTTTAGCTGCCCCCAATGTCTTTCAACCCTGTAAGAGCAAAAGTTCTTTCAGTGTCTAATTTAATTCCTTCCTGGTAGAGTGTAAACGTAGCTTCCAAAGTATATACACTAGAGCTAATCTTACAAGATGTTCTGCAAAAACAGGGTTCAAGTAAGATCAAACAGTGTATTCTGAATACTTCTGTTGTGGATAAACAGTCCACATCAGCTGATTCTTACTTGTAACTTAGCTTTTCTCAAACTTACATGATCACAGAACCTACATCCTCTTCCCCACTTACAGCGGTAAACACCCTTGGAATTGGTATGCTGAGTAATATACTGTACTTTGGAATGTGGTTATTTAAATCCCTCTCTGCTTGTCATCTTTGCAGTACTGAAAAGGGTGTGCTCACTGGTTATTCATGTAATATCAATTATCCAGACAATGATCGATTCTCTTGGAAAATTAAGTATTTGACCCAACAGTTAAGTTATACTTTTTCCTAAAAGATGATCCAGACCTGTTTTCCTAGGATCTGAAAAACATTAGTCTGCCGAAGGAAGTCATACTGTAGGCAGGAAAGAATATTGGTAACACTTGAGAATTATGAGTCCAAGTTGCTAGAATTGTTCTTGAGTGTCATCAGATACTGTATTGCTCTGCTTATGCAAGGGAAAGGCTGGTTTGAATATTATAATGACATTGCAGCTAATAAAATGTCAGGTTCAAAGTTAATACTTAAAGCAAAAATGTTTAGGGTCATCATTACCCTTAAAAATCCTTTAAGGGAGCACTGAGTCCATTTCTCTGGAATTTGTGCATCCTAGGAAAAAAAATTGTGATTTTCAAAAAATCCCTTAAGAAGACAGCAAAGGCAACATATTATCTCAGTGTCTTTAACACAACCAGTCTTTGCTCCACTATTGGAACAGAGTGTGTTCTATGATTGAAAACTAAATGAAGTAATTGGCTTGTGTTTACGGATTATGTTGTGGGAAAAAATAGATATTTTCTCTAGAATTATGCTCAGTGTGATGAGATGCTTGTCCTGAGAGGAGGATAAGGAGGAAACTAAGATCAGCCAAAGGAATAACAAATTCAGGTCTCCCATCTTTCACTCTCAGGGAATAGAAATTGATTAGAATGGCTGGGATAATTGCCTGTAATGTTTAAATTATCCTTATCTTTTTTTTTTTTTTTTTTGAGTTGGAGTTTCACTCTTGTTGCCCAGTTTGGAGTGCAATGGCATGATCTTGGCTCACTGCAACCTCCACCTCCCGGGTTCAAGTGATTCTCCTGCCTCAGCCTCCAGAATGCTGGGATTACAGGCACATGCCACCACACCCAGCTAATTTTTGCATTTTTAGTAGAAACGGGGTTTCGCCATGTTGGCCAGGCTGGTCTCGAACTCCTGACCTCAGGTGATCTGCCTGCCTCAGCTTCCCAAAGTGCTGAATTTACAGGCATGAGCCCACTGTACCTGGCCTATCCTTACCCTTTTTTAAAAGCATGATCTTACAGTTGAAATAATGCAGTTGAATTAGCATTAAGTTAAATAATAATTTTATTATGAGAGAAAAGCTAATTTCTTTTGTATCAAGCACTTAGTTTTCATTTTCTTTATCAGAAAATTATGTCTTAGAACATTATTTATTTTAAACAGTTGCACTTAAATAAATACACAATACAGTTAACAGATTTATGTATTCCTAAGAATTCCTCCTGCATAGCATTCTATTAGGGAAATTACAATCTGAAAATTAAGTCTTTGAGTTTTCCAAAGGTGGCATATACTCTGCCCTTTGGGAAGTAGGGTTATTAATAATGTTATTAATTCAATAGAAATTCAGTGATTTCTTAAAAATTAAATGATTTTTGTTGTTGTTGCTGGTCTTTGGTCAAGAATATCTGTATTTGAACACATGGAGGTTCCTGAATGATGGAGCACTCAGAAAGGGCATGGAAGCTCTATGCCCCTTTCCCCATACCTCACCCTATGCATGTCTTCATCTGTATGCTGTGTAACATACTTTATAATAAACCTGTAAACGTGTTTGAGTTCCGCAAGCCACTCTAACAAATTAATTGAACCCAAGGAGGAGGAGGTGGGAACCCCAATTTATAGCTAGTGTCAGAAGCACAGAATTACCAGAAAAGGAAAACAAATCAAAACAAAACAAAACAAAAAACAGAAAAATAACATCCATTATACAATATAAGAAACCAAAGACCATCAATCTCTAATCTCTGTGCTCAGGTGTCTGTGTGCTTCAATTCTTCTCATCTACGAGTCTTGGGTTTTCAATGCTCACTTGTCACCAGGATATGAATTAAAAATGTCTTGGGCACCACCATGTGGTCCAGTTGTCTTAACCTTTCTAAAAGTGCTTGTGCAAACCATTTACTTGTTGCTTCTTACACAATTACAGCCCAACCTACTTGTGTTTAAAAGCAACCACAGCATGTTTGAAAGTCTTATGCAATAAAAGGGAAGTTTATGATTACATTTAGTCTGTACTTACTGGATACTTTCAGTTTTATCAGTTCCAAGTACAGCAAACTCTGGATAATATGGTTAATTACTTCCTCCATGATTCTTTCGACCTTCATATCAATTTTGCTAAATATGGAATGATTGACTAGCCAGAGCAATCAGGAAAGAGAAAGAAATAAAAGGCATCCAAATTGGAAAAAGAGGAAGTCAGATTGTACCTCTTTGCTGACAACATGATTTTGTATGTAGAAAAACCTAAAGACTTCACCAAAAAACTGTTAAAACTGATAAACAAATTTAGTAAAATTGCAGGATATAAAATCAACGTACAAAAATCAGTAGCATGTCTATACGTAAATAATGAACTAGCTGTAAAAGAAATCAAGAAAGTAATCCCATTTACATAGCTACCAAAAAAAAAATAACAAAATACCTAGGAATAAATATAACCAAAGAGGTGAAAGAGCTCTTACAAGGAAAACTACAAAACACTGATGAGAAAACTTAAGAGGACACAAATGGAAAGACATCCCATGCTCATGGATCAGAAGAATTAATATTCCTAAAGTGACCATTCTACTCAAAATAATTTACAATTCAGTGCAATCCCTATCAAAATATCAAAGACATTCTTCAGAGAAATAGAAAAGCAACAATCCTAAAATTCATATGGAACCGTAAAGAAGCCCAAATAGCTAAAGCAATACTGAACAAAAAGGACAAAGCTGGACATATCACACTACCTCATTTCAAGATATACTACAAAGCCACAGTAACCAAAACAGCATGGTATTGGTATAAATACTGACACACACACACACACACACACACACACACACACACACACAAAACAGATACATAGACCAGTGGAATACAATAGAGAACCAAGAAATAAATCCATATATTTACAGCCAACTGATTTTCCATGAAGGCACCAAGAACATTACAGTGGGGGAAAGGAACTCTCTTCAATAACTGGTACTGGGTAAACTGGATATCCATATGCAGGATAATGAAACTAGACCCCTATCTCTCACTATATTTAAAAAATCAACACAAAATGGATTAAAAGTTTAAATTTAAGACCAGAAACTATAAAACTACTAGAAGAAAACACAGGGGAAAAGCTCTGGGACATTGATCTAGGCAAAGATTTTATGGCTAAGACCTCAAAAGCACAGGCAACAAAAACAGGCAAATGTGACTATATTAAACTAAAAAGCTTCTGCACAGCAAAGGAAATAATCAACAGAGTAAAAAGAAAACCTGTTGAATAGGAGAAAATATTTGCAAACTATTCAACAGACAAGTAACTAATATCCAGAATATACAAGGAACTTAACAGCAAAAACAATAATAATCCCATTAAAAACATCTATTCAAATCCTAATTTGAATAAACATTTTTCAAAAGAGGACACACAAATGGCCAACAGGCATATGAAAAAACACCACAAATTATTAGGGAAATGCAAATCAAAACCACAATGAAGTACCATCTTATCTAGTTAGAATGGCCATTATTTAAAAGATTTTTAAAATAACAGATGCTGGCGAGGATACAGAGCAAAAGGAACTCTTATATTCTGTTGGTGGGAATGTAAATTAGTACAGCCATTATGGAAAACAGTATGGAGGTTTCTCAAAAAACTAAAAATATAGAACTACCATACAATCCAGTAATCCCACTAGTTGGTATCTATCCAAAAGAAAGGAAACTAGTGTATCAAAGGCATACTTGCACCCCCATGTTTATTGCAACACTATTCACAATAGCCAAGATACAGAATCAACCTAAGTGTTCATCAGTGGATGAATGGATAAACTGTGGTAAATATACTCAATGGAATACTATGTAGTTAGCCATAAAAAAGGATGATATCCTGTCATTTACAGCAACATGGATGGAACTGAAGGTATTATGTTAAATGAAATAAGATAAGCCAGGCACAGAAAGGCAAATATTACATGTTGTCACTCATATATGGGAGCTAAAAAAGTTGATCTCATGGAGGTAGAGAGGAGAATGATAGTTACCAGAGGCTGGGAAGGGTTTGGGGTTGGGGGAAGAGGAGAATAAGGAGAATTTGGTTAATGAGTACAAACATACAGTTCGATAGAAGGTATAAATTCTAGTGTTCAATAACATAGTAAAGTGATTATAGTTAACAATCTGTTGTATATTTCAAAATAGCTAGGAGATTTAGATGTTCCTAACACAAAGAAATGATAAATATTTGGGGTGATGGACATCCTAAATACCCTGATTTTATCATTATACATTATGCGCATATCACAAAAATATGTCTAAGTGTATAGCAATAAAAATGTGGAAAAAAGAATATCTATAATTTGGTTCAAATTATTACAGTAGGACAGGCGCAGTGGCTCACACCTGTAATCCTAGCACTTTGGGAGGCCAAGGCAGGTAGATCACTTGAGGTCAGGAGTTCAAGACCAGCCTGGCCACCATGGTGAAACCCCGCCTCTACTAAAAACACAAAAAATTAGCCAGGCGTGGTGTCACACGCCTGTAGTCCTAGCTACTTGGGAGGCTGGGGCGGGAGAATTGCTTGAACCTGGGAGTTGGTAGTTCCAGTGAGCTGAGATTGCACCACTGCACTCCAGGCTGGGCAACAGAGCAAGACTCCGTCTCAAAAAAAAAAAAAAAAATCTTAAAGTAAAGTATCTTTGGACTTTGCTATGGTCGAAAAAAGGAAGTTGGAGAAAACACTCTTTCCTTTTGATTGAGAGACATATGCAAAATGTTTGTTGCAATACAGTTTATCTGTTTCTCTTTTTTCCTACAACGTATTTTCTCTTCTCTTACAGGAATGATTTCCCTGATGAAAAGATCCCTACCCTAAGGGAAGCTGTTGCAGAGTGCCTAAACCATAACCTCACAATCTTCTTTGATGTCAAAGGCCATGCACACAAGGTACAGTTTAAATTGTGGACTTCACTTTGTTAAAAAGACATCTTATTTCATTGACGGTCATTTCCGAAGTTACATATATTTTGTTATTTATTCTTTTTAAAACTTATTTTTATAAATTGTATTTGTTTAATGGAAGTGTACAATGCAGGAATCTATATCATTTAAGGAAACAGTGCATTATGGAACTTTTTAACCTTTTATGGAAACTTTACAAAACCAGCATAAAATGGAAGAGTCAAGTTTCTATTATTTACATAAAGCATTTACAAAAGATATTAAGTAAACAGTAAAAAAGACATTTCTAGAAAAAAACCACTGTAGTAACCTTGAGTTACTTGAAAAAAAGGAATTCCGAAGTTGTACACAAGACCAATTTTATCTAGCTTAAAAGTTAAGGGCCTTATATGGACAACTATGGACTGCATTTAAAGAGAATTCCTATATTAAAAGCTTCTAATAGTTAACAGAACATATACCTTTTACATAGATTTATCCCTTTGTATAATTTATATCCCTTATGTATAGTTTTTTATTCATTGATTTTAGCAGTTATACTTTTATCAGAAAATCATTTATTTTCTTCAAATGTATTTGACATTCCTAGATAAAATTTTGCTTAAATTTTAGGGCCTGCACTTACACTCATAAGAACATATTATTACAGTGAAAATCAGTGGGAAGATATGATTCTGATTACATTTGTTCTCTTATAACCAGCTTTTCAAGTGCAAGTACTTTTTTCCCCATTTGGGCAACTTGAGTATTTTTCCCCTAGCAATATTAATAATCGGTAAGGGCCATCTACTGGTTGAGAATTCTGATGATGCCAATTTTTTTTTTTAATTAATCCCATGATATCATTGAAACCAGTTGTTAAAACCCAAAATGGGCCGGGTGCAGTGGCTCACACCTGTAATCCCAGCACTTTGGGAGTGGATCACCTGAGGTCAGGAGTTCGAGACCAGCCTGGCCAACATGGTGAAACCCCTGTCTCCACTAAAAATACAAAAATTAGCTGGACTTGGTGGCGGGCACCTGTAATCCCAGCTACTCGGGAGGCTGAGGCAGGAGAATCGCTTGAACCGGGGAGACAGAGGTTGCACTGAGCCGAGATTGCGCCAGTAGTACTCCAGCCTGGGTGACAGAGCGAGACTCCGTCTCAAAAAAAAAAAAAAAACCTGAAATGTGGAGCCTAAGTATACACTCTAATTTTATTAACAGTTAATTCCTATTTTTGAAGAAGGAAGATAATGGTAACTAATTTATTATTCTAGTAAACCGATAGTTGTATACGTCTAGGTTTTCCAATTGGTCTGCGTTAGAATCACCTGTACCTATTTTAAAATATAAATTCCTGGGCCATTCTCCCTAGGGAAGAGATTCTGAAAATGTCTAGGGTGGGCTCAAGGAACATGTATTTTTAATGAGCACCTCAGGTGCTCATTGTTGATGTTGCAGCCCACATTTGGGAACCCTGATAGGTCCTACATTTCACCCATGGTATACTGACTTTTATGCTTATTCTCTTAGATTTTTTGAGACAGAGTCTCACTCTGTCACCTAGGCTGGAGTGCATTGGCGCGATCTCGGCTCAATGCAACCTCTGCCTCCGGGGTTCAAGCAATTCTCCTGCCTCAGCCTCCCAAGCAGCTGAGATTAGAGGCATGTGCCATCACACCCGGCTAATTTTTGTATATTTAGTAGAGATGGGGTTTTGCCATGTTGGCCAGGCTGGTCTCAAACTCCTGGCCTCGAGTGATCCGCCCACCTTGGCCTCCCAAAGTGCTGGGATTACAGGTGTGAGCCACCACGCCTGGCTTCTCTTAGAATACTTTTTAAAAAGAAGTAGACATTTAAAAAAGAAAATCTAGCTATTTGAGTCTTCTGAATGGGTGCTCATGGGTGTTCAGCCAAGACTGGGTAGAACATAGTGACCTAATTCACCAAGATGGTAGTAGAAAGGCACAAGTGTAGGCAACAAAGTGGAGCTAGTAGAGCACAGTGGCCAAAATCATGGGCTTGGGACTCCAACAGTCCTTGACTGAGCTCTTACTACAGGGTAACCTTAACTTTGATGAGCTTCAGTTTCTTCATGGGTAAAATGGGGATACTAAAAGCAGTTACCACATAAGGTTGTTGTGAGAATTAAATAATGTAAATGCTAAGAGTTTACAGTGCATGTCTTTGTTCAAACAGAAAAAAAAATGCTTTCTATAGCTTGCCTTCAGTTGCATTAGCGAAGAGGAGGCATGACATGGATAATTTGTGTCCTTTTTTATTTTGGTGGGGGAATGCATTTTGCTCATCATATTTGGTTAGGGGTATGTGTAACATTCCAAAAATTAGCAGTGTTTCACAAATTATGCAGCAGCAGCATTGCGTCCCACATGGCTGGTGACTTTCTTGTTGTTAGCTGCTATTGATGTCACTTCACTAGGGGTTACCAAATAATACTTAAATTCTATCATGTCTTCTTCATTTCGTAGCTAGACTACTATAAAAAGAAACTTCTGTTCACCTTGGGAAGAATTGGGAGCCCCTTAACTCTTCCCAGTCCCTCCTACCCTTGCCCCATTACTTCTCCCTCCATATTGGTGATGGGTAATGCGTCCTCTCAGTCCCCTGGACTGAGAAATCTATCCTCTGTAGTTCCCAGACTGGCTGGCTCATGTTTCATTTAGAAAAGGCACAGAGTGATAGAGCTGTGGGTATGAAAGGACTTTTCATAGTGGCTAAACTAGGGTATAAGGCAAGGAAAATTTTGCCTCTGGCCTCATCTGACCTACGGCTTACCACACTTTTCAAAAGTATTCCAAAAGGGGTGAGGCCCTCAGAGGGAGTAAAGCAGCAGTACTCCACCTTCTTCCTTGTTTGCTGCTGGTGTGAGTTTAAAATGCATCCCAGTGGATAATAGACTCTACCAATACTTTCAGTACCTCCATTTCTAGTAAACTTCTGTTTTATTCCATAGGGTTGTACTTAATATGTGATAGTTATTGGCTGGGGCTATCTATCACATTTTAATCAATTTTAAATATATGAATCTCTTTATTTTACAGGCTACTGAGGCTCTAAAGAAAATGTATATGGAATTTCCTCAACTGTATAATAATAGTGTGGTCTGTTCTTTCTTGCCAGAAGTTATCTACAAGGTAACATTCGGGATTTTTCTTGTACATATTAGGTGAGCTGGTGTAGATAATTGCAATGGGCTGCGTAAGCACAGGATAGATGCCTATTAAATTGAACTGCATCAGGGTCACAGTTGAGAAGCTCCTCTTTTAAATTAACCAGAGAAATTCCAGAAGGGGAATGTACTCATACCCCTTACAGAATGCCATTATTCCTCTTTTGCCCCTTCTTTTATGTTGTTTATAGGCTCACTCAGATTACTGTAGTAAAATTCTCACAACAGAAAAGAATTATGTAGCCCCTACTTCTCACCAACTAACAGCAGAACATACCTTCATAAAATAAATTCTTAATTATGGAGAATCTAAAACATGCATAAAATAAAGTAGTAGTGTACCCCCCCTTTAACTGTGATCCAGCTCATTTCACCCATAACCCCATTGATCCTCCCCAGTGTTATTTTGAAGCAAATCTTATTCCATCCATAAAATTGCATTAAGAATCTTTAAAAAGTGATGCCATTTTATTTATTTATTTATTTATTTATTTATTTATTTATTTATTTTAAAAGACGGGTTCTCCCTCAGTTTCCCAGGCTGGAGTGCAGTGGTGTGATCACAGCTCACTGCACTCTTGACCTTCCAGGCTCAAATGATCCTCCTGCCTCAGCCTTCCAAGTAGCTGGGACCACAGGCGCACGTCACCACGCCCAGCTAATTTTTTATTTTTATTTTTTGTAGAGACAGGGTCTCCCTGTATTACCCAGGCAGTTCTCCAACTCCTAAGCTCAAGCAATCCTTCCACCTCAGCCTCTCAAAGTGCTGGGATTACAGGCATGAGCCACAGTAACCAGCCTAGTGATGCCTTTTTAAAAACATAGCCACAATGCCATTGTCCCATCTAAAAATTATTAACAATAAATTATTCATATCATCAAATATCCAGTGTATAAATTTTGACTTGTCTCGGAAATGTCATAAATGGTTGTTTTTCATAAATTGCTCATTCGAATAGGACCCAAGTAAGATCGGCGTGTTACAATCGTAAATCTTTTTTTGTTTGTTTTTGAGACGGAGTCTTGCTCTGTCGCCCAGTGGTATGATCTCGGCTCATCGCAACCTCTGCCTCCCGGGTTCAAGCAATTCTCTTGCCTCAGCCTCCTGAGTAGCTGGGATTACAAGCACACACCACCATGCCTGGCTAATTTTTTTTGTATTTTAGTAGAGACGGGGTTTTGCCATGTTGGCCAGGCTGGTCTCGAGCTCCTGACCTCAGGTGATCTGCCTGCCTCGGCCTCCCAAAATGATTACAGGTGTGAGCCACTATGCCCTGCCGGCAACTGTAAATCTTAAAACTTGCAGGTTCTGTCTCTCTCTCTCTCTGTTTTTTTTGTTTGTTTGTTTTGGGGGGGGTCCTTGTTTTGTATTTACTGAAGAAACCGGATTATTGTTTTGTAGAGTTTACCCAAGTCCAAATTTTGCTGATTATGCCATGATATGGCTTAATATTTTTTTCTCTTTATTTTCTATAAACTGGTAGCGAGAGCTGGAAGCTTGCCTTGATGAGGTTAGGGTTGGTTATTCTTGGCAAGATAACTCTAGAGATGAGGGTGTTTTTCCGTCAGGAGGCACTTGACATCTGGTTGACTCCTGTTGTTTTTGGCTGCTATTGATGCTCATTGGCCAGATCTGTCCATTTTCTAGGGAGCTACAAAATGCTGATATTTTAATTCTATTACTTCTTGCATTAGCTGAAATAGATCTTTAAAAAGAAACTTTTCCTCCTCTACTATTTAGTTACCAAATAGGCAGAATAAATGCTTTATCTTTCCTTTTATTTACCAGTTTCCAGAATAACAAGCTGGTTCCGTAGCATTCTTTACCAGTGACCAACAGAGCATACATTGAAAATTTTTACAGTGAGGATAGAGCCTATCAATAGAAGCTGTCATGGAGTTGAATAGGGTCATGGGGCTTGCAGACATTTGGAACAGTGTTTCCCAAACTTCCTTGACCACAGAGTCCTTTAAAACGTATAAGACATTCCCCCAGAGGAGCACAAGAGCAGAGACTAAAGGAACTCCATCCACATCTCTCCATTTCTCTGTTGTCCTCTCCCATTCTCTCGTCACAATCCCTTCTCTCCCTTCCCACCTCACTTCCCCATCCCCCTCCTCACCCCTACAACTCTTCAGCCATTTGCTCTGGAAAGGGTCAAAACTAAACAGCCCATCTTGAACTGACCTTGGTTCCCTCCTCATTGAGTTCTAATTAATTATCTCTGGCCAGGATTTAAGTCAATAGCCAATTAAAAGTTTATTCTCATGACATTATTAAAATTTGATCCTGAAGTTTTAATTTTTCCATTTTAAAGATAGGATTGCAGTTTTTAAGGACTGGGAAAAAAAAGTTCTCATATGTGCTGCATATTAGTGCTTTACATTCTTCACATTATTTTCTCAAAGGGTTTATGATTGAGAACTTATTTAGTAGATACCGGGGCAGGGTACCAACCATGACCACCTCATCTGATTGAGCACATTGGCTAAATCTAAACTAATAAGTATTCAACTTTACATATGATCATTATTTTACTTCCCCAAATTCCTTTGCAGATGAGACAAACAGATCGGGATGTAATAACAGCATTAACTCACAGACCTTGGAGCCTAAGCCATACAGGAGATGGGAAACCACGCTATGATACTTTCTGGAAACATTTTATATTTGTTATGATGGACATTTTGCTCGATTGGAGCATGCATAATATCTTGTGGTACCTGTGTGGAATTTCAGCTTTCCTCATGCAAAAGGATTTTGTATCCCCGTAAGTTGGAAGGTTTTTTATTTTACCCAGACAGACATCCTGAATGCTCTTATTTGAAAGGAAGGATTAACAGAGTAGACAACCTGAATTGGTTCTGACCTGCAAAGCTTACCATACCTCTAAATTGGATTACCAATTTCGCTTCTTAGGTGGGAAGAGTTCAGGCATATTTCACTGTTTTCAGACCGAGTCGATCACATATTTTCGGTTTTTTAGTGTATTTTGAAGAAAAAAAATGAACCTGTGACACTATGCTGAGCAAGGGATTTTATTTCTGTGACTGGTTTTTTTGAAAGCCAACACAGGATCCTGGGCAGAACCACAGTGAAGACATCCTGTGGGCACCAGCCTCCCCACTACCGTCTTATGTTATAGGCACTCCCCCACCTCTCCCCATAAAATTTCCATTTCCTAACCTGCTAGCGATCTCGGAATCATTTCTTTGGCAATTCTGTATCTGTATATTTCAGCTAATTAGAGTTGTAGGTCTAGTATTATTTCAGACATACATGATTCAGTTCAATAAATATTTGGTAAGTGCCTATACTATTGCAAGGTTCCATGTTGAGAAGCTGAAGATGCAGTGGGTAAAGAATCAAAGCCATGATCTCTGCCCTCGTGACGTTTATAGCCAAGTGGGAGAGTGAGAGATGCTAATCAAATAAAAATCCAATCAATATAAAGTTAAAACTAAGATACAGGCTATGTCAGAGAAAACTGTGCATGGGCTATAATCTAATCTGGTCTGGGTTGTCAGAAACAGCATCCCCAAGGAAGTGACAGTTAAGCTAAGATCTGAAGGGTGAGTGGGAATTGGGAGGAATCCAGATCAGAGAGAAAAATACATGTAATGTGCTCTGGCAGGAAGGAACATGGTTCTTTCCAGGAAGTGAAAGAAAATTAATATTCTTTCAATTAATTTAAAATTAATCAGCACAGAAAAGAAAGGGGGAATGTGGTGTGAGATGAAGCCAAGGAGACAGGTCGGGGCCAGGTCAGGCACACCTTCAGTGGCTGTGCCAAGGACATTTGGGGGTGGCGATCATTAGTGAGCTACTGAAATGTTTTAAGCTGGGACAGTGTAGAGGAGGTTCATGGCATCCTGGGTTTTGGAACAGTCCCTCTGATCACAGTGCAGAGGCCAGTTAGGAGGCATTCTCTGGGCACCATTGGTATGCAGTGAACACCATACTTAGTGGCCATTATGGATTCCTGAGACAGCTGCTTATTATTCTAACAGGATTGGCTTTCCTCTTTCCCCAGGGCCTACTTGAAGAAGTGGTCAGCTAAAGGAATCCAGGTTGTTGGTTGGACTGTTAATACCTTTGATGAAAAGAGTTACTACGAATCCCATCTTGGTTCCAGCTATATCACTGACAGCATGGTAGAAGACTGCGAACCTCACTTCTAGACTTTCACGGTGGGACGAAACGGGTTCAGAAACTGCCAGGGGCCTCATACAGGGATATCAAAATACCCTTTGTGCTAGCCCAGGCCCTGGGGAATCAGGTGACTCACACAAATGCAATAGTTGGTCACTGCATTTTTACCTGAACCAAAGCTAAACCCGGTGTTGCCACCATGCACCATGGCATGCCAGAGTTCAACACTGTTGCTCTTGAAAATCTGGGTCTGAAAAAACGCACAAGAGCCCCTGCCCTGCCCTAGCTGAGGCACACAGGGAGACCCAGTGAGGATAAGCACAGATTGAATTGTACAGTTTGCAGATGCAGATGTAAATGCATGGGACATGCATGATAACTCAGAGTTGACATTTTAAAACTTGCCACACTTATTTCAAATATTTGTACTCAGCTATGTTAACATGTACTGTAGACATCAAACTTGTGGCCATACTAATAAAATTATTAAAAGGAGCACTAAAGGAAAACTGTGTGCCAAGCATCATATCCTAAGGCATACGGAATTTGGGGAAGCCACCATGCAATCCAGTGAGGCTTCAGTGTACAGCAACCAAAATGGTAGGGAGGTCTTGAAGCCAATGAGGGATTTATAGCATCTTGAATAGAGAGCTGCAAACCACCAGGGGGCAGAGTTGCATTTTTCCAGGCTTTTTAGGAAGCTCTGCAACAGATGTGATCTGATCATAGGCAATTAGAACTGGAAGAAACTTCCAAAAATATCTAGGTTTGTCCTCATTTTACAAATGAGGAAACTAAACTCTGTGGAAGGGAAGGGGTTGCCTCAAAAGTCACAGCTTAGCTGGGCACAGTGGCTCATGCCGATAATCCCAGCAATTCAGAAAGCTGAGGCAGGAGGATTACTTGAGGCCAGACTGGGCAATATAGCAAGACCCCATCTCTAAAAAATTAGGCATGGTGGTGCATGCCTGTATTCCCAGCTACTCAGGAGGTTGAGGTGGGAGGATCACTTGAGCCCAGAAGTTCAAGGCTGCAATGAGCCATGATTACACCACGGCACTACAACCTTGGTGGCACAGTGAGAACCTGACTCTTAAAAAAAAAAAAAAAAAAAAAAAAAAAAAGATAACTAGAACTTCTAGAACATCTTGTTTACAGTTAGCCAGAAACTATACAAGTGGTTTAACATGCATTATCTTACTCAATCCATACAAAAGTCTTATGGAGGTGTTAGCACTCTTTCTACTGATGAAGAACTGAGGTACTTCATAAAACCACTTACCCAAGGTGTCTTGAGTCTGGTACAACTGGCATTCAAATCTAGGTCAGTCTGCCCCCAGAGCCACTACCCTTACCCCTCACTGAATCTGCCTTTATATTGTTGAGCCCATGACCCCAAACTGCTCTTTCCAATTTGAACTTCCAGGGATTTTATTGTGAACTTACATAGCAACATTAAAATGAAGTTGAATTGTTTTTAATGGCAACGCCGTCTGTCTCCTCTAGCTTACCGCTTCTCACCTTTCAACCCCATCTGTGGCCTTTGTCCAGGCCCACAGCTTAGCCATGGCTTCCCTCCTGCATCCCTGCCGTGGGTTGCTGGCCTCACACTTGCAGCAGCTGGACAGTGATTTTAGAAGGCCACCAGTCCCCATAGCTATGTGACAATGAGAAGCAAACTTTTTTGTGACAGATTGTATTGGCATAGGCATGATAGATGGGGATTGGTACGTTTTGAATCAGCATTTGCAAAAAAATTGTCTTGAATTTTAAAATAAACAACAAAGATTTGTTCATTGAGTGCAACAAATGTCTAAACTGCATGTACTTCCGTGCCATGTTATGACTAGAGTGAAAGGAGGAGGAAAAAGTGACCAAAGAAGATACATCAGGCCAGGCGTGATGGCTCATACCTGTAATCCCAGCACTTTGGGAGCTGAGGTGGGTGGATCACTTGAGGCCAGGAGTTTGAGACCAGCCTGGCCATGATGGGGAAACCCCATCTCTACTAAAAATACAAACATTAGTTGGGCATGGTGGCACATGCCTGTAATCCCAGCTATTCAGGAGGCTGAAGCAAGGAGAATTGCTTGAACCCAGGAGTCAGAGGTTGCAGTGAGCCAAGATTGTACCACTGCACTCCAGCCTAGGCCAGAGAGCAAGACTCTGTCTCAAAAAAAAAAAAAAAAAAAAAAAAAAGATACCTCTGTTCAACACTAGCTGTTCAACAGGCTGTTCAACACTAGCCTGGGCAACATAGTGAGACCCCATCTCTACAAAAAATTTACAAATAGGGGCTGAGATGGGAGGATCACTGGAGCCTAGCAGGTTGAGGCTGCAGTGAGCTAGGATCGTGCCACTGCACTACAGCCTAGGGGACAGAGTTTGACTCCAATCTTTAAAAATTTCATAATAATAATAATATCCCTTTGTGTTGTGGGAAGATCTCTGGAGAGCCATGAGATCTCTGTCTCTTGATCTTTATCCCAAATCCATTTTACCTTTGATTCAGCCAGGCCAAATTAAGGATTTAGGTCCTATGCTAAGATGGTCAGGGCCTCAAAAGGTGGAGAATTTGAATGATGAAATAAGGTATTAATAACTACTATTAAGCACTTCCTTGGAAGGCTTAGTATAGGGTTAATAACAGGATTTGGAATCAGAGAAAGCCAAGTCTGCCTTCCTATTCAGCAACTTACCAGCTATATGACCTTGGGTAAGTTACTGAATTTATCTGTAAAATAGGGGTAGTATTCTTGCGGTGGTAGTGATTAAATGAAAGAGTGCATGTAAAATCCTTGCTAATTAACATTTATTGACTGCCTACCATGTCCTAGACTGTTTAAAATGCTTTCCATGTACAGTAGTTTCTTTATTTTTTGAGACAGTCTCACTCTGTCACCCAGGCTGAAGCGCAGTGGTGCGATTTCAGCTCACTGCAACCTCTGCCTCCTGGGTCCAAGCAATTCTCCTGCCTCAGCCTCCTGAGTAGCTGGGATTACAGGCGCTTGCCACCACGCCCGGCTAATTTTTGTATTTTTAGTAGAGATAAGGTCTTACCATGTTGGCTGGGCTGGTCTCGAACTCCTGACCTCAGGTGATCCGCCCACCTCAGCCTCCCAAAGTGCGGGGATTACAGGCATGAGCCACTATCCACTGCATGTACACCTCCAGGAGAAGCAGGGCTGCACTGAAGTGGAGACAAGGGATGGAGGTGAAGGGAGAAGCATTCTAGATGGAAGCACTTAGCATCTGGTGAATGAGCAGAAGTGATGCTTTCAGAGAGAGTTCAGATTTCATTGTAGAAGCCCAAGCAGCAGCCGGGCATGGTGGCTCACGCCTGTAATCCCAACACTTTGGGAGGCTGAAGCGAGCGGATCATCTGAGGTCAGGAGTTCAACACCAGCCCAGCCAACATGGTGAAACCCCGTCTCTACTAAAAATACAAAAATTAGCCGGACCTGGTGGCACGCTCCCGTAATCGCAGCTACTCGGGAGGCTGAGGCAGGAGAATCACTTGAACCCAGGAGGGGGAGGTTGCAGTGAGCTGAGATTGTACCACTGCACTCCAGCCTGGGAGACAGAGGGAGGCTCCAACTCCATCTCAAAAAAAAGCAAAGAAAAAAGCACAAACAGCACTAAGATGACCCCAAGGGGAATAAAATCACTTCCAACATCACTTCCATGGGTTGCCTGCACTGACCCCACAGACAAGTCTCCCTTAGTCCCTGTGCTTCTTCAGAGCATCTACTACAACTGTAATTAATTATTGCTTAAGAATTAAATTCATGTCTAAACCTGCTAGACAGGCAGCACCATGAATTGTTCACCATCTTGCTCACCACTATTTGGTCCATATTTGTTGAATGAATGGATGGATGAACACTACATACAACTGTTACCAAAGATGACACCAAAAGAAATTAATTCCTCCGATGAAGTGAATTAATGAAAAAAATAAGTGAATGAAAAAGTGCGTGGTCAAGTGCAGTGGCGTGTGCCTGTAGTCCCAGCTACTTGGCAGGCTGAAGTGGGAGGACTGCTTGACCTAGGAGTTTGAGTCAAAGCTGGCAACACAGCCCAGCCTTATCTCTTAAAAATAAAAAAAAAAGGGAATAAATGACAGCACTGGTTGGGTGCTTGTGTTTCGAATGTATCTTAACTGCTTTCTAAATTCAGTTCCAATTAGGTTTTATGCGAGTGATTACTTAAGAGGAGGCTCCTCTCTCCTGAGTAACTGCACCTTTCTGCTGGACCTTTCAGTGTTAAGAACAGCCACGTGGCTTGTGAATCATTTGGCAAACCTGCAAAAACATTATACACACACGTATTCATTACATATGTGCACACACACACACATTCCACACATCACCACCAGTTTCATATTTGGTTTGAATAAGACTTTTAATTTACTTTATTTATTTATTTATTTATTTTTTTGAGGCAGAGTCTCACTGTTGCCCAGGCTGGAATGCAGTGGTACAATCTCGCCTCACTGCAACCTCTGCCTCCCAGGTTCAAGCAATTCTCCTGCCTCAGCCTCCCGAGTAGCTGGGATTATAGGCATGTACCACCACGCCCAGCTAGTTTTTTTATTTTTAGTAGAGACGGGGTTTCACCATGTTGGCCAGGCTGGTCTTGAACTCCTGACATTAAGTGATCCGCTTGCCTCAGCCTCCCAAAGTGCCGGGATTACAGGCATAAGCCATCGCACCCAGCTAATTTCTTTTCTTTTCTTTTTTCTTATTCAGTCTCCGTAGAGACTGTCAAAAATTGCCAGCGCTGATTATATTTCAAGTCATCACGGTGGGGTATTGGGAAAATTTCCAATTAGCAATAATCGCGTCTCGGATAAATCTCATTGGCTACGGTACTGCCACTGCAAAGCTAGCTTGACGTAGGACTTTGATGGTCATGTATAACACCTCACAGGGGCAGAACCTCCTCCATCCCCGACTCCAAAGACTCATGTAATCAGTACGCAAGAAAGTTCAGAGATGAGACCTCTGGTTGTATTCCACCTTTGGGACATGGGGGATGTCTTTAGTTCAAAGTCACAAATAAATGCAGGTTCTACAATTCAGAGGCTTCATATCCCTGCTGGAGTATTACATGTTTATTCAGGATGGACCACTTTTCTTAGCAACAGTTTCTAAACCTTTGCCAGGTCTGGGAAGTCTGGCAGGAGAGATTTCTAAGAACCAATCATTCCTGCACACACTTCTTGAAGATAATATACATTATTCCCTAGTTATCTCTTCCTAGGTTTTTGTAGGCTCATTTCAATATTACAACAATCTTTATTGGAAAACCCCAAGTATTTTGTCTTGAAAAATCAGCAATCCAGGTATTAAAAATAGCATGGAATGCCCAATTTTACTTTGATAATTACATGGTAGTCAGTTTCCGCTCCTGGCTAAAGCCTTGGATTTTCTTCTGGGCAGTTCCTAAAGGCACAGGTGGCATGGAAGAAATCATTCCATTTTCGTCTCCTCCCCTTATTTGATTGGTGTCTGGTTACCAAAAGAGTCATCAGGCCCTTGGATTACCTTCTTGAACTGATCTTCTAGATCGCAAGTCTAGGTTTGACACAGGAAAGAGAAGTTAACGCAGGCACACTCTGCCCCATCTCTACAAGGGAAAGACCAGCTTGCCTTCAAGATTCCATAGCTTCTCATGCCTTCTTTGCCTCTTCCTTTTAGTTTCTATAATCCTTCCCTTGAACTCCCATCACTGGAAGTCATCAGTAAATGCTATCCCCCAAAAATAAATGGGTTTGCTTGTTTGTTTCCTGCCCAGAATTCGCTCTCCTGGCATCAGCCCCAGATTTTCTTTAGGAAGTCACCCTTCCCTACTCTTGGTCCCTATGGTCTTCATGGTTGCACCACCTGCATCTACAGATGAAATCATGTGATCAAGGGAACTGCCACATTTTTGCACCCACAACAATTGGTTCATAGACGGGGACATCACCCAGTCAGATCCTATGAAACACCGTGAGAATCCTGGGTCCCTCAGTCTTTCCCACCAGACTGACTCTGAGAAGATATAAGAAGTTGATAAAGCTGTCTTGCACTTATTAGGCAGAGTCTATTGCAAAAGGAACTAACATGGGTAAGAACGGAACTGAAAGAAACCGGGTTCTGGTGACACTGTGAGTTCCTGCGTTAGGCAAGGCCTAAAGCAAGAATTATTCTTGGAATTTTGTTTAAGCCAGTTTGGATCCAATTTGCAACTGAAAAAGTAATGGACACATGAGCAATTCTTACACTTGTCTTAGGATATTTCACCAGAAATAAATTAGTGTCTTATTCTGTCCCAGTTTAATTACTCACCAAGACTGCCATCATGTTCCCCCAAATGCAAAAAGCCTTGTTGCTGAAAAAGAAAAAAACAAGCAGCCACGTCACGGAGGAAGAATGCAGATTCTGGGTCTTGTCACATATTTGGCACAATTTGTGAGCCCCTCACCATTTTATAGAAGTTAAGGGATGAGAGATTAAGGCCAAGTCTCCGCCATAGAAATATTGAACATGTTTTGTTTTTTAGGGAGAGTGATTCCATTCATTCATTCCACAGATACTCTTTTTTTTTTTTTTTTTTTTTTTTTTGACAGAGTCTTGCTTTATCTCCTAGACTGGAGTGGAATGGCATGATCTCGGCTCACTGCAACCTCCGCCTCTCGGGTTCCAGCGATTTTCCCGCCTCAGCCTCTGGAGTAGCTGGGATTATAGGTGCCTGCCACCACGCCCAGCTAATTTTTTTTTTTTATTTTTAGTAGAGACAGGGTTTCACCATGTTGGTCAGGCCGGTCTCAAACTCCTGACCTCAAGTGATCTGTCCACCTCGGCCTCCCAAAGTGCTGGGATTACAGGCGTGAGCCACCGCACCTGGCCGTTCCACAGATATTCACTGAGCATTCATATTATGCCAGGTAATAAATTAGGACGTGGGGTGACAAGTGCACAGACGTGGTCCTCACCTTCAGAGAATCTACCTTTAGGCCTCTAGATCCCTTACCTAAATTGTGCTGACAGTATAAATTTGCACAGATGGTAAATTACTTGTCAGTCACTTCTGTCAAGATCACAATTTCCAACATAAGTGGTATTTGCGTTAAGGTGGATTTACTGTTCATCTGTATTTTCAGGACACTCAGGAAGCAAGCAAGGCTTTGGAATTAGAGCAGGGTTTCATGTATCTTTATATTCTCTTGGTAAGAATGAAATTGATTAAATCTTTTTAAGGGAATGATATAGCAATATCTATTAACATTGTCATGTACGTGCTTTGTGGCAGAAATATTCACAAAAAATAACTTTTTAATTTTTTTTTTTTTTTGACACGGAGTCTTGCACTGTTGCCCAGGCTGGAGTGCAATGGTGTGACCTTGGCTCACTGCAATCTCCACCTCCTGGGTCCAAGTGATTTCCTGTGCTTCAGCCTCCCAAGTAGCTGGGATTACAGATGTGCACCACAACACCCAGCTAAGTTTTCTTGTTTGTTTGTTTTTGTTTTTTATATTTTTACTAGAGATGGGTTTCACCATGTTTGCTGGGCTGGTCTCGAACCCCTGACCTCAAGTGATAAGCCCGCCTCGGCCTCCCAAAGTGCTGGGGATCACAGGAGGGAGCCACTGTGCCCAGGGTAATTTTTTTTAGAGAGAGGGTCTTGTTCTGTCTCCCAAGCTGGAGTGCGGTGATGGGATCATAGCTCACTGTAGCCTCAAACTCCTGGGTTTGAGCAGTCCTCTCACCTCAGCTTCCTGAGTAGCTGAGGCTACAGTTGCATGCCACCGTGCCTAATTATTAAAATTTTTTAAGGGATGGGGTCTCGCTATGTTGGTCTTAAACTCCTGGCCTCAAGCAGTCCTCCCCTCCCACCTCAGCCTCCTGAGTAGCTGCGATTATAAACGCACAAAAAATAATTGTAACAAAATGTTTCATTACCTACTGTTTTAAGTATTTAAAAACATAGAAACAACCCAAATATCCAAATATGTACAGAATTAAACATCGTTCAAGATATAGTATTTAGTGGTGGGCTGCGGGGGAGGGAAGTTATGATACTATTTGTATAATATAGCCTCACTTTTGTAATAAACAAGTAAATTAAAGTGTTGGTAGATACAGGTATGTTTGCAGATGCCTAGGGAAATAGATTTGCAAGAATAGACACTGAAGTAGGCCGGGCGCGGTGGCTCACGCCTGTAATCCCAGCACTTTGGGAGGCCGAGGCGGGCGGATCACGAGGTCAGGAGATCGAGACCATCCCGGCTAAAACGGTGAAACCCCGTCTCTACTAAAAATACAAAAAATTAGCCGGGCGTAGTGGCGGGCGCCTGTAGTCCCAGCTACTTGGGAGGCTGAGGCAGGAGAATGGCGTGAACCCGGGAGGCGGAGCTTGCAGTGCGCCGAGATCCCGCCACTGCACTCCAGCCTGGGCGACAGAGCGAGACTCCGTCTCAAAAAAAAAAAAAAAAAAAAAGAATAGACACTGAAGTATTCATAGTGAGATGAGATTTCAGGGCCCTTTTCATCTCAGTGGGATCTACTTCTGTATTATCGGGGTTGTGAAAAACAAGCGTGCAAGTTCCATGAGGGCGGGGGCTTTGTTTTGTTCACCGTAACCCCAGCACCTAGAAAAAGTACAGGCATGAAAAGTGCTGAAAAAATGAATATTACTTTTTTTTGAGACAGAGTGCCACTCTGTCACCTAGGCTGGAGTGCAGTGGCATGATTTTGGCTCACCGCAACCTCCACCTCCTGGGTTCAAGCAATTCTTCTGCCTCAGCCTCCCAAGTAGCTGGGGCTACAGGTGCGTGCCACCACACCCAGCTAACTTTTGTATTTTTAGTAGAGACAGGGTTTCACCATATTGGCCAGGCTGGTCTCAAACTCCTGACCTCTTGATCCACCCGCGTAGGCCTCCCAAAGTGCTGGGATTACAGGCGTGAGCCACTGCACCTGGCCATGAATATTACTTTTTAAGTAAAAACCACAGAAATACTTAAGACAGAGAGTGAAGGGCCCTTCCATGATCCCAAGAGCTTGGTCTGTAGTTCTCTGACGCGCTTTTTACATGGAGGCAAGCTCGTGTCCCAGGGGTCCCCAAGGCAGCCTCCAGACTCACCTCCACCTCTCTCCTTTCCAGAACAAGTGAGCTGGGGTTTGCTTTCTTCTCCATATCCTGCAGCTTGATCAATTTTTCTATCAGGAACATTTTATCTTTGCCCTCCTACCAAGAAGGAAAACAAAACCAGAAAGAAACAAAAATATGAATGAATGATGGTATGGAATTGAGAAAGCAATTGATGGGAAGAACGTCGGTTTTCAGGCAGCTAGGATCCTAGAAGTTGGATGGAGGTTACTGCCATCTTTTGGTGAAAGAAAAGAAACATTTCACAGTAAAACCAAATTATCCCCCAGAGCCTTCCTGCACTGTAATATTCTCCTCTAAAGCAATTCCCCTAACAGGCTTGAGAAAGTAGCCTCCAGAAGTCGGCTGCTGGAAGCAACTTACATGCCACGTCTCAATACCCAGGAAAAATGGTTTCCAGTATCCCCCATAGGCACGTGCCCCAGAGCAAGACTCCATGTCAAAACAAAAAAAAAAGATATATGTAGGATATGGAAAATATGAAACAGATGACCTGCATTCTTTAACAATAAAAAGAAAAGAGGAAGTGGGGAGGGGAAGTGGTAAATGGTTATAGAGTAAAAGAAAGTTAGGCATATTGGCTGGGCGCAGTGGCTCACGCCTGTAATCCCAGCACTTTGGGAGGCCAAGGCAGGTGGATCACTTGAGGTCAGGAGTTTGAGACCAGCCTAGTCAACATGGTGAAACCCCGTCTCTACTAAAAATACAAAAATTAGCTGGGCGTGGTGGCACACACCTGTAATCCCAGCTACTCAGGAGGCTGAGGCAGGAGAATCACTTGAACCCAGGAGGCAGAAGTTGCAGTGAGCCAAAATCATGCCACTGCGTTCCAGCCTGGGAGACACAGTGAGATTCTGTCTCAAAAAAAAAAAAAGAGAGAGAGAGAGAGAGAGACATTAACCAAATGCAACATGTACCCCCTTTTCAGATCCTGATTTGTGCAGTTCTAGTATAAAAAGACACTTAAGGGGACAGTTGGGGAAATGTAAACATTGGATATAAGATGATAATAATAAATTATTGTTAAGTTTTTTAAGTGTGATGATGATATTGTAGTTATTTTTAAAAGTCTTTATCTCAGCTGGGGGCGATGGCTCACACCTGTAATCTTAGCACTTTGGGAGGCCGAGGCGGGCGGATCACCTGAGGTCGGAAGTTTGAGACCAGCCTGACCAACATGGAGAAACCCCATCTCTACTAAAAATACAAAATTAGCCGGGTGTGGTGGCAGGCGCCTGTAATTCCAGCTATGCGGGAAGCTGAGGCAGAAGAATTGCTTGAACCCGGGAGGCGGAGGTTGCAGTGAGCCAAGATTGCTCCACTGCACTCCAACCTGGGCAACAAGAGTGAAACTCTGTCTCAAAATAAATAAATAAATGAAATAAAAGTATTTATCTTATAGAGAGATATATATATATATATATCTAAGTTTTAATAAATAAAAAATAATATAAAGCCTAAGATTTGCTTTAAAATAATCCAGGGAGCCAGATGGAGTGGCACCTGCCTGTAATCTCAGCTACTCCGGAGGCTGAGGCAGGAGCCCAGGAATTTGAATCCAGCCAGGGCAACATAGCAAGACCCCCACCTCTAAAAAAATAAAATAAGGCTGGGTGTGATGGCTGTAATCCCAGCACTTTGGGAGGCAGGTGGATCACCTGAGGTCAGCAGTTCGAGACCAGCCTGGCCAACATGGTGAAACCCTGTCTCCACTAAAAATTCAAAAATTAGCTGGGCATGGTGGCAGGCACCTGTAATTCCAGCTACTTGGGAGGTTGGGGCAGGAGAATCGCTTGAACCCTGGAGGCAGAAGTTGCCGTGAGCCGAGATTGCACCACTGCACTCCAGCCTGGGCAACAAGAGCAAAACTCTATCTCAAAATAATAATAATAATCATCATAATTAAAATAAATAAATACTAAGAATAAAAATAAGGGATTTGCTGGGAAGAGAAAGTGTAGATGAAATAAGAATATAAAAACATTGATGGTTGTTAGGGCTGAGAGCAGGGATATGAGAGTTCATTGTAGTATTCTCTTTATTTTGGAGGATGTTTATACAGCGTTTAAAAAGGGTGAGGGCGGACATCAGAGGGATCCAAGGGGACTTACATTAATGATCTGCTCATGGAGCAGCCTTATCATAATCTTCCTTCCCTCTGTGATCTGCCAGTAAAGATAGGTGATGATTCTGGAAGAGGAGAAAAGAAAGAATGACACTCTTGCAAATGTTTTGCAGGCTCTGAATTTCCACTGGATGCAAAGGAACTGGAATCTGTGCTTGCAGATGGATTTGGCCCAAACATGTTTCTGAAAAGTCATGTCAGGGAGAGTTATAGGTTAAATACATTGGAACAATGGTTCCTGAAGGGGGAAATAAGCCCATGCCACAGCTCCTCTTCAGACCAATTAATTGAGCATCTCTGGGCATGTCATCTCCTTAAGAGGAGAAAAGCAGGTATTGCTTTCTTAATAGAATAAGTTAAAAAAAAAGTCCCTAAGATGACCCAGCACGGTGGCTCATGCCTGGAATCCCAGCACTTTGGGAGGCCAAGGCGGGCGGATCACTTGAGGTCAGGAGATCGAGATCATCCTGGCTAACACAGTGAAACCCTGTCTCTATTAAAAATGCAAAAAATTAGCTGGGCGTGGTGGTGGGTGCCTGTAGTCCCAACTACTCGGGAGGCTGAGGCAGGAGAATGGCATGAACCCAGGAGGCGGAACTTGCAGTGTGCTGAGATCGCGCCAGTGCACTCCAGCCTGGGTGACAGTGCGAGACTCTGTCTCAAAAAAAAAAAAAAAAAAAATCCCTAAGACAAGAAGATAGTATATATAACCTTTCCCCCCTTCCCCCAGTGATGGGGTCTTGCTCTGTTGCCCAGGCTGGAGTGCAGTGGCACGATCAGAGAACACTGCAGCCTCAAACTCCTAGGCTCAAGCAATCCTCCCATCTCAGCTTCCCAAGAAGCTCAGACTACAGGCACAAGCCACTGCACCAGGCTAAGTAACTTCAAAAAAACTATCAATGCAAGCTTGGGCAAGGTGGCTAACACCTGTAATCCCAACACTTTGAGAAGCTGAGGCAGGAGGATAATTTGAGGCCAGGAGTTTGAGACCAGCCTGGGCAACACAGGGAGACCCCATTTCTCCAAAAAATTTAAAAATTAGCCAAGTGTAGTGGTGCACACCTGCAAGCCCAGCTACTTGGGGGCTGAGGTGGGAGGATGGCTTGAGCCTGAAAGGTTGAGGTTGCAGCAAGCCATGACCATGCCGCTACAGTCTAGCCTGAGTGAGAGATCATGACCCTGTCTCAACCAAAAAAGAAAGAGAGAAGTAAGGAAGGAAGGAAGGAAGGAGAAGGGGAAGGGAAGGGAAGGGAGGGGAAGGGGAAAGGAAGGGAAGGGAGGGGAAGGGAGAAAGAAGGGGAAGGGAAGGGAGGGGAAGGGAGAAAGAAGGAAGGAAGGAAGGAAGAAAAAATGAAGAGGAAAGGAACGGAACTGAAAGGAAAGGGAAGGGAGAAAGGGAGAAAGAGAGGGAGGGAGGGGAAGGGAAGAGAAGAGAAAAGAAAAAAAGGAAGGGAAGGAAGGAAGGAAGGAAGGAAGGAAGGAAGGAAGGAAGGAAGGAAGGAAAGAAAACTACCTATGCAAGGGTAGAGTCACCCAGAACACTGAGCTATGCTATAGCCATTTGCTTTCCAACCAAACATCCCTACTGCTGTTTCCCTCGAGAGCTCCTGGCTTTCCCTGCTAGATTCCCCGGGTACCACACTCACAGCACAATGAGGGTGAGGATGAAAAAGAAGTGCACACTTCCAATGAGGTTCCGATAGATCCAAACAACCCACAGGTAGCCAGGCCGTGTACTTAGGGTGTCGATCCAGCTGTAGATGGAGTGAATGAAGAGAGGCAGACCTCGAAAAGGGCCACAGTCAGCTGAAGGCTTCAATCTGGTAAAACAAAGATGGAAGAACATCTCTAGCACAAGACTCAGGGATGGTTATTCTAGAATCAGGGTGTCCCTTCTGGGCTCTGGGCCTGAAAACATCAAGTCTTGCCTGATCCAATCACACCCACTTCCCAAAGAAACCCTCTTGCTCTCAGCCTTGCTGGGGTGACCTGTACTCTAAGGACCTGCTCTCAGATCAGAGCTGACCCAACAGCAGCCAATCCAAAGGCCAAGCAGTGACTTCTGCAGTAACTTGGCTCAATGATATGAATGGGGGCAGTCAGACTTTTTTTCTTAAGAAGTTGAATTAAGGCCAGGCACTATGGCTCATGCCTCTAATCCCAACAGTTTGGGAGGTCAAGGTGGGAGGATTGCTTGAGCCCAGAAGTTCAAGACCAGCCTGGGCAACATAGTGAGACTCCATCTCTACAAAAAAATAATTAGCTGGGCATGGCAGCACATGCCTGTGGTCCTGGCTACATAGGAGGCTGAGGTGGGAGGATCACTTGAGCCCAGGAGGTTGAGGCTATAGTGAGCTGTGATCACACCACTGTACTTCAGCCTGGGCAACAGAGCAAGACCCTGTCTGAAAAAAAAAAAGAAATGAAATTAAAGACAAGTATGGTGGCTCGCCTGCAATTCCAGCACTTTGAGAGGCCAAGGCAGAAGGATCTCTTGAGGCCAAGAGTTCGAGACCAGCCTAGGCAACATAGCAAGACACCCATTTCTAAAAAAAAAAAAAAAAAAAAAATTAGCCAGGCATGCCAGGCGCGGTGGCTCATGCCTGTAATCCCAGCACTTTGGGAGGCCGAGGCGGGTGGATCACAAGGTCAGGAGATCAAGACCATCCTGGCTAACACGGTGAAACCCTGTCTCTACTAAAAATACAAAAAATTAGCTGGGCGTGGTGGCGGGCGCCTGTAGTCCCAGCTACTCAGGAGGCTGAGGCAGGAGAAGGGCGTGAACCTGGGAGGCGGAGCTTGCAGTGAGCCGAGATTGCGCCACTGCACTCCAGCCTGGATGACAGAGTGAGACTCTGTCTCAAAAAAATAAAAAATAAAAAAATAATTAGCCAGGCATGGTGATGTGTGCCTATAGTCCCAGCTACTCGGGAGGCTGAGGTGGGACAATCACGTGAGCCCAGGAGTTTGAGCTGTGATTGCGCCCCTGCATTCCTGCCTGGGTGGCAGAGCAAGGCCCTGTCTCAAAGAAAGAAATTGAATTAAGAAGCATAAAGAGGGAAGCCTGTTAGCTATGGAGGAATGAGCAGAAACTATAGGGCAACAAGGAACTGGTGAGGAAGAGAGAGAAGAGAGTGGATATGCCAAGAGGAGCAAGGGCGTTGTGGAGCAAGGAAGAGAGAGAAGAGAGTGGATATGCCAAGAGGAGCAAGGGTGTTGTGGAGCAAGGAACTGAGAGCCCCAGTTTCACATGTGTCCTAAAAATCATCTCCCTTGTTCATTAATTCATTCAATTGTTCATTCAACCATGGCTTATTCTGTTAAGCACTGTTCTAGTCAGGCTCTGGGGACTTCATATTAAGCAAGTTCCTGCCCTATTGGGATTACATTCTGGTGGGAAAAACGGACAATCGTTGAGTAACAATTAAAGACTCACACAGAGGCATTCCTGATTATGAATGATAGAATGAAGGAAAGAAACTCAGGTCTGAGAGAGAGAAGCAGTGGGGAACTGAGAGCAGACAAGGAGGGCTGTGAAGATCAGATCTTGGAGAGGGCCTTGGAGCTGAGAATCAGAGGGTGGAGAGGAGGCAGCCAAGCAAAGGGAGTGGGAAAAGGACTTCACTCAGAGGACTCTGCCCTTGTTGGGAGGGGCTTGCTGGCTTCCAGGAATGGGGTGAGGGTGGTGGGGCGGGGAACAGTGGAGCCAAAGGGAAGTGGGGTTGGAGAGGTGGGAGGAGCCAGATGAGTCCTGCCTTTCTGTTAATTTAGATGAAGTTCTGTTCTGGATGTGGAGGAACGGGGTGGGGGGGCATCTCCCCATTCTGGGAAGCTTCAGTTCTTGGCAGAAGTGAGAAAGCTACTCCTGACCGTGGGCATCGGATGGGTGGTGATCAAACTAGGATGCATTCCCTCCCTGGCTTTTAGTGTCTGTTGGTTAGCCAGGGAACTTGAGTTAGGCACTGTATTAAGCATGTCTTTTTATTCTGATGTTTTGACATCTGGGGTCTTACTGACTCCAGCTCCCAGGGCTAGCTGCCCTTCCCTGGGCTAGCTTACAAAGCACACCTTTCAAATGCAAACCAACCAATCCAGATCCCACACCCGCAACCGCCCCCTTTATCAGGCTCTCACACTCTGGGCCACCACTCCCCTGCCCTAATCACCCCAGGGCCAGGTGCCAGACAACTCAGGGCGGATCCATATCCCACAGCCTACTGACAAACCAGCCAACCCTAAACCTGCTTCCCCTGCCTTGCCCATTCCTTACCATAGAAAACCACAATAAAGCCTCTAGCCCGTTTCCCCTCACTCCCTCTGCCTCCTGAACAACCCTGATGCTTCCCTGTGTGGTCCCTTGTGGCATAGAGTGCCCCCTCTTCTCAGGAACTGTGAGTAATAAACTATCTTTTTAGTGATGGTCATTCCTGACCTGTTGGGCTTCACCATACCTACATTATTTATTTATTTATTTATTTATTTATTTATTTATTTATTTATTTATTTATTTATTGAGACAGAGTCTCACTCTGTCACCCAGGCTGGAGCGCAATGGTGCAATCTTGGCTCACTGCAACCTCCACCTCCCGGGTTCAAGTGATTCTCCTGCCTCAGCCTCAAGAGCAGCTGGGATTACAGGCATGCACCACCACACTTGGCTAATTTTTGTATTTTTAGTAGAGACAGGGTTTCACCATGTTGGCCAGGCTGGTCCTGAACTCCTGGCCTCAAGTGATCCACCCGCCTTGGCCTCCCATAGTGCCGGGATCACAGGCGTGAGCCACTGCACCCGGCCTCACCACACCTGAATTATAATAAAACCTACGTTTTAAAACACACACCCATCCACCCAGTCTCTAAAACCTCCCCCAAGGCCACCTTCTCCTACCTCCAGATGGTGATGGCCAGGGTGCACAAGACCCCGGTGAAGGATGGGAAAAAGAGCAAGAAGATGAAGAAAGTCATCATCTGTGAGGCCCGCCAGGCTTTGCTCGGAGGCTGGAAATTCATCATCAGGCTGATCTGAAGAGAGAGAGGCAGCCACCTCCCATCTGCAGCCGGAGCAGCGGCAGAGGGACCCCAGCCAGGCCTGGCTTCCTGACACCTTTGCAGAGCCCCCTTCCCCAGCTTTAAGCGCCACCAGGTCACAGGTGACTGAACAAAGCTGATTGATGGCAATGTCGGACTGACTCACATTTTTGGAGTAGAACATGATGAAAAGCATAATCATTTGGATAAAGGGCAGCAGGGGGCAGAAGAAGATGCCAATCCTGTGAGGGAGAGAGGGTGAGTGTCAGAGGCTGGCGGAGACACAAGGAGTCGGGGTGAATCTGGGATGGTTGGGGGGAAGAGAAAGAAGATATTGTGGCCTGGATTGTGTGTCCCCAAAATCCATATATTGAGGCCTTAACCCCGAATATCTCAGAATGTGACTGTATTTGGAGACAGGGCCTTTGAGAGGTGATTAAGGTAGAATGAGATCACTGTAGGAGGCCCTAATCCAGTACAACCGGTGTCCCTAAAAGAAGAGATTAGGAGGCCAGGAACGGTGGCTTATGCCTGTAATCCCAGAACTTTGGGAGGCCAAGAGGGGGTGAATCACCTGAGGTCAGGAGTTCAAGACCAGCCTGGGCAACATGGTGAAACCCCATCTCTACAAAAAATACAAAAATTAGCCAGGCATGATGGCGTATGCTTGTAATCTTAGCTACTTGAGAGGCTGAGGCAGGAGAATCGCTTGAACCTGGGAGGCGGAGGTTGCAGTGAGCCGAGATTGTGCCATTGCACTCCAGCCTGGGTGACAGAGCAAGACTCCATCTCAACAACAAAAAAAGAAGAGATTAGGACATAGACACACACAGAAATGAAGACCATGTAAAGACATGGGGAGAAGATGGCCGTCTATAAACCAGGGAGAGAGGCTTGAGACAGATCCCTCCCTTATGACCCTCAGAAGAAACCAACCCCACCCGCACCTTGATCTTGGCCTTCTGGCCTCCAGAACTGTAAGATATGAAATTGATGTTGTTTAAGGCACTCAGTGTGTGAGACTTTGTTATGGCAGCCCCAGCAAACGAACACAGAGGGGGCCTGCTTCCATCCCAGCAAATTAGGCAGATTCCCACCATACCCAGTATCCTCAGCTGCCTTCTTCCCAGCTCTGGAAAAGAGATTTTATAGAGAAATCTCCCACCCACCTATTAAACCAACAGATGGTATTCAGCATGCCCTAAGCTAGCATGTCCCACATGCCTTGCCCCTCTCCTTCTTCCTCCCCCATGGTATTCAAGGTCTGAGGTCCTGTAGGGACAAGGCACTGAATAGCACTGAGTTCCAAATGAGAAAGGCATTCCCTTTACAACTCTCCCGCGGTGCTCGTGAGCAACAAAAGGAGAAAATCTCAGTGTGGTTCTAGAATGCCATTCTCCCATTTTTTAACAAGAAAGGAGTAGGCTTCGGGCTGAGAGCCTTAGCAAACTGTAACATCTCGCTAGAATTTAATGACTTTTTGGAATGGGATTGCTTTTATTTTTCCAGTTATTTGTGATTTCTTTCAAATGGCACTGGTTTTCCATTTATGATTGTAAATAAAGACTCCCTTAAAAATATATGTGAGAGGCCAGGCGTGGTGGCTCATGCCTGTAATCTCATCACTTTTGGAGGCCGAAGCGGGCAGATCACCTGAGGTTAGGAGTTCGAAACCAGCCTGGCCAACATGGCAAAACCCCCATCTCTACTAAAAATACAAAAATTAGCTGGGCGTGGTGGCAGGCACCTGACGTTTTGACATCTAGGGTCTTACTGACCCCAGGAAGATTGCCGATGTTGGGAAAAGCAGTCTGGCCATTTACAAAGGCCTTTCTTCTGCATTATTTCAACTAGGATGCCGTTGGGCAAGTTACTTAAACTCTCTCTAAACCTTAGTTTTCTAATCTTTAAATGGTGGACGTACTAGTACCTACTCACAGGGTTTTTTGAGAAGAATAAATGGACATGGTGGCTCACTCCTGTTATCCCAGCACTTTGGGAGGCTGATGAAAAGCAGTTATCATCTACCATGGCATTAAAAAAAAACTTATTTGAGTAAAAAAAAAAAAAAAAAGGCAAATAATAAAAAAAATTAAGTAGATAATGGTACAGGTGAAACGTCACTATACCAAAAAATAGGCAGGCTAGTGTACAATAGACTAAAACTTGGGAAACATGTTCCTCACTTCATCTCTACTACTGTCCCTAACATATATCCTTTTCTGTCATTATATTATCTTCTTGTAAAACTCATCATCAAAGGCAATATTCTCCTAAAACCCGCAAAGGTTAGAACTGAAATAACCATGGAGAAAAAAAAAAAAGATGTGTTTTTGATGGTGCTTATTCATGATTTATCAACAAAAATCTCAAAGGCCCAGAAGTCATAATGGTAATTTCTTTTTTTTTTTTTTTTCCTTTTTGAGACGGAGTGTCGTTCTATCTCCAGGCTGGAGTGCAGCCAGTGGCATGATCTCGGCTCACTACAACCTCCGCCTCCCTGGTTCAAGTGATTCTCCTGCCTCAGCTTCCCAAGTAGCTGAGATTACAGGCATCTGCTACCACAGCCGGCTAATTTGTATTTTTTAGTAGAGTCAGGGTTTCACCATGTTGGCCAGGCTGGTCTTGAACTCCTGACCTCAAGTGATCTGCCTGCCTCAGCCTCCCAAAGTCCTGGGGTTACAGGCGTGAGCCACCATGCCTATTTAATCCCCTCGAAAACCCTGTGAGTAGGTATCTGTACCATTTAAAGATTAGAAAACTAAGGTTTGGAGAGAGTTTAAGTAACTTGCCCAATGGCATCCTAGTTGAAATAATGTGGAAGAAAGGACTTTGTAAACTGCCAAATTGCCAGTGGGTGATCTAGCAGCATGCAAACACATCACCTAAACTACAAAAGAAAGGTCCTCACTGTCTCTAAAAAATAAACTCATTAACTTTGAGTTATTTGCAGACAGCCAAATCACCCAGGGCAACTTTAAAGAGTCAGAAAATAAAACTTTCCCGTTGTATGACATATTGGTGTTTGCAAAGCGTTTTCATTTACCATGGCATTTAATCCTCAACATGATTCAAAGGCAGCTATTCTTTTTTTTTTTTTTTTTGAGACAGAGTTTCACTCTTGTCGCCCAGGCTGGAGTGCAATGGCGTGATCTCTGTTCACTGCAGCCTCCACCTCCCGGGTTCAAGTGATTCTCCTGCCTCAGCCTCCCAAGTAGCTGGGATTACAGGCACTTCCAACCACGCCCAGCTAATTTTTTGTGTGTATTTTTAGTAGAGATGGGTTTTTGCCATGTTGGCCAGGTTGGCCTCGAACTCCTGGCCTCAGGTGATCCGGCCTCCTAAAGTGCTGGGATTACAGGCGTGAGCCACCGTGCCTGGCCTTTTCTTTTCTTTTCTTTTCTTTTTGAGACAGAGTTTCACTCTCGCTGCCCAGGCTGGAGTACCATGGCATGATCTTGGCTCACTGCAACCTCTGCCTCCCAGGTTCAAGCAATTCTTGTGTGTCAGCCTCCTGAGTAGCTGGGATTACAGGCATGCACCACCACGCCTGGCTAATTTTGTATTTTTAGTAGAGATGGGGTTTCACCATGTTTGTCAGGCTGGTCTCCAACTCCTGACCTTAGGTGATCCACCCACCTCAGCCTCCCAAAGTGCTGGGATTATAGGCATGAGCCACCGCACCTGGCCTTAAAGGTAGCTATTCTTATGTGCATTTACAGATGAATCTGAGGTTCAGACAAGCACAGTGATCTCCATGAGTGGCAGAGCCAGCCTCAGAATTCAGTTTATCCAGTTCCAAATCCAATACTTTCAAATTAGCAACACCCCATCAGATGGAACCTGGGAATGTGATTCACCACACAGAGTTCCGGCATTAACTGCATCATGTTAAAATAAGTAAGGAAAAGTAAGGCAGGAAGATTGCCTGAGCTCAGGAGGTTGAGGCTGCAGTGAGCCATGATCATGCCACTGCACTCCAGCCTGAGCAACAGAGTGAGACCCTGTCTCAAAAATAAATAAATAGGCTGAGCATGGTGACTCACACCTATAATCCCAGCACTTTGGGAGGCTGAGGCAGGTGGGTCACTTGAAGCCAGGAGCTCAAAACCAGTCTGGCCAACATAGTGAAACCCTGTCTCTACTAATACAAAAATTAGCCAGGTGTGGTGGCACATGCCTGTAGTCCCAGCTACTTGGGAGGCTGAGGCATGAGAATTGCTTGAACCCGGGAGGTGGAGGTTGCACCACTGCACTTCAGCCTCAGCAACAGAGCAAGACTCTGTCTCAAAAAAATAATAAGAAAATTAAAAATAAATAAATAAATAAATAAATAAGGAAACACAGCCACTGGCTAATTGTTTGCAGTGTCTAGGTGAGTTTGTAAAAATATTTGCTGCAACCAGTTGGCTATTCTCAATGCACGCAGAGTTTCTAAAACAGACGTCACAAATCCAAAAAACTATAGAGAACCCACCAAATGGTGTATCAAATATAAGAAACACACAGCCCTCTCTGTGTGTTTCTTTATTCTCCCATTGCTGTGGAGACATGGATGCAAAGTAAAGTTTGCATTGAAACAACCTAAGGACAAAGCAAAATGGCAAATCAATGCTAACAGACAACAGTTAAAGGTGGAGATTGTGACAAACTGGAGATGCTCAGTTTGCCACAGATCTTTGTGGAGAGAAGCCAGATGTTTCTGGAGAGAAGCCAGAAATTTAGGTGTTATGTGAAATCTCCTGAAGTTTAAATATAGGTGGTGTGTTAGTCCATCAGGCTGCTATAACTATAACTCCATAAACTGGGTGGCTTATAAATAGCAGAGGCTGGGTGTGGTGGCTCATGCTTGTAATCCCAACACTTTGGGATCCACCAAGGTGGGCGGATCACCTGAGGTCAGGAGTTCAAGACCAGCCTGGCCAACATGATGAAACCCCATCTCTACTAAAAATACAAAAATTGGCTGGGCATGGTGGCACATGCCTATAGTCCCAGCTACTTGGGAGACAGGCAGGAGAATCACTTGAACCTAGGAGGCGGAGGTTGCAGTGAGCCGAAATCACACCACTGCACTCCAGCCTGGGCGACAGAGGGAGACTCCGTCTAAAAAATAAAAATAAATAAATAAAACAGCAGAAATTTATTTCTTATGGTTCTGGAGGTTGGGAAGTCCAAGATCAAGGTGCTGGTAGATTCAGTGTCTGGTGAGGCCCTGCTTAGTGATTCCCAGATGTTGCCTTCTCTCCATGTCCCCACGTGGTAGAAGGGGCAAGGGGTCTCTCAGGCCTTGTTTATAAGGGCACTAATCCTATTCCTAAGGGCCATGTCAAAGATCAAATCACCTCCCAAAGACCCCACCTCCATCACATTGGAAGTAAGGTTTCAACATATGAATTTGAGGGGAGACCCAAACATTGAGACCATAGCAGTGGTTAATTCATATTTTTAGGGACAAAAGAAACACACCTGCAAAGCTGGACACGACCTGTGGGCTTCCAGGTTGCGATCCCTGCTCTATGCTGATTCTTGTCTGAAGTCCTTAAGCTCTCATAAAGGAAAATGATAGTCTAAATGCTAAATTCATGGTTCTCAGACTGGCTGGATGGGTTATCACCCCTGCAGCTTTAAAAACAACAGATTCTGGGACTTTGCCACCAAAACACCAGCTCCACAGTCATGTGGGAACCACTGGGCATTTTGCTGAGTCACAAAACTTACCACACCAGAGTTTGTGCATAGATCAGTTCTAGAACGTTCCTGGCAATGTCAAACTCCTGAAGGCCAAGACTTGTGATCAGTTGCATCCCAATGATTCTGTGAAAACATACTGAGTTTAGTACCCAAACCATAACTCCCACTTTCAGAAGATCCCCCACAGACTAGGACAATCAACAAAAGAGACCCTCCCCAGCTTGAAATAAAGTCGTAAGTTCCCTTGAAAATTTTTCAAAAGTTCTAAATCTATAAGCATGTTTTTGAAGAAGTAATTGAAGGGATTGAGGGAAAACTAATTTAACACAATGCAGTCTAGTGGGGGTACTGCTAAAGTGATTTAAAAAATTCTAGAGAATATTTGTTACCCTGAACATTTAAATTATCCCACTATTATCTTATACCCCTCTTTGCTAATTAAACCTTATTTTTTCATGAACCAGATGAACTCAGCACCTCTCAACTCAAATAAACATTTTTAAATTTTTGGTTGCTGCTATCAAATTATGTTTCCCTGTGTTCTAAATCCACAAGAAGGAAACCAAGTTTCCATTTACTCTGGGGAAACTTGATTTCATATTAATTTATTCATAAAGATGAGTTGCCAATTTAAAAAAAAAGATCTGTCAAAAAAAAATCTTTTCACTTTTTTTTTTTTTTTTTTTTTGAGATGGAGTCTCGCTGTGTCACCCAGGGTGGAGGGCAATGTCGCCCTCTCGGCTCACTGCAACCTCCATCTCCCGGGTTCAAGCGATTCTCCTGCCTCAGCCTCCCAAGTAGTTGGGATTATAGGCACACACCACCATGCTCGGCTAATTTTTGTATTTTTAGTAGAGACAGGGTTTCACCACGTTGGCCAGGCTGCTCTTGAACTCCTGACCTCAGGTGATTCACCCGCCTTGGCCTCCCAAAGTGTTGGGATTACAGGTATGAGTCACTGTGCCCGGCCAAACCTTTTCACCTTTATGTCCAGGCCCTCGACAGAGGCTAGAATAAAAGCACATTTTGGCAAAAATGAATGAGGAAATTTGGCATTGAATCTATCCACTGAGAAAATAATCAACATCAGACCATCTTATTACTAGAGCAGCTTGCGGAAATACATAAATGTCTATAAGGAATGAGAGGCTCATCATATTATTAAAAAAATGAATTACTAAATTTAAAAAACCAGACATGGGACAGTGACAGTGCCTCAATTCTGTATAGATAGATAGATAGATATCTAATATAAAATTAATACATTAATTCAATTAAAACAATGAGATAAATCTACATGTACTGACATGGAAAGATGTCAAGGCATAGTGACAGATTAGTAAAAGCAAATTCTACAATATGTTGCAGTGTGACTCCATTTTTGCTTTTGAAAATTATATAGCATTATATAGTAAAGACACACACAGAGCAATGTGTGCATAGAAAAATCTGGAGGAATATATACTAGAATATTGAAATTATCTACAGTGGATAAGATTTCTTTTTTTCTTCTTTTCTTTCTTTGCCTTTTTCTTCTTCTTCTTCTTTTTTTTTTTTTTTGGATAGAGACAGAGTCTTCCTATTTTGCCCAGGCTAGTCTCAAACTCCTGGCCTCAAGTGATCCTCCTGCCTCGGTCTCCCAAAGTGTTGGGATTACAGGCGTGAGCCACTGCCCTCGGCTGGATAAGATTTCAAATGGCTCAGTTTCTGTCTTTTATTTTTAGAATTTGTTTTCAAAAGGTTGTAAAAGGTCAACTGAACCGAGTGAACTATGACAACAGAACTGTCAGGTTAAGGTGAAATTTTAGCTAATTTAGAAGTGAACAGTATCCCCAAGGACAACAGGCAGACTTGGAACAACGCACGCTTTGAGTATGTCAGGCACCTGTATGTCCCACTCAGCCAGGAATCAGGTTCTGTTTACAGCATCAGGCCCTAATTACTTAAGAATGGCAAATATTTACCTCCTCAGAAACTCCCCCAGGAAGGAATTGACTAAAGAGAACACAAAATCCATCAGAAGGAGCCGGTAGATGTCCTGGCCAATGAGGGTTTCCCAACACTGGAAGGCAAACAAGAGTCAGGATGTGGGAAGGGGCTGTGGCCTCAGCTCAATTCTCCTCTGTTCCTGGCTCTATGTACCCATCAGGACATAGCTAATGGTTGGGTTTGACCAAGTCCTTGTGTACTCAAAAAAGTAGACCCACTCTGAAAAAATGCAGCTGAGTTTGTTCCCAGGGATGTTGTTCTCTTTTGGGTTTCCTTCTTTCCCCCATTAAAGCTTGCCTTCCACACATACCCAAACTTTCCCTGTTCATGATCTCTCCCCGTAAAACTTTTCTTCCCTGCCCTATCCCCTCTGGATCCCATTTCTCAGCCAAGGGTAATCGGTTTCTTCAACAGAGCCAGAAGTGCCAATGGCTAAGAATGCCTTCACTCTTTTTGCTTATTTACCTTACAAAAAATCAATTAATGTCTGCTTGATTAAGAAAGTGGCCTAGAGGTTTAGTAGGCTAGTGTAAACTGGAAGCTCAAATTAGTCAGTTTATGAAACTAGTGGCTAGGAACTTCTGCAGGAAGTCAGTGCTATCAGCTGATAGACTGGGAGCTTTTAGATTTGGCTGAAGGAGGAGAGGAAACTTTTGGGTGCACAGCCCAAGGATGGATGGATGATGGATGGGTAAATGGATGGATGATGGATGAGTGGATAGATGGGTATATAGATGGATGGATGAATGGATGGATGAATAGATGGCTGGATGAATACATGAATTGACAGATAGATGGATGCATGCATGAATGAATACGTGGATGAATAAATGGATGGATGGTTAGATAAATGGATGGATGAATACATGAATGAATAGATAAATATATGGATGGATGGATGGATCCATACATGGATGGATAAATGGATAAGTGGATGGATGTATGAATGAATGGATAGATGGATACATGGATGGACAGATGAATAGATGCATGGATGGATAAATGAATGATGGGGGAATGGATGGATGGATGCATGAATGGATGAATGCATGGAAGAAGAATATGGTATCTGCTCTAACCATACTAACTTGGAGGGCTGATTTTGAATCTCTTCGACAATTAGGGAGAGAAGTTGAGGGTGCCATGTTCATGTAAGATGGTTTGAGTATAGACACAACAGAGCTATTTTAGGGCCCAGGAATAATGGGTGACAGAGAAATAGAGAGAGACTCCTGATTCCTGACTCTACTTCCAACCCCAGGGCATCCTGGGTATCTGAGAGCTCACAATGACCATCAGCTAAGGATTGCTGTGTGATGTGAAGGCACATTCTCATGGGGGATGCAGTAGCAGGGGCAGAGGCATCCCAATGAGAAGGCCAGGGAGGCTGGCTTGTTCCTAAATCCACATGGGACACCACCCTCAGGCACCCATTCTCTGAGGTCAGTGAAGACTAGAAACTGTAGTTAAGTGAAGGACGGCCAGAAACAGTCAGCATTAGGACATAATTGTTACTGCCAGCATTTATGAGTTTACATATTGGTAAAGCCCAGGGTATCTAGGTTACAGGAAAAATAGAACATCAAGGATCAAAAAGAATTTTGTCCAACCCCAAAGCTGTTAGGACAGACTAGCACTAAAATTACTAGTGTCTATTGCATATGCTGGGCACTGAACTTATACTACACATGATATCATTTAATCCCAATTTTACAGATGAGAAAACTGAGGCTCAAAGAGATTAAGTGACTCGGAAGATGACACAGCACAGCTGGCCTTCAAATCAGGTCCTCCTGACTCTAGAACCTGAGCTTTTTTGTTGAGACCCATTTTGCCTTATGTTGCTTTCCAGATTAGTTTTCATTCTCTTCCCACAAGGGATTAATACCAAATACGGAGTGTGATGGCTCTTGAGAAACCCCTGTCCTCCCTGTTGGTCAAATGCTAAGAAACCAAACTTAAGGCAGAGAAGCATAGAATCTCACCTCTTCACCAGACAGGGCCACGGTGTTGAGCCAATAGTAACAAAGAATGCCAATGATTGATATTTTCAAAAAGATGTTTCTAAACAGAAGAGACAACATTTATGATTACCTTCAATGGCAGTCTTTCATTCTGTCTGCAAATAGCTCCTTTGGGGCACATGGTAAGATAGAAATTCCTGGCCCCTGTGGTTGGAGGGGGGCACATGGCTAGTTCCAGTGAATGAATTGTGAACAGAAGCAATGTGTGTCACTTCTTTTTTTTTTATTTTTTGAGACGGAGTCTTGCTCAGTCACCCAGGCTGGAGTGCAGTGGCGCGATCTCAGCTCACTGCAAGATCCGCCTCCCAGGTTCACGCCATTCTCCTGCCTCAGCTTCCCGAGTAGCTGGGACTACAGGCGCCCGCCACCACACCTGGCTAATTTTTTTTGTATTTTTAGTAGAGACGGGATTTCACCATGTTAGCCAGGATGGTCTCGATCTCCTGACCTCGTGATCCACCCGCCTCGGCCTCCCAAAGTGCTGGGATTACAGGCGTGAGCCACCACACCCAGCTAATGTGTGTCACTTCTAAGCTGGAGCACTTAATGCCCCTGTGAGACTCTCCAGAACTCCTCATCTTCCCTTTGGAATGGCGATCAACGATATTCAAGATGGCTGCTTCTCTCTGAGCCTGGATCCCTCAGTAACTAACATAAGAAGGTCCCTCCTGCTAATCCACACTGTGTATATAACACGAGCAAGAAATAAACCTTTGTGTTCGAAGCCACTGAGATCTGGGGGGTTGTTACTGCAGTATAACCTAACTTATTCTGACTGATACATTCTCTTTTGTTGCATCTCCAAATGATCTGATTTCACTTCCCATTATAATGATAGTAAATGTACATAATGTTTATTGGGTGCTGACCCAGCGTACACTGCCAACCTCTTTATTGAATCATCCCCCTCAGTCTTTACAATTCCATCATCTAGTAGATGGTATTTTATGCCCATCATACTCAATATGCAAGGTTATGGGGTGCAGTGAGACCTAACATTTCCCCTTCTATACAAACTTTTAAAAGTGGCACCATGGATCGGTGGCTGGGATGTGGGGAATAATGAGGGCATAGGAATATAGTCAGAGTTTTCTTTCTTTCTTTCTCTCTCTCTCTTTCTCTCTTTCTTTCTTCCGACAGGGTCTCACTCTGTTACCCAAACTGGAGTGCAGTGGTGTGGTCATGGCTCACTGCAGCCTTGACCTCCCGGGCTCAAGCACTTCTCCCACCTCAGCCACCTGAGTAGCTGGGACTACAGGTGCAATCCACCATGCCTGACTAATTTTTAAATATTTATAGAAATGGAGTCTCACCATGTTGCCAAGGCTGGTCTTGAACTCCTGGGCTCAAGCAATCCTCCCACCTTGGCCACCCAAAGTGCTAGGATTACAGGCACGAGCCACTGCACCTGGCTGGAATTTTCATAATATGAATTGGATATAATCAACTGACTGACCAATTTGCTTATTCATTCACCAATCATTCTTGGACACCTATGATATCCCAGACACTGTGAACAAGGCAAAGATTTCCCCATAAACTGTGGGAGAGGAAGATAATAAATAAATACAAATATGTCAGGAAGTGGTAAGAAAATTATACTGCAGAGATCATGCCACCGCACTCCAGCCTGGGCGACAGAATGAGACTCCATCTCAAAAAAAAAAAAAAAAAAAAGAAAGAAAATTATACTGCAGAGGAGAAAAGGTGGTAGGGAGCTGTTATTTTTAATGGGGTGTGCAAGGAAGAGTGCAACACGAGGGTGATGTTTGAAGAACGCAAAATGCAGTCAAGAAGCAAGCCATGTGGTCATGTGTGGGAAGAACATTCCAGGCCCATGCAAAGGTCCAGAGGTGGGAATATGGTTTGGCATATTTGTGAACGCTTAGGAGGTCTGTGACGGGGACAGGCAGTGAGCAGGAAGGATGGGGAGAAAATGAGGCTGGAGCGCTGGCCGGGAGCCGGATCTCACAGACCGTGGTAAGGCAAGGGCTCTGGAACTGATCAGCAAAGAAACTCAGTCTGCATTGTACAGACCTACACTTTTTTTTTTTTTCTGAGATGGAGTCTCTCTCTGTCACCCAGGCTGGAGTGCAGTGGCAGGATCTCGGTTCGCTGCAACCTCCGCCTCCCAGGTTCAAGAAATTCTCCCGCCTCAGCCTCTCAAGTAGCTGGGATTACAGACATGCGTCACCAAGCCCAGCTAATTTTTGTATTTTTAGTAAAGACGGGGTTTCACCATGTTGGCCAGGCTGGTTTCAAACTCCTGACCTCAGGTGATCCACCTGCCTTGGCCTCCCAAAGTGCTGGGATTACAGGCATGAGCCACCATGCCCGGCCTACAGACCTGTACTTATAAACCCCACCATAACCAGGAACGAGTAAGGGAAGAAACTAGAGGGACAAAATTTGGGCAGTTCCAGGCTTTGTGTATCAAAACTCTGGGATCACTTCTAGCACGTATGATGCCTTTGTGGGAATCACAAAAAGGCACCCCATGGGTGCCAGTGAGTTGCCCAAAGCACTCCTCCCACCTTTGTTTGGGTGGTGGAATTACAAAAATGGGCCCTTCCTCCCGCCTGAGGCAGTGGGTACCAGGACTCACAGCTTGACTAAGGGGAACGCTGGATGATTTCAGTCCCGTCCTCAGCCCAGGAGCCTTTGTGCGTGCACTGCCTGCCCATCTGTACATCCCATACTTGAGAACTACATCAATCCCCTGCTGGTAGCAATTAGGAAAGCAATCAAGCCATGACTTTGAGCAAAAGCCCACACCACACAAACACACTTCACTCTTTTGTTGTTGTTTAAGACAGGGTCTTGCTCTGTCACGCAGGCTGGAGTGCAGTGGTGCAATCATAGGTAAGCTCAAACTCCTGGGATCAAGTGATCCTCTCACCTCAGCCTCCTGAGTAGCTGGCACTAACAGGTGCATGCCACTGCATCCAGCTTTTTGTAGAGCCAGCATCCGGCTATGTTGCCCAGGCTGTTCTCGAACTCCTGGTCTCAAGTGATCCTCCCCACTCAACCTCCCAAAGTGCTGGGATTACTGACATGAGCCACCACGCCCAGCCACACCTTACTTTTGAAATTCTTCCTCTCTGGAGAAAAAACTTTGATACTAAAGCATAATCCTTTCTAGCTGCCATCCCACTTCTCTCTGTGGAAATAGAGGCTGGTGTTGGGCGCGACACATCACCTACCGGATCAGGAGAACGTAGACTTCGTGCCGTGGCATCTCGTACCTCTCCACAAGCCTGAACATGGAGTAGATGCATGGCACGGCCAGATTAATGCAGGACACAACGAAAGGCAGTAACAGCACCGCCCCAGGGTTACTGTGTGTCTTCAGGAACTGCAGGGGATGGGGGAGAGAACGGAGGGCTGACTTGTACACTGTACCCCTTTCTGCTTCACTCAAAAGTCTCCCATGATAGAAAACCCGAGAAGTAGCTCCTCTGCGGTTAACTATTTATCTATTTATTTATTTTAATTTTTTTGAGATGGAGTCTCACCGTGTTGCCCAGGCTGGACTGCAGTGGCGCGATCTCAGCTCACTGAAACTTCCACTTCCTCGGTTCAAGTGGTTCTCCTGCCTCAGCCTCCAGAGTAGCTGGGATTACAGGCACGCACCAACATACCCAGCTAATTTTTGTATTTTTAGTAGAGATGGGGTTTCCCCATGTTGGCCAGGCTGGTCTCTAACTCCCGACCTCAGGTGATCCATCCACCTCGGCCTCCCAAGGTGTTGGGATTACAGGCATGAGCCATCGCGCCCGGCTAGGTTAACTATTTTGTTAAGCTACCATTAATTTCCTTACCCCGTGCCAAGCAAACTGAGGCTCAGGGAGGGGAAGACACTTGCCCAGGGTCACCCAGCAAGGAAGTGGCAGATTGGAGCCTAGGTGTGTCTGACTCAGGAGCCTGAGCTCGAACAATCATTCTGTGGCTTTCCCTTTTTTACCAAGATGCCCAGGGCAATGAGGATGTGCTCCCTCCTGTTTAGCATAAGTGGCCTTGTTCATTTTCACCAGGCTTCACCTCTCTCTGAGTTCTGAATTAGGGGGTTGGCGTGTCTCTGCTAGCCCGTGCTGCTGGTTTTTTTTTTTTTTTTTTTTTTTTTTTTTTTTTTTTGAGCCGGAGTCTCGCTCTGTTGCCCAGGCTGGAGTGCAGTGGCACGATCTCGGCTCACTGCAACCTCTGCCTCCGAGGTTCAAGTGATTCTCCTGCCTTAGCCTCCCGAGTAGCTGGGATTACAGGGGTGCACCATCATACCCAGCTAATTTTTGTATTTTTAGTAGAGACGGGGTTTCACCATGTTGGCCAGGCTAGTCTCAAACTCCTGATCTCAAGTGATCTGCCTGCCTCGGCCTCCCAAAGTGCTGGGATTACAGGCGTGAGCCACTGTGCCTGGCCCTGTGCTGCACTTTTGTGTGAGGCTGGGAGAGGCACTGGGCCTCCAGGAGGAGGCAGCACTCTGGCATTTGGCTGGGAGTGGAGCCGGGACTGCACTTCTGCTAGGCATCCTTCCATGGGCCTTGGAGTCAGGGATTCCAATGAATTTATCTGATATCTCACATTCCCATATCCTCCCTGCATGGCCTCACCCTACCTCCGTCTACCTCTGGATGGTTCAAAAGCACCACTTGCATTTTTGGTGGTAGTTTTGGAGCCAGGGTAACCTGGGTTCCAATGCGGCTCCCTCCCCACACGTAAGCTGCAAGGCCTGGGGCCAGATCCTTAGCTTCTCTGAGCCCCTTTTCTCCATCTGTACAATGGAGAGATGATCACATGACTCATAGAGATGTTGCAAGAATTAACTGAGATCAAACAAGGCAAGGCCTGGCCCCAGGGCTGTGAAACGACACAGCTGAGCTCCATTCATGTGAAACTGTAGTCACCAATGAATGACCACCACTGTAGCCAGAACTACAGGTGCACACCACCGTGACAGGCTAATTTTTAAAATTTTTTTAGCGATGAAGTCTCCATGTTGCCCAGGCTGGTCTCGAACTCCTGGGTTTCAGGTGATCCTCCTGCCTCGGCCTCCCAGAGTGTTGGGATTACAGGTGTAAGCCACTGTGCCTCACCCCTGCATTTTTAACAAGTTCTCTGCTAGTGCTGATGCTGCTGGCCATAGATCCTGGGTTGAACCGTAGGCTGCACACCACCCTTCCCCTCCAGCATCTCATCCCTTCACCTGGTTCTCTCTGCCCTGGACCCTGGTGTTGGTTACCTCTAAGTTGTACTCAGCCAGGTAATAAACGGCTGCACAGCAGGCTATGGCCACTCCTGTAGAGACAACCCAGGCTACCATGTAGGCAGAGAAGCGGGTCAGCAGCTGATTGAACGTCAACTTGGAATTCTCCTGACGGAGCTCTGACAGGTTCTCCTAGAAACATAAGAAAGTCAAGTTTATGGCTGGGCATGGTGGCTCACGCCTGTAATCCCAGCACTTTGGGAGGCCAAGGCGGGTGGATCACTTGAGGTCAGGAGTTTGAGACCAGCCTGGACAACATGGTGAAACCCCGCCTCTACCAAAAATACAAAAATTAGCCGGGCGTGGTGGTGCATGCCTGTAATCCCAGCTACTCGGGAGGCTGAGGCAGGAGAATCACTTGAACCCAGGAGGTGGAGGTTGTAGTGAGGAGAGATGGCACCACTGCACTCCAGCCTGGGCGACAGAGTGAGACTCTGTCTCAAACAACAAATAAATAAATAAACAAATAAATAAAAATAAATGAAAGTCAAGTTTATCCAGAGATCCCTCTCCACTGCTAGCAAAGATCCCCAGGGAATGCTTGCCACATCCAGAGACATGAATCCAGCCCAAATCCACAGGTGAGAGAGAGGGGGAACATTCATGATGAACATGGATTATGGGAGACCCATAGAGGACTCTGAAATGGGCCAAGAATCTCCAAACACTGCTTCCATCTTTCAGAAACAGTTGGAATTAATAGATCGGGACCATGTTCTTAAGAAAAGCACACTGAGGTCACAAAATTCTTTCTTGAAGAATAAGGTTGGGTATCTACACTGAGAAAGAAGCTCACATCTGCAACCCTCTTGTTGAAGCCCCTTTATTTGGCTGGGTTTGGTGGCTCACACCTGAATTTCCAGCATGTTGGGAGGCCGAGGTGGGAGGATCACTTGAGCCCAGGAGTTCAAGACCAGCCTGGGCAACATAGTGAGATTCTCTCTCTACAAAAAATTTAAAAATTAGTTGGGCATGGTGGTGTGCACCCATAGTCCCCACTACTCAGCAGGCTGAGGTGGGAGAGGCTAACTGGATCCCAGGAGGTCGACACTGCAGTGAATTATGATTGCACCACTGCACTCCAGCTTGGGTGACAGAGCAAGACCTTGTCTCGAAAATCATAAAAAAAAAAAATTTAAAGCCCCTTTATTTATAAAATCAGCTTGCTCTTTGTTTTTTTCTGGAGATGGAGTTTCACTCTTGTTGCCCAGGCTGGAGTGCAGTGGCGCGATCTTGGCTCACTGCAACCTCTGCCTCCTGGGTTCAAGCGATTCTCCAGCCTCAGCCTCCTGAGTAGCTGGGATTACAGGTGCCCGCCACCACGCCCGGCTACTTTTTTGTCCTTTTTTTAGTAGAGATGGGGTTTCATCATGTTGGCCAAGCTGGTCGTGAACTCCTGACCTCATGATATGCCTGCCTCGTCCTCCCAAATTGCTGGGATTAGAGGCATGAGCCACCATGCCCAGCTGCTTTTTTTTTTTTTTTTTTTTTTTTTTTTAATAAGTTTGTGTCTATAGACCAGGGTTTCTCAACCTCTGCACTATTGACATGGTGGGCTGCATAATTCTCTGCTGCAGGTGCTGTTCTACGCATTGTAGGATTTTTAGCAGCATCACTGGCCTCTTACCCACTAGATACCAAGAGCACCCCTCTTCCCAATTGTAACAATCAAAAAAGTCTCTAGAGGTTGTCAAATGTCCCCCTGAGGGGCCAGATTTCTCTGGGTTGAAAATCATTGCCTTGGCTGGCTCACGCCTGTAATCCCAGTACTTTGGGAGGCCAAGGCGGGTGGATCACTTGAGGCTAGGAGTTTGAGACCAGCCTGGCCAATATAGTGAAACCTCATCTCTAAAAAATTCAAAAATTAGCCAAGTGAGGTGGCAGGTGCCTGTAATCCCAGCTACTTGGGAGGCTGATGTAGCAGAATCGCCTGAACCCGGGAGGCAGAGGTTGCAGTGAGCCAAGATCATGCCACTGCACTCCAGCCTGGGCGGCGGAGTGAGATTCCGTTAAAAAAAAAAAAAACAGCTGGGCGCGGTGGCTTACGCCTGTAATCCCAGCACTTTGGGAGGCTGAGGTGGGTGGATCACGAGGTCAGGAGATTGAGACCATCCTGGCTAACACAGTGAAACCCCGTCTCTACTAAAAATACAAAAAATTAGCCGGGCATGGTGGCAGGCGCCTGTAGTCCCAGCTACTCGGGAGGCTGAGGCAGGAGAATGGCGTGAACCCGGGAGGCGGAGCCTGCAGTGAGCCGGGATTGCGCCACTGCACTCCAGCCTGGGCGACAGAGTGAGACTCCAATTCAAAAAAAAAAAAAAGAAAAGTTACAGGTATACTGGAGAAGGGAAGGAGACCAGCCGATGGCAAATGAGTAAAGTGAGCTCGCCTTACCCTTATCTCAGTGCTAAGATTCTTCTGTTTTAGCTTCACAGCTTTTTCATGAGTGACAGTGAAGTCCCAGCAAAAGATCAGCTTGGTGATCCCTCCGGAGTAAATGTGGGGATTAATGAAGTTGTTCCGGAAATACTTGGCCATGCTAGAGAAGGCAGAAAGCAGAACACCTGAAGGTTATTATGGCCGTCACTGGGAGTGCAGGGCTTCAACAAAGGGCAGCCCTATTATTAATGGTGAAAGGCAACGTGAAGACTTAGCCCCAAGCTGTTGGCCTGGAGCGGTGTGGTCACCACACAGTGGTTAAACAAGCACTGGTTTTGGGGCTGCACAGGCCTGGCTTGCAACCCTGGATCTGCCAACTGGGGGATTTTTGTCTTGTGAATGGTTCTGATTCTCAGCCTCAGTTTCCATATCTGTAGAGAGGGAATAACAATAAAACTCACCTCACAGAATTTTTTTTTTTTTTTTTAGACAGAGTTTCACTCTTGTCTCCCAGGCTGGAGTGCAGTGGTGTGATCTCTGCTCACTGCAACCTCCACCTCCAAGGTTCAAGCGATTCTCCTGCCTCAGTCTCCCAAGTAACAGGGATTACAGGTGCCCATCACCACGCCCGGCCAATTTTTGTATTTTTAGTAGAGGCAGGGTTTCACCATGTTGGCTAGGCTGGTCTTGAACTCCTGACCTCAAGTAATCCACCCAGTTCCCTGTTGCTGCTATAGCAAATGACCACCAACTTAGCGGCTAAAAACAACACAAATTTGTTCTTTTACCCTTCTAGAGATCAGAAGTCAGAAAATGTCTTTTCTTGTTTTTGTGTTTTCTGTTTGTTTAGGGATGAGGTCTTGCTGTGTGGCCCAGGCTAGAGTGCAGTGGTGTAGTCATAGCTCACTGCAGCCTCCACCTCCTGGGCTCAAGCCATCCTCACGCCACAGCCTCCAAAGTAGCTGGAACTACAGGCACATGCCACCACACCCAGCTAATCAGAAAATGAGTCCACAGAGCTAAAATGAAGGTGTTGGCAGGGCTATGTTCCTTCTGGAAGCTCTAGGGAAGAATCCATTTCCTTGTCTTTTCCAGCTTCTAGAGGGTGTCCTCTTTCCTTGGCTTGTGGCCACCTCCTCCAACTTCAAAGCCAGCAGGGTAGCATCTTCCCATCTCCCTGCTACTCTCTGACCTCCTGCCTGCCTCTTATAAAGACCCTTGTGATTCCATTGGGCCCACTGGGATAATCCAGGATAATCTCCCCATTTAAAAATCCTCAGTCACATCTGCAAAGTCCCTTTTGTTATGCGAAGTTACATATTCACCAGTTCTGGGGATTAGGATGTAGACTTCTCTGGGGGGGGTCGGGGGAGATTATTCAGCCTTCCAAAGAGTCTATGCAGTGCTTACAGCAGCAAGCACTTGATGAAGGCACTGTTATGGTCATGGGCTGTCTCAGGCCCAGGAAGCCCTGAGCACACACACAAAAATGCTGCACAAGATGGACGGATGCTGCTGTTCTGAAATTTGCCACCACTCAGTAACAGCAACTTTAGAATCATTTCTGGCCGGGCATGATGGCTAACACCTATAATCCCAGAACTTTGGGAGGCCCAGCAGGGGGGATTACCTGAGGTCAGGAGTTCAAGACCAGCCTGGCCAACATGGTGAAACCCTGTCTCTACTAAAAATAGAAAAATTAGCTGGGTGTGTTGGCATGAGCCTGTAATCCCAGCTACTCAGGAGGCTGAGACAGGAGAATCACTTGAACCCGAGAAGCGGAGGTTGCAGTGAGCCAAGATCACACCACTGCACTCCAGCCTGGGTGACAGAGCAAGACTCTGTCTCAAAATATTAATAATAATAATAATAATAAAATCATTTCCTACTTTGACAGAACAAAACAAAATCTCACTTTAGTTTGAATTAGTATGCTGGCAGTCAGGTTGCTATGGGTTGGACTGTGTACTTCCCAAAATTCGTATGTTGAAGTCCTAACCCCCTAGTACCTTAGAATGTGACTGTATTTGGAGGTAGGGTCTTTAAAGTGGTAATTACAGGCCGGGCGCAGTGGCTCACGCCTGTAATCCCAGCACTTTGGGAGGCTGAGGCGGGTGGATCACTTAAGGTCAGGAGTTTGAGACCAGTCTGGCCAACATGGTGAAACCCCGTTTCTAATAAAATTACAAAAATTAGTCGGACGTGGTGGCACATACCTATAGTCCCAGCTACTAGGGAGGCTGAGGCAGGAGAATCCCTTGAACCTGGGGGACAGAGGTTGCAGTGAGCTGAGATCACACCACTGCACTCCAGCCTGGGCAACAGAGTGAGACTCCATCTCAAAATAAATTAATTAATTAATTAAAGTGGTAATTACATTTTTTTAAAATGGGGTCATTAAATTGTGTCCCAATTCAGTACAAATGGCATCTTTATAAAAAAGGGAGATTAAGACACAGAGGGATAACCATGTGAAGACACAGGCAGGAGACAGTGGCCGTCTACAAGCCAAGGAGAGAGGCCTCAGAGGAAACCAAGCCTGCTGACACCTTGATCTTGGACTTCAGGCCTCCAGAACCATGAGAAAATAAATTTCTGTTGTTTAAACCAATGGTCTGCTGTACTTTGCTAGGCAGCCCTAGCAAACTAATACAGAGATTGCATGTTGCTTTTCTTTCTTTCTCTCTCTTTTTTTTTTGAAACAGGATCTCCAGTTGCTCAGGCTGGAGTGTAGTAGACTGATCTCAGCTCACTGCAGCCTCGACCTAATGGGCTCAGGTGATTCTCCCACCTCAGCCTCCCGAATAGCTGGGAACACAGGCGTGCGCCACCAAGCCAGGCTAATTTTTTGTATTTTTAGTAGAGATGGGGTTTTGGTATGTTGCCCAGTCCAGTCTCGAACTCCTGGACTCAAGTGATCAGCCTGCATCAGACTCCCAGAGTGCTAAGATTACAGGCATGAGCACCGTGCCCAGCCTTTCATATGTGTATTTTCCATTTGTACCTCCTCTCTGATAGTTATCTATCATGTTCTTCCCTTCATATCATTGCTGGGGTAACTGCACCCTTATTATCAGGCTGACCAATTTCTTTAAAAGCACAGAAAAACCTCTCTTCCTCTGTCCAAACTCCTATTTTTATATTGCAGGACAAGGAATAATTGGACAGCAATGGAAAGTCAAAACTGCAGGCTGGGCACGGTGGCTCACGCCTGTAATCCCAGGACTATGGGAGGCCGAGGCGGGTGGACCACCTGAGGTCAGGAGTTTGAGACCAGCCTGGCCAACATGGTCAAACCCCATCTCTATTAAAAATACAAACATTAGCGGGGCGTGGTGGCAGGTGCCTGTAATCCTAGCTACTCGGGAGGCTGAGGAAGGAGAATCACTTGAACCTGGGAGGTGGAGGTTGCAGTGAGCCCAGATTGCGCCACTGTACTCCAGCATGGGTGACAGAGCGAGACTCTATCTAAGAAAGAAAAGAAAAGAGAGGAGAGGAGAGGAGAGGACTGCAGAGAAACTGTTACCTGGGTAATTTTTGAATTTCTTGGATTTTTGCTGAAATCTAACATGACCCTCAGAATCAGGAAATGTAGATGCTTCCATACCTGAACAGCAAACTGAAGAAGCAGGTGGTCAAGCATGCTCCGATTGTGAAGATGTAGGCCAGCTGCATGTTGTAGGATGCCCCGCTGTTCCCGTGCTGGATGGTGGAATTGGTGTAAAAGCCATAGTACATCACTGTGTCCCTAAAATAACCCTGAAAGGTACAATAAACCATAGGTCAGGTGGATCTCCTGAAAAAAAAGGTAAACGATTATGGTCATGAGAGTTGACCTCTCCTGAATACAAGAAGCCTGGGCCAGTCAGTTTAGACATTTTGTTTTCCAGGAAAGGGGCACTGAGAATTTGGACATTGTGTCACTGGGCTCTCAGACTTGAAAAGAAATCCAGTGTAACTTTACAATGGAGACATTGAGCTGTTACCACCTGGCCCAGTGATCAAGTGAAACATCAGCAAGAACACGACAGCCAGGCCTCTCGTTTCACCAGTATTATGTGCCTCTGTCACCAGTATTATGGCTAAACATGCTTAATAGGAAACGAATCAAGCCTATAGGCCTACATTTCAGTGCACAGGAAATAAGAAGCCAGAGAAACAAATTCTAGAAACCACTAGGAAATCATCAGACAATTCCAGAAGGTAGGATGTTGGAATCTACATAGCAGTAGGCCCAATTTCTGCAATAAGCCAATGTCAAGAAAAAAGGGGCTGGGCTGGGGAGATTATTTATTTATTTATTTATTTTTTTGAGATGGAGTCTCGCTCTGTCACTCAGGCTGGAGTGCAATGGCAAGATCTCAGCTCACTGCAACCTCCCGGGTTCAAGCAATTCTCCCTGCCTCAGCTTGCCTAGTAGTGGGGATTACAGGCTTCTGCCACCACATCCGGCTAATTTTTGTATTTTAAGTAGAGATGGGGTTTTGCCATGTTGGCCAGGCTGGTCTCCAACTTCTGACTTCAAGTGATCCACCCGCCTCGGCCTCCCAAAGTGCTGGGATTACAGGAGTGAGCCACCGTACCCGGCTGATTATTTTAGATTAATAGAGATTTAAGGCGGGGGCGGACACAGAATGTAAAATCTGATTGTTGACTGAATCCTAGTCTGAATAAGCAAGTTATGAAAGACATTTTGGGGTCCAGGAAGGGAGGGAGGGAGGGAGGGAGGAAGGAAGGAAGGAAGGAAGGAAGGAAGGAAGGAAGGAAGGAAGGAAGGAAGGAAAAGAAAGAAAGAAAGAAAGAAAGAAAGAAAGAAAGAAAGAAAGAAAGAAAGAAAGACAAAAGGAAAGGAAAAGAAAAGAAAGAAAGAAGGGCTTATAGTACAATCCTATCCTCTGTTTATTTTTAAAAGCATAATAATCTATGTGCCTGTCATCTATTTGGTTTTTTTTTTATCAAGTATGTATCTATCAACGTTTGTACAGGAAGAAAAAAACAGTCTACAAAGATATATCTCAAAATGGGGAGTTGGACAAAGAAAAAAATATAAAATGAACTTTCTCTTAGTTTTCTTCTATAGTAGGAATTTTTCAAAAGGAACATTGTATTTTGTAGAAATAAAAATTAAAAAGAAAGAAAACATAGATCTATAAACACCAACACAAGAAAATGCCCACCACATATTGCTAAGTAAAAAAAAAGCAAGTTGTAGATAATATACAATGAATAATTCATCTTTTGTAAGAAAAGAAAAGAATGCCTCTGTACGTGCACAGAAGTGTCCATATGTTTGCCAAAAAAGTGTGTGGATAAAAACAAACTGTTCAAGATGGTTGCCTCTGGAGACAGAAATTCTACTACGATGTGTGTATGTTACTTTGCAGGAAAACACTTTATTGATTGATTGATTGATGATTGAGACAAGGCCTCGCTCTGTTGCCCAGGCTGGAGTGCAGTGGGGGAATCTTGCTTCACTGCAATCTCTGCCTCCTGGGCTCAAGCAATCCTCTTACCTTAGCCTCCTGAGTAGCCAGAATTACAGGTGTGTGCCACCATGCCCTGCTAATTTTTGCATTTTTGTAGAGACGGGGTTTTGCCATGTTGCCCAGGCTGGTCTCCACTGCTTTGGCCTCCCAGCTTGCTGGGATTACAGGCATGAGTCACCACACTCAGCCAGGAAAACATTTCAAACATCCACTTTCCCCATCAGTTGACCCCCAGGCAAAATGAGAGGTGTGAGTGGGTGACCGGCAAGGCACGTCCCTGGGTTTCCGAGGTGATTGGTGCACTTGGGGTAGGGGAAGTGGAGGACTTACCACCCCAGTGAAAAACTCCAGCCCAGTGAACTGGAGGGTGTTCTTTTTGGCCACGGTAAACTGAGGGATTATGATGAAGCTGAAGTTCAGGATGAATGAGAAAATGTTGAACTTCAAAAGCCATCTCAGAAAGTTGAAATAGGAGAGGACGCTGGTTCCAAACTTGCCTCCAATGATCTTCAGCGTCTTCTGCCACAGGCTGATGGAATTCAGAATTTCCGACAGGCTGTTCTTGGATCTCCGATAAGCCTGGAATCAGGATTCAAAGCAGGTGTGGCTTGCTGTTGACTCAACAAATATCGACTGAGCAGGTGCCATAATAACAGAAACAGCCACCATGTCTGGAGTATTGTTAAGTGCAGGCACCATGCTAGGCATGTTTACAAATGTTATGTCAACTCTAAGGTGGAGCTATTATGACCTTCCCAGGTTTGCTGTTGAAGGTGCCACTCACAATGGCCAAGTTGGCCAATGAACTCAGCAACCTCTTAGTTCTTCCCCATGCCCACCTCGCTTTTCCACACCTGTACTAACCGTTGGCTCTGGGCAATGAAATTGCTCTGATTTTTGGTTCATCTTCCCCCTGAGTCCCCTTTCATCCTCACTCTCCTCCCTCCCTGTTTTCACCCTCTTGCTGTGCCTGTTTTACTGACTTACCCGGGAAATGGAGTTCAGACACTGAATACAGCAATTGAGCTGAAGGATACGATGGGTCTGTTTGCTTTTTTCTTTGTCAACTATTTTCCTGTAGGGAACAGCAAGAGAAAATGAGAGATACAAATGTTGCAACTCATTCATTCAAAAAATAGTTACATGGTGGCTCATGCCTGTAATCCCAACACTTCGGAAGCTGAGGCAAGAGGATCACTGAGGCCAGGAGTTCAAGACCAGCCTGAGCAAAATAGTGGGACCTTGTCTCTATTAAGAAAAAAATTAACAAAAAATAGCTGGGTGTGTTGGTAGTGCCTGCCTGTATAGTCCCAGCTACTCCAGAGGCTGTGGTGGGGGGATTACTTGGGCCCAAAAGTTTGAGACTGCAGTGAGCTATGATCACACCATTGCAGTCCAGCCTGGGCAACTGAACGAGACCTCATTTCTTTCTTCCTTTTTCTTTTTTTTTTTTTTTTGAGATGGCGTCTCACTCTGTCACCCAGGCTGGAGTGCAGTGGCCTGATGGCGGCTCACTGCAGCCTCTGCCTCCCAGGTTCAAGCGATTCTCCTGCCTCAGCCTCCCGAGTAGCTGGGATTACAGGCGCCCACCATGCCCAGCTAAGTTTTGTATTTTTAGTAGAGATGGGGTTTCCACCATGTTGGCCAGGCTGGTCTTGAACTCCTGACCTCAGGTGATCCACCTGCCTTGGCCTCCCAAAGTGCTGGGATTACAGGCATGAGCCACCACACCCAGCCGATCTGATGGTTTTATAAAGGGCAGTTCCCCTGCACATGCCGTCTTGCCTACCACCACGTAAGATGTGCCTTTGCTCTTCCTTCGTCCTCTGTCGTGATTGTGAGGCCTCCCCTGCTGTGTGGAACAGTGAGTCCATTAAACCTCTTTCCTTTATAAATCACCCAGTCTCAAGTATGTCTTTATTAGCAGAGTGAGAGCAGACTAATACACATTCTCAACCTAGGGGGATTTTGCCCCCACACAATTGGCAATGTCTGGAAACTTTTCTGGTTGTGAAACTAAGGAGTGGAGAGGGGGTGATATTGGCATCAAGTACATAGAGATCAGAGATGCTGCTACACACCCTACAATGAACAAAACAGCCCCCACAACAGAGAAAGATCCAGCCCTCAGATGTTACTTGTACTGATATTAAGAAATCTTGCTATAAGGTCTTTGGAGCCCATATTCAGTGACAGAGGCAGCCATACAGAGTTCAAAATGGAAGTGTTTTCAGAAAGACACAGTCACAGTTGGTCTCCTTACCCTTCCATGAACTCACCACATCTGCTTTGTTCTGGTTCTTTCCTAGCTTTCTTTGGTCCACCTCGAAGGCCCATCCCAATGTCATGGTCAATTGTCTTTCAAGGCCCAGCTCAAATGCCCCCTCTCTCCATTTTTCCCCAGCAAAGTCAGGGAGGGCAGACCTTTCTGGTCCTCCCATTGCAATCTCTATTTTGACTTGGCCTGATTTACTTTCTGCCATTTGTAATTTACTTGTTGACAAATCTATTCCACCCTGCCAGGATTTGAAATTTGTCTTTGAAACCTCAGAAAATCCTACATCCATGAATCACTTACTAGTAATTGTTGTTGCATCCACTCTACTACTTTCTGCCAACTATATCAAATTGAAAAAAAGAAAAAAAAAGATTAAGCAACAATTAATGTAAACTCTGAAGGCTAAAACAGCCCTTACCCTCGGGTTTTGAATTCCTGAGCTTATAAAACTCCTAAGGTCTTTATGTATTTTTTCTTTTTTATTTTAGTTTATTTTTTTTTCCGATACAGAGTCTTGCTCTGTCACCCAGGCTGGAGTGCAGTGGTGTGATCTTGGCTCACTGAAACCTCTGCCTTCCAGGTTCAAGCGATTCTCCTGTCTCAGCCTCCCCAGTAGCTGGGATTACAGGCGCATGCCACCACACCCGGCTAAGTTTTGTATTTTTAGTAGAGACAAGGTTTCACCATGTTGGCCAGGCTGGTCTCAAACTCCTGACCTCATGATCTGCCCGCCTAAGCCTCCGAAAGTGCTGGGATTACAGGCATGAGCCACTGCACTAGTCTGATCTTTATTTTTTAAGTAAAGATTTTATTTATCATAGTTTGAGATTTACAGTAAACTTGCAAAGACAGTAAAGAAAACTTCCATATACCACTCGCTAGTTTCCCCGTTAATATTTTACATTTCCATGGTAGGTTTATCAAAACTAAGATACCAGTACTGGTACGTTACTATTACCTAAACTCCAGACTATTCAGATTTTACCAGTTTTTCCACCGATGTCCATTTTCTATTCCAGGATCTCGTCCAGGATACCACATTGCATTTACTTGTCATGTCTCTCTTTTTTAATTTTCATTTTTTGTAAAGATGGAGTCTCACTATGATGCCCATGCTGGTCTCGAACTCCTGAGCTCAACTAATCCCACCACCTTGGCCTCCCAAAATGCTGGGATTACAGGCGTGAGCCACCACACCCAGCCTGTCACGTCTCTGTAGAACTTTCCACTCCATGATAGTTTCTCAGACTTTCCTTGTTTTTGATGACTTTGACAGTTTCAAGGGGTACTGGTTGAGTATTTTGTAGAATATCCTTCAGTTGGGATTTGCCTAATGTTTTTCGCTGTTTAGACTGGGGTTGTGGGTTTTAGGAGAGAGTAGCACAGAGGAGACATGTTTCCCCCATCACATGACTTATCTTTGGGGATGTTAACCTTGAGTCTTGGCCAAGGCAGTATTAGGCAGACTCTCCACTGGAAAGTTACACCCCTCTCTTCCTTCCACGCCCTACTCTTTGGAAAGCAGCTCACCAAGCAGAGCCCACACTCCAGCCCAGGAGCAGGAATTAAGCTGTAGCCCCTGGAGAAAGGAGTACCTACAGAGGGCATTTGAAATTTTTCTGTCAGGAATATTTGTCTCTTCTATTGTGCTTATTTATTTCTTATCTTTTTGAGATGGGGCAAAAGTAGAGGATTGAGGTTCGCATGAAATCTGAGAAAGAAGAAAAGCCTTTAGTCCATACCTAAGGTTCCTTTTCTCTTCCATGGTCCTTGGCTGGTTCCTGATGGCTTTAATTCTGTCTCTGGATGTCATGGGTATAAGGGATGCGATTAACTTCTGTCCTATGAAAGAAATTAATGGAATTTAATTTCTTTTTTCTTTAACAGAATCGTAACACTGAAATGTGGTGCTGAAGTCAGAGCACGTAACACAAGGGAAGAAGTTTATGGAGTTGGGGATCTCAAAGATCACAAAGGAAAACAACAAAAAAAACACATATATGTGTTAAAGCTCAAAGTGAGAGCAAATGAATAATGGCTGCACTTTATTCCAATTCAGTGTTTTTCTCTTTCCTGTAACAAAAAACATTTAGCAAAGTCAATAAGATCCTGCGTGTTTGGTCACCCTACCTCTTCTATTTTTTTTTTTTTTTTTTTTTGAGACAGGATCTTGCTGTGTCACCCAGGCTAGAGTGCAGTGGCACAATCACAGCCCACTGCAACACTGATCTCCTGGACTTAAGCGATCCTCCCACCTCAGCCTCCCAAAGTGTTGTGATTACCACAATGCACCACCATGTCTGGCTAATTTTTTTATTTTTTTGTAAAGCTGAGGTCTCACTACATTGCCCAGGCTGGTCTTGAACTCCTGGGCTCAAGCGATCCTCCCACCTCAGCCTCCAGAGTAGCTGGGACTACAGGCACACACCACGACAACCAGCTAATTTTTTAAAATTATTATTTGTAGAGATGGGGTCTTGCTATGTTGCCCAAGGTGGTCTCAAACTTCTGACCTCAAGAGATTTCTCACCTCAGCCTCCCAAACTGCTAGGATTACAGGTGTGAGCCACCACGCCTGGCTCTCTTGCTTTAATATCCCACATCACTTCCTTTTGCCCCTGACCCCAGGTTCGAGAGACTTCTCACATTCCTTGACTATCGCTGAATGCCCTTCCACCTTCCTAGAAGTACACCCTCCTTTTCTCCTGCTAACTCATATTCACATTTGCAGTCAATGTGGCAGATGCTATTGTCTACCCCAAATTCATTTCCTCCTTGTTAATGGAATTCCAATTGTGTTTAGGAATCTACCTGCCTCCCTCACATGGCCCTGAGCTTCCTTGAGGTGGAGCCTATCTCTAGGCCCAAAGAGCAAGTTTTAGTCTGAGTGAACCAATCCTCACGGTCCTGTCCCCTTGCAGGTGACTGGTTTAAGCACAGGCATGTGACACAGCATTAGCCAATGTCCTCTGAGAGGTGTGTGCTGAGAAATTTCTCGGAAAATATTTCTTCCTTCTCAAAAAAAAAAAAAGCAAAAAACAAGAAAAAGACAGATGTCTCTTCCTCTGATTATTGTTGTGTCTGCATGTGATGTGAGAAGTGCTATTGCTATCCTGTAGCAAAGAAGCCAGCAGGCGGGGCAGCGATACCGTGCCGAGGGTGGCTGAGGGACAGAGGGAGCAAGCTGGCTCCTTGGTCACAGCACAGGGTTAGAATGGCCCGCCGGGAAATACAATGTTCATCGTAATGACATACTTGAGGTGTAAGGGGAATTCCCAAAAGAGGACCACCAAATCTCTCTGCTGAGGATGAGGAATTTGTGCCTCTTCCTGGGTAGGAAGGGTGAGTAGATTGAGAGGAAGAAAGATGGAAGAGGAAAATATACAGAGATCCAGGGAGCCAGCAGTGTGAGAGGTGATGCCCCAATCTTCTTCAGTAAAGGGGCTAAACCTACTAAATGCTTTGTGTGAGTAAAGGGATATTTTTCTTCTCCCTGAAATCATTGAGAGCTGCTTGACTTTATGCCTGGAATACTGTGGGGGTGAAACAGAAACAGCATCTCTGGGCCGGGCATGGTGGCTCACACCTGTAATCCCAGCACTTTGGGAGGCCAAGCCAGGCAGATCACCTGAGGTCGGGAGTTCAAGACCAGCCTGGCCAACATGGTGAAACCCTGTCTCTACTAAAAATACAAAAAAATTAGCCAGGCGTGGTGTCAGGTGCCTGTAATCCCAGCTACTTAGGAGGCTGAGGCAGGATAATTGCTTGAACCCAGGAGGCAGAAGCTGCAGTGAGCTAAAATCATGCCATTGCACTTCAGCCTGGGCAACAAGAGTGAAACTCTGTCTCAAATAAATACATTAAATTAAATTAAATTAAAAGAAACAGCATCTCCATTGGCCTCAGGAGCAGAGAGGCTGGAAGGTCTCAGCTAAGATCTGGTTTCCTGATGATCTTGCCAACAAGAGACATCCTATCTGTTGCCTGACCAGGGTGAGGAGGAATTAGCCCAAAGTGAGACAGTGTAGCGATTAAGGATGCAGGCTTGAGGCTGGATGTGGTGGCTTACACCCGTAATCCATCCCAGCACTTTGGGAAGTCAAGGTGGGCAGATCACCTGAGGCCAGGAGTTCGAGACAAGGTTGGCCAACATGGTAAAACCCCATCTCTACTAAAAATACAAAAATTAGATGGGTGTGGTGACATGCACCTGTAATCCCAGCTACTCAGCAGGCTGAGGCATGAGAATCACTTAAACCTGGGAAGCAGAGGTTGCAGTGAGCCAAGATTGTGCCTCTACACTCCAGCCTGGGTGACAGCAAGACTTTGTCTCAAAAAAAAAAAAAAAAAAAAAAAAAAAAAAAAAAGAATGTAGTCTTGGGAATCAGATAGACCTGTATTTGGGCCCCAGATCTTCCAGGTCACTAAATTTATCTGAGCTTCAGTTTCCTCATCAAGCAAACGGAAATGCCACCTCAAAGGTGTGGAGTGCAGGGAGTACATAAAAATTCGATGGATAACAAAAAGCAGGTGCTCTGCAGAGCACAAGGCATACAAAATAAGCTTGATAAAAATAAGCTCTTGTTAGGGATGTCTTAAATTGATCCCTTCCTTTGTCCTTGGCTTCCTTAGTTCAACCACAAAACCTTCCGCCCTTCCATATTACTCAATGTCCTTCTTTTAGAGACAGGATCTTACTCTGTCACCCAGGCTGGGTTGCAGTGGTGCCATCAGAGCTTGCTGCAGCCTCCAACTCCTAGGCTCAAGTGATCTTCCCACCTTAGCCTCCTGAGTAGCTGGGACCACAGGTGTGCACCATCATGCCTGGTTATTATTTTTTAAATTTTTTTGTAGCAATGAGGTCTCCCTTTGTTGCCCAGGCTAGTCTCGAACACCTGGGCTCAAGTGTTCCTCTTATCTTGGCCTCCCAAAGCCGTAGGATTATAGGTGTGAGCCACCACGCCTGGCCCCACTTGATATCTAAAAAGTAAAATATGCTGTGGACAACGAGGAAGCCTTTTTTCCTACTCCCCTACTTCTCTTCCCCAGCATTTCACTACCTTGAACAGTTTCATGTGAAGAACCAGGAGTGTCTATGCCCATGCATTCTAGGCTATGAAGGGTCTGAGACATCGACTCATTCAAAGATGTTGAAAACCGCAGCACCTGGTTACCCTTTTGGTCATTCCTTTTGCTGACTGTCTGAGAGTCTATCACATCAATGTCAGATATTGACAAAACCATGTTGATGCTTGAGTCTAGCAGCACCTTTTCTTGAAAAATCTGATTTGAGGATGGGTGGCTTTGGACCCCAGAGGAAACATTCTCAACCTGTATGATGATTTCATTCACGTGGTCATCGGACAGCATCTCCTGCCTCCTGCAAGCCTTCTTCTCCACTGGGGTGGGCTTCCTGAGACTTCATACAGCAGTCACACCCGCATTGATTGGGACTCGCAGGGAAAAAGTGATGATGATCACAAAGGGATACACCATTCACATTATTTTTAAAATGCCAGGATGAGCTCACCAAAGCCACCCCTACACAAATCACAACATAACTCCCTGCATCTAACCCCTGAGGAGTTTTCTCAGGAGAAGGAGTGTTTTCCTGCAGAGAATTCTGTCTTGGTAGCTAGGCAAGAAATCGAAAACAGAATCTTTCATTTAAGACAATGGGATTCTAGAAACAGAAGGAAGATATTTTTCTAAATGACTCATAGTCAAAGGGCAAGATTTTTTTTTATAATTTAGTGCCTCTGGCCTAGAACTTATATATATACATATATATATGTTCTAAATATACATATATATGTTCTAAATATACATATATATATTCTAAATGTGTGTATATATATATTTTTTTTTTTGAGATGGAGTCTCGCTATGTCACCCAGGCTGGAGTGCAGTGGCGCGATCTCAGCTCACTGTAACCTCCACCTCCCAGGTTCACGCCATTCTCCTGCCTCAGCCTCCCAAGTAGCTGGGATTACAGGCGCCCGCCACCATGCCCGGCTAATTTTTTGTATTTTTAGTAGAGACGGGGTTTCACCACGTTAGCCAGGATGGTCTCGATCTCCTGACCTCGTGATCCTCCTGCCTCGGCCTCCCAAAGTGCTGGGATTACAGGCGTGAGACACAGCACCTGGCTGAACTTATATTTTATATCTGTAGTTTTATCTGCCTGTAGAAATCCACATGGGTTTACAGTGATACAATTATTATCTCCTGATGCCTTAGGTAGTGGACTCTGCTATTTGTCTGGCTCTCAGTCTCTAATCTTCTTCTTTCTCACACCAGCAAAAGCTCCATTTCCTGTGCAGACATAGTGCTCAAAGTTTCCCAGTGTTCTTTGCGGCTAAGGGTGGGCCTGTGACTCAGTTTTAGCCAATGAGACTTGTGGCTTCCAGGAATGCTCTTTCTAAGGGGACAGTTTGCCTGGGTTCACAATTTGCCCTTCACCAGTCTTCCTCCAGACATTTTGAAAAGAAGAGAACGAACGTTCACCTGCTAAGGATGGTAGAGAAAAAGGCTGCAGAAGGGGCTTCAGTCCTTGAGGGCATCATGGGTGGAGCTGCTGTACAAACTTTGCACTTCCTCCCTCCATGCTTCTTGTTTTTTTGCTTTTTAAAAATTTTTATTTATTTATTTATTTAGAGACAGAGTCTCTCTCTGTTGCCCAGGCTGGAGTACAGTGGCATGATCTTGGCTCACTGCAGCCTTTGCCTCCTGGGTTCAGGCAATTCTCCTGCCTCAGCCTCCTGAGTAGCCTGGCAAATTTTTGTATTTTTTGTAGAGACGAGGTTTCACCATGTTGGCCAGGCTGGCCTTGAACTCCTGACCTCAAGTGATTCGCCTGCCTCAGCCTCCCAAAGTGCTGAGATTACAGGCATGAGCCACCGCATGTAAAAAAAAGTACAAATTTTTAAACTTTTTTTTTTAGAGATGAGGTCTTGCTCTGTTTCCCAGGCTGGAGTGCAGTAGTGTGATCATAACTCACTGCAGCCTTGACCTCCTGGGATCAAGTAATCCTCCTGCTTCAGCCTCCTGAGTATCTGGGACCACAGGGGCACCACCATGCCCAGCTATTTGTTTTTTTTTAAAGACATAGGGTCTCACTTTGTTGTCCAGGCTGGTCTCGAACCCCTGGTTTCAAGCAATTCTCCCACCTTGGCTTCCCAGAGTGCTGGGATTACAGGTGTGAACCATTGCACCTAACCCACACTTCTCAGTACATGAGAAAAATAAACCCCTTTATTGCTAAGCCACATTTCTGTTCCAGTGCCAGGCACATAAACACAATTCCTATCCAATAGATCTAATTTCAAATCACCTAGGCCTAGTTGTTTATTTAATAGTTGTAGAAATTGAGGTGCAGAGAGCTGAACGGACACTGTTCCTCCTCATCACACTTTCATTAAATGTCAAAATTGAACTAGAACCCATGTATTCCTTCTCCCAACAGTGATAATTAACAGTAATGATACCTGCCATTACTGCAGGCCAAGTACTTTAAATAGAGCACAACATTTACGCTATGAAGTAGATATTAAAATCAACCCCATTTTATAGCTAAGAAAACTGATGCTTCATGAAATAATTTGTCACAAAACCAGCAAGCAGTAGAGCTGGGGTCAAATCCGGATTGCTCTGAACCCAAAGCAGAACTCTTAGTCATTTCACTCTGGCCCCTTCCTGTAACAAGAGGCTGGTATATCATTCATTCATTCTTGCCAGGTGTGGTGGTTTATGCCTCTAATCACAGCACTTTGGGAGGCCAAGGTGGGTGGATCACTTGAGGCCAGGAGTTCAAGACCAGCCTGGCCAACATGGTGAAACTCTGTCTACTGAAAATACAAAAATTATCCAGGTGTGGTGGCAGGGGCCTGTAATCCCAACTGCTTGGGAGGCTGAGGCTGGAGAATTGCTTGAACTCAGGAGGTAGAGGTTGCAGTGAGCCGAGGTCACTCCACTCCACTCCAGCCTGGGGGACAGAGTGAAACTCTGCCTCAAAAACAACAACAAAAAAGATGCTGGTGTATCATTCATTCATTCTTGCCAACTGAGGTGGTGGCTCACACCTGTATTCTCAGCTACTTGGGAGGCTGAGGCGGGAGGATTGCTTGAGCCCAGGAATTTGAGAACAGTCGGAGCAATATAGTGAGATTCCATCTCAAAATATTCATTCATAAATGAATGAATATAAGCACGCACACTATGTGGCAGGTGCTTCCTAGGGACACAGCATAATTAATTCATCAAAGCTATACTTTATCAGGCTATCTTTTGTTTTTCTTTCTTTCCTTTTTTAGGCAAGGTCTCACTCTGTCCCCTAGGCTGGAGTGCAGTAGGGTGATCTTGGCTCACTGCAGTGCCTGCCTCCTGGGCCCAAGGGATCTTCCCATCTCAGCCTCCAGAGTAGCTGGCACTGCAGGTGCACGCCACCAGGCCTGGCTAATTTTTCTTTTTTCTTCTTTTTTTTTTTTTTGAGACAGAGTCTCATTCTGTTGCCCAGGCTGGAGTGCAGTGGCATGATCTCAGCTCACGGCAACCTCCGCCTCCCGGGTTCAAGTGATTCTCCAGCCTGAGCCTCCTGAGTAGCTGGGATCACAGGCATGTACCACCATGCCCAGCTAACTTTTGTATTTTTAGCAGAGACGGAGTTTCACCATGTTGGGCAGGCTGGTCTCAAACTCCTGACCTCAAGTGATCCACCCGCCTAGGCCTCCCAAAGTGCTGGGATTACAAGCATGAGCTACCATGCTTGGCCAAATTTTCTATTTTTCATAGAGATGGGGTTTCACTGTGTTGCTCAGGCTGTTCTTAAACCTCTGAACTCAAGTGATCTACCTGCCTCAGCCTCCAGAAGTCCTGGGATTACAGGTGTGAGCCAGTGCACCCAGCCTGGGCTATTATTTAATTGCATGTGGTTTGTGAATCAGATTCAACACAAAGCAAAATGATGAAGACAGCCAGGTTCATCTTTTGGTCCTCTATTTCTTTACTACTCTCTGCCTTTTGGGGACTCCTCTTCTACCAGGGTTCCTGTGATATATATATATATAATATATATATATAATTTTTTCCCACCCGTGGTTCCTGGCTCATAACTACCATAGCCCTTGTTATAATGTTAGAATTTTAAGCCTCAGAAAACAGAATCTCTCTCTCTGATCTCCTGCCTCTTTTCATTTGCTCTATTTTCTCCCCAAGGCAGGATTCCAGTCTTTCCCCACCTTTCTGTCTTGGAGTTGGCCATAAAGAAATTCTCCCTCATTTCAGAAGGGGTCCTGCCCCAAACCCTGGAGGAAGGAATGCTGCACAGAAAGCCCAAGAAGGATCTGAACAGACACAGCTTTCTGGGTTTCCCCAACCTGTCTATTAGTATGAGATCATACACCCTTTGATCTCGGCTCACTGCATTCTCCGCCTCCTGAGTTCAAGTGATTCCCCTGCCTCAGCCTCCCAAGTAGCTGGGACTACAGGCACATGCCACCATGCCCGGCTAATTTTTGTATTTTTAGTAGAGACGGGGTTTCACCATGTTGGCCAGGCTGGTATCGAACTCCTGACCTTAGGTGATCCACCTGCCTCGGCCTCCCAAAGTGCTGGGATTGCAGGTGAGAGCCACCATGCCCGGCCATCCAGTCTCATTTCTACATGCTTGTCAATCATGTCTATGTAATGAAGCCTCCCAATAAAAGGCCCAAGAGGACTGGGTTCAGGTAGCTTTCTGATAGCTGAAGACGGGGAGGTTCCTGGAGGGTGGCTCACCCAGGGAGGGCATGGAAGCTCTGTGTCCCTTCCCCTATACCTCACCTAATGCATCTCTTCATCTATGTCCCTTGTAATATTCTTTGTAATAAGCCAGTAAACATAAGTTTCCCGAAGTTCTGTGAGCTGCTCCAGCAAATTAACCAAACCAAAGGAGGAGGTCGTGGGAACCCCAACTTGAAGCTGGTTGGTCAGAAGTTCTGGGGCTGGGTGCGGTGGCTCATGCCTGTAATCCCAGCACTTTGGGAAGCCGAGGTGGGCAGATCAGTTGAGGTCAGGAGTTTGAGACCAGCCTGGCCAAAATGCCGAAACCCCGTCTCTACTAAAAATACAAAAATGAGCTGGGTGTGGTGGCGCATGCCTGTAATGCCAGCTACTCAGGAGGCTGAGGCACAAGAATCGCTTGAACCTGGGAGGCGGATGTTGCAGTGAGCTGAGATGGTGCCACTGCACTCCAGCCTGAATAACGGAGTGAGATCCTTAAAAATAATAATAATAATAAAAAGAAAAAGTTCCGGCGGCCTGGACATGTGGCTGGGGTCTGAAGGAGGTATATAGTCTTGGGGACTGCGCCTTTGTCCTATGGGATCTGACACTATCTCCAGGTAGATAGTGTCAGAATTGAATTGGAGGATACCCAGCGATGTCTGCTGTAAAATTGATCGCTTTCTTGGTGTGTGGGGAGAAACCCCCACCCATTTGTTCACAGAAGCCTTCTGTGTTGATGGTTGTTGAGTAAGAGAACAGAAAAAACACTCTGAGTGTGTTTTTTTCTATACAGTCTCCAAACCTCATGCTGGCAAGACAGAGCAGTCATAACATTTAAACATATTTATTCTCCCTGATAATTAAAGCCATTCTGTGCCCCAGTGGGGACCAAATAGACAGTGTGATCATTTATATCCCAACGGTTTTCCCTTCCAAGTAGCAATATCTAACCCTCCCTGAAAAGGCATACATCTCTTGAAGGATGAGGCTAACGGTTATCTTATAGGCGATGGGGCTGAAAGGTGAGAGTTCTAAGTGGCTTCTCTCCACACGCATCATTGTATAGAGGACCTCATTACTTTATTCCTTGTTGCTCACAGATTTGCCTTGTGGCTCCAGCACTCCCTAGTCTAGTCTCTCTCCTCTGTTGCTTCATTTTTTGTTTTTGTTTGTTTGATTTTGAGACAGGGTCTCACTCTGTCACCTAGGCTAGACTGCAATGGCGTGATCACAGCTCACTGCAGCCTCAACCTCCCAGGCTCAAGCAATCCTACCGCCTCGGTCTCCCAAAGTGTTGGGATTACAGGCATAACCCCCGTGCCTGGCTTGTTGCTTCCTTTTTATTTTTCAGTCTCTGCCTCTGATTCAACCTTCATCACCACACACAGTGATCCTTAGAGAGCTTCCTAACTGATTGCAGCGCCTTCTATCTTTCACCAGTCTGACTGCTTCCACACTCCATTATCATAATAATTATATGAATATTCACAAAAACTTTGATCAATGCATCTTGTCCCCACCAACACAGGCATTAGCCACAGAATAGACAGGTGACCCAGTCTTGTCCCTTGTGGTAAAAATGATTGGCTCAAGTGTAGGCATGTGCTCCAGTTAGACTGGCCAGAGTCCTTCCCCCGCATTAGAGATGGACCCAGGGAGGAAGCAAGACTTCCTAATGAGGTGGCTAAGCAGAGGGCTCACGTGGGCCTGCTATTGGCCGTGTTCTCTGGCCTGTGGACAAGTCCTGACTCTGACGGAGATGAATGAGGTCTAACTTAAAGAGGTGCTGAGGATCCAGGACATACCTATACATACAGAACTGAAAAGCAAGTTTTACAAAGATGAGAAATGGATGGGAAACCAGAGTCCAGGTGACATTGAGTTCCCTGACCTCAGACTGAGGTCCTGATTTCTGTACTCATTCAACAAATTAATCTAACAAATATCCCTAAAATACCTACTACGTGCCAGGCACTGTACTAGGTGCTGGAAGGTACTAATACTTCTACTTTCATTTCTTTAAGTTTCCCCCATACGCTTCTACCACATGAGCCAATGAATTCCCCCTGGGCTAATGCCTGTTTGAGTTGGGTTTCTGTCACTTGCAACCAGAAGATTCCTAATGAAGACACCCTGATCCCCAGAAGACAACAAACTATACATCTAAAAGAAAACTCCATTATGATATGTTAAGCAGGTTCTGCATCAGTAACCACACTGGAGGTCAAAGGAAATGGCAATGGGTGGATTGTCTTGGACATGTTCCTTCTCCAGGGTTGACTTTTTGGTCACTGTCCTTTAAGTCTTACTGTATTAGTCTGTTTTCACACTGCTATAAAAATACTGCCTGAGACTGCATAATTTATAGACAAAAGAGGTTTAATTGTCTTACAGTTCCTCATGGCTGGGGGGCATTTCTCAGGAAACTTACAAACGTGGTGGAAGGCATAGGGGAAAGAAGGGCACATCTTACATGGGGGCAGGAGAGAGAGTGGGTGCAGGGGAAGCTGTCACTTTTAAACCATCAGATTTCAAGGGAACTCCCTCAATATCATGAGAACAGCATGGGGGAAACCACCCCCATGATCCAATCACCTCCCACCAGGTCTCTCCCCCGACACATGGGGATTACAATTTGAAATGAGAGTTGGGTGGGGACACAGAGCCAAACCATATCACTTACCTTGGGGTGACTTGTGCCAATCACATTCAGACAATGGTGGGTTTCCATAAGCATGGACAGGACCACTTTCACCTACATAAGCAGGGTTCACTGGAGGGAAGAGGAAGGAGATATTGCCGATTAGTCTCACCACACTAGACATTCCTGGCATGCAATAGTTATGATGTGCTAATAGTGGTTCGTAACGGCTAATAAGACTGAGACCTGGTCTTTGAGGTTCTAACAGACTACTGATTAAGAACTTGGGTGGAAACTAGGACAAAAATACAAAAACAGTGCTGTTAAATATAATCAGCCTAGATCAATGGTTTTTCATTTGACTAAGCCATAGTTAAAAATAATTGTTGGCAAGGTGAGGTAGCTCACGCCTGTAATCCCAGTGCTTTGGGAAGCCATGGTGGGAGGATTACTTGAGCCCAAAAGTTCAAGACCATCCTGGGCAACATAATGAGACCCTGTCTCTAAAAATATATGTATATGTGGCCGGGCACAGTGGCTCACGCCTGTAATCCCAGCACTTTGGGAGGCCGAGACAGGTGGATCACGAGGTCAGGAGATCGAGACCATCCTGGCTAACCCCGTCCCTACTAAAAAAATACAAAAAAATTAGCCGGGTGTAGTGGCGGGCGCCTGTAGTCCCAGCTACTCGGGAGGCTGGGGCAGAATGGCATGAACCCAGGAGGTGGAGCTTGCAGTGAGCCGAGATCGCGCCACTGCACACCAGCTTGGGCAACAGAGCGAGACTCTGACTCAAAAAAAAAAAAAAAAGAAAAAAATACATATAAACTACATGATATAAAAATAAATATATATTTTATACTATATATTTTATATATTTTTTGTATTTCTAATATATTTATTTTTATATGTTACATGTAATCTATATTTTATATGTTATATAATATAAAAATAAATATAATATATTAAAATATATATATTATCTATAAATATATATTTTAATATAAAATATAATATAAAAAATTACATTAAATATATATATTAATATATATTTTAAGACAGGTTCTCACTCTGTCACCTAGGCTGGAGTGCAGTGGTGCGATTTCAGCTCACTGCAGCTTTGACCTCCCAGGCTCAAGCAATCCTTCCATCTCAGCCTCCTGAGTAGCTGGGACTACAAGCATGCACCACCATGCCTGGCTAATATTTTGTATTTTTTGTAGAGAGGGGGTTTCACCATGTTATCCAGGCTGGTCTCGAACTTCTGGGCGGCTCAAACAATCTGCCAGCCTTGGCCTCTCAAAGGGTTGGGATTACAGGCTTGAGTCATGGAGCCCAGTAAAAAAGTGTGTGTGTGTGTGTGTGTGTGCGTGTGTGTGTAAATAATGGTTGCACTGAGATCCAGGACACACCTATACATATAGAACTGAAAAGCAAGTTTTACAAAATAATACTTTGTTTGACTATATAAACTGCACTCTAACATAGCCTTACTCTAGTCCACTCTTTTTTTTTTTTTTTTTTGAGACTTGCTCTGTCACACAGGCTGGAGTGCAGTGACGCAATCTCGGCTCACTGCAACCTCTGCCTCCCGGGTTCAAGTGATTCTCCAGCCTCAGCCTCCCAATTAGCTGGGAGAAATGGAGAAAATGGAGCACATTTTAATGGGGACAATATGCAAAATTACATTGCAAGACCTTCTGGAGCTTCTTGCCTGGGAATCAACTCCCAGCCCTGTTACTTCCTAGTTGTGCGCCCCCTGGGTGTGTGTCTTAGCATCTCTGAGCTTCAATATCTTAGTCTCTAAAATAGGGATAACAGGCTAGGTGTGGTGGTGTATGCCTGTAATTTCGGCACTTTGGGAGGCCAAAGTGGGACAGTCGCTTGAGCACAGGAGTTTGAGACCAGCTTGGGCAACATGGCATAACCCTGTCTCTACAAAAAATAAAAAAATTGGCTGGGCATGGTAGTAGTGTGCCTGTAGTCCCAGCCACTCAGGAGGTAAAGGCTGCAGTGAGCTGAGATTGCACCACTGCACTCCAGCCTGCACTAAAGAGCGGGCATTTTGTCTGAAAAATAAATAAATAAATAGGGATAATAATAGGACCTTCACATAGGATTGTTGTGGGAATTGAATCAGTGAACACATGTGAAATGATTAAATAATCCTCGAACATATTAAACTCTAATATATATTAACTGTTATAGTAGATTAATTGTTATTCAGCAAATATTACATTTCCCCTACCTTGACTACCTCCATTGATATTGGGCTTAGTCGTGTGACTTGCTTTGAACAATGGAATATGACAGAAGTGACAGTGTGCCAGTTCCAAGCCAAGGCTTTTAAAGATACCGTGTGTTTCTGCTTGCCATTTTGAGCACTTTCAGCTTACGGCATGGGAAGACATTGCCCTAGGTCACTCACTGGTCCAAGAAGAGGGACACTAGAACTAAATAGAACCCATGACGTAGAGCCAAGCACAACAAACTCAGCGTAGTTCAGCCAAATGCCAACCAACCTTGCAGACCCGTAAGAAGAAAATGCTTGTTTATTGTACGACTCTGGATTTTTGGAGTTGTTTGTTATGCAGCATTCCTGTGGCAATAGCTAGCTGATACAACTCTTATAGTTGTTGTTGTTGTTGTTGTTATTAACTCAGTTAATATTTTTCAGGCACCTACTGTGGGCCAGGCACTGTGACACTAGGAAGAGCACCTAGAGCCTTGGAGGGTACATAGATGAATACAGGTTCTCCTTAAGGAGTGAACACTTTATCAGGATGGGGTGACACTGGACAAGTGATTGCCAAGGGCTGCAAACTTTGCCCTACAAAAGATCCCAGAGAAGTGAGCTATACTGACCTGCTTTTTTTGTTTTTTAAGTATTTTATCTTCCAATGTTCTATAGAGCTTTGTGGTCAGGAATCTGTTTGTATTTGCCCTGATTCAACCTAGCAGTAATGCAGGGTAAATAAGAGGTCAGGTTTTGGGTAGAGAGACGGGATTCAATCCTGGCTCTGTCAATTTAGTAAGTGAGTGACCTTGTGCATATTTCTTTCTAAGTCTTAGTTTTCCCATCTGTTAAAACAGGGAGAGTGGCAGTGCCTGCCTGAAAGGCAGTTGTACAGATTAAATGAGATAATAAAAGTCAAGTGCTGGACAGAGACTCCAGGGCATAGGAAACACTCAAGATTTGCTTGCAGTTATACGTTCCACTTGCACTGGAGTAGCACAGTATGTCTCAATCTTGTTTCATTATCAGCCCCTTAAGCAGGGGAGACATTTTTTCCTCATTGCCGTCCTCTAAGAAGTTTTAATACCAAAGATATACTGTATCCGTTTGTGTACTACATGTGTATCCCTGCTTTATACATCAAGAGTGAGATTTTTTTCTGGCCTTTCAAGAGCAGATATTCCCCCCTTGGGATTTCTATTGCCCCTGTGGAGGAATGCTTGGAATAAAGGTTTGGAATAGCCCTGGGCTATCTGATGTCTGTGCTCCCAAAGGAATATTCTCTTTTCTTTTTCCTTCCTTCCTCCCTTCCTTCCTTCCTTCCCTCTCTCCCCCTCCACCTCCCCCCAACTCTTCCCCTCCCCTCCCCTCCCCTCCACTCCCTTCCTTTCCTGTCCTGTCCTGTCCGGTCCTTTCTTTTTTTGCGACAGGGTCTCGCTTTGTCACTCAGGCCAGAGTGCAGTGGTACAGTCATGGCTCACGGCAGCCTCAACCTCCCAGGCTCAAGTGATCCTCCTGTGTCAATCTCCCAAGTAGCTGGGACCCCAGGTGTGTGCCACCACGCCCAGCTAATTTTTAAAATTAGGCCCGGAATGAAAATTTTCTATGTGTTAACAGTCAGTGTTTTCATTAGTACATGGCTATGCATCCTGTCCCCTCCTCTCTGCCTTCTTCCAGACCTGCCCCATCTACTCCTCAAGGCTCATCAATCCTCCATCTGCACCTCCCAGCACTTGGGTCTCTTGTTCTCTTCTTATTGGCTGAACACCTTCTCCCTTTTCTGACTTCCACAGGTTCCAAATTCCTTTAACATGGCCTGGATTTTTTTTTTCTCTTGTGCCATCAAACGGCTTCCTGGAACATGTCTCTTTTTCCTCCTAGAAAGTAAGAACTGTTCAGAATTGGCCCAGGCTCAAGCCTGTAATCCCAGCACTTTGGGAGGCCGAGACTGGAGGATTGCTTGAAGCCAGGAGTTCAAGGCCAGCCCAGGCAACATAGCAAGACCCCATCTTTCTCAAGCATAAAAAAAGTGCCAGGCATGGTGGCATGCAACTGTAGTCCCTGCTACTGGGTAGGCTGAGGTGGGAGGATTGCTTGAGCCTAGGAGTTTGAGGCTGCAGTGAGCTATGATCAGCCTGGGTGACAGAGCAGGACACTGTCTTAAAAAAAAAAAAAACTGTTTAGAATTTCCTTTGCCTCCTGGAGCTAAGCATCTTATCTATACACACAACAAATTATGAGGACAACATGATTTTTCAAATATTAATAGTTTGCTTGCTAACTTTCTTTAGTCTTTTTTTTGTTTGTTTTTAACAGAGTCTCGCTCTACTGCCCAGGCTGGAGTACAGTGGTGCGATCTTGGCTCACTGCAACCTCCGCCTCCTGGGTTCAAGTGATTCTTCTGCCTTAGCCTCCCGAGTATGGCATTACAGGTGCCCTCCACTATGCCTGGCTAATTTTTGTATTTTTAGTAGAGACGGGGTTTCACCATGTTGGCCAGGCTGGTCTCGAACTCCTGACCTCAGGTGATCTGCCCGCCTCGACCTCCCAAGTGCTGGGATTACAGGCGTGAGCCACCACACCCAGCCTTTTCTTTAGTCTTGATGTGGCACTTTTGTTGACCTATTTAGGCTTTAAATAACATGAGGGCAGAGCTACCTCTTAACTCCCTTTTCCCCCAGTAGGTTCTGAACACATACGTGCTGATTGCCTGAATGCCTTTAGGATATGCTAAACTACAGGTGGCCACTGGCAGCTAACAAAAAATGTGGTTTTGTTTGCCCAGCTCACTGTTTTTACTTTTAAAAATTATTTTGGAACAGATCAACATCAGGTTTCACATAAAACCCCAAATACACGGCTTCTGAAAAATATGAAGATCTTGCCACATTGAGCCCACATTGCCACATAACCACCATGGACTGAGCTTCACCAACTCTGGTAGGAACAGAGTGCACAGGTCCCCATTTTCCACAACTCTTACCTAGCATTTTTTTTATAATTGATGACAATTAACTTGGCTTCTCTAAACACTGAATTCTCAACTTTTGTATGTAAAAACAAGGGTCTCTGAGATTGGAAGGATACACCAATTCTCCTATTGCCAAGTCTCCTTAATGATTGCACCCCTAAATCCAGTGATTTCAGTTTTTTCCCAGGATATGATCCTGGCTTAACAAATGCTTACCATAGCCACTTCCAGGAGCACCTGGCAGAGAGTGGCCATATGAGTTTGCCATCTCCATGGATGCCATTTCAATGCCTTCAGGGTAATCATTCTCTCCCCAAAGACTGCCCACGGGGTCATCACTCCTGTGACGAAATGAGGGCTGGATTGAAGATGTTCTGCTGAGCACCCTAAAATCCAAAATGATGGATCACTATCCAACCAAGAGTATAGTAAGGATTGTCATCCATCCATCCATCCATCCATCCATCCATTCAATCATGTATTCATCCATTTATTTATCCATCCATTTATCCATCCATCCATCCATCCATCCATGTATCCATCCATTCAATCATGTATTTATCCATCCATTTATCCATCCATCCATCCATTCATCCATCCATTGATTCATCTGTTCATCCATCCATCCATGTACCCATCCATTCATTCATGTATTCATCCATCCATTTATCCATCCATCCATTTACCATCCATCCATCCAACCATACATACATTCATCCATCCATCTATCCGTCCATGTATTCATCTATCCATCCATGTATCCATCCATTCATTAATGTATTCATCCATCCATCCATTCCATTCCATTCCACAAATGCAGACTAAATGCCAACCCTGAGTTAGGCATGGGCTAGAAGGTGAGAATACAAAGAGGAAAACATGGGGTACCTGCCCTCAAGAAGCTCACAGTACAAGTTGGTACAGCTTCTTAGACACAGCTATGAGCAATTATACTACAAGTAGAAACTGGTGAGTATCTGAAGACAGGCCCAAGGAGTTCGGAGGAAAGATAATTCTTGCTGAGAGTTTTGGGAGAAATCTGCATGGAAAAGATACATCTGAGCAGGGATTGAGAAGACACATTCATACATAAAGGGAGGGCATTCCAAGGATGAAGAACAGCATAAAAAAAGGTGTGAGGCCAGAAAGTGCTGAATATATAAAGGAAATGCTATGAAAATCAACTGATGAGTAATGATTCTCAATTTACTACATATACCACTTCCCAAGCCTTGTCCTGGAGAATTGAATCAGAAGTTCTGAAGGTTTGACTGAGGCATCTGTATTATTTTTAAAGTTCCCCAGATAACTGGGTAATGCTAAGGATCAGCCAAAGTCAAGAACCACTGACCTAGAGTATAAGGTCAAGGCAGGGGGCAGACAGGAGACTTAAGAGGAGATCAGTCAGGCTGGTCTTTGGCTGGCATCTTACATTAACACGACGTATCCTTATTCATAAACATTCTATAAGTGAAGTTGGGTGGCCTTTCTCCAAAGGTTATGGGGACCCATGGACGATGAAAAGCAAAGGAGTGATAGGATCAAAGGTGGGCTTTGGAATGATGAATCAGGCAGTGGGTGATAAGACCAAGGAGGACATTTTCACCTGGTCCTGTTAACCCTACTATTTGGGTTCTAAAGACATCAGGACTGCTGCACGCCCAAGTCCTATATCCTTGTTCCTAGAGATAAATACAAGCCACCAGTTTTTTATCAAATTCATAAATATTACTAGTAGAAACAGTAAATGCAAAATCAAACTCATATTGGTTACAACTTCACATGACAAACATTGTTACTGATTAAACCACAAACTGACTTTAAAAAATCACATCTTAGACTGGGCACAGTGGCTCATGCCTGTAATCCCAGCATTTTGAGAGGCCGAGGCAAGCAGATCATTTGAGGTCAGTAGCTCAAGACCAGCCTGGCCAACATGGTGAAACCCTGTCTGTACTAAAACTACAAAAACTAGCTGGGCATGGTGGTGCATGCCTGTAATCCCAGCTACTTGGGAGGCTGAGGCAGGAGAATCACTTGAACCTAAGAGATGGAGGTTGCAGTGAGCCAAAACTGAGCCACTGCACTCCAACCTGGATGACAGAGTGAGACGCTGTCTCAAAAAAAAAAAAAAAAAAAAATTACATTTTGTTGGCAACGTGAACATGAAAAATCTTAACCCAGGAAAAATTAGATTTGGTAGAACTAAGTAACCCAGACTAATGCTGTCGGTGTCCAGAACTGCATTTGGTAAAATTTGTCAAGGAACAAAAATTGACAGAAGATCAAAATCTTTTAGACAAAATTTAGATCTACAGAATCTAAACCTGGAAAAACTGGACTTGCTACTTAAAAATGGCCTTAGGCCAGGTGCAGTGGCTCACGCCTGTAATCCCAGCACTTTGGGAGGCTGAGGCAGGTGGATCACCTCAGATTGGGAGTTTGAGACCAGCCTGACCAACGTGGAGAAACCCTGTCTCTACTAAAGATACAAAATTAGCTGGGCGTGGTGGCGCATGCCTGTAATCCCAGCTACTCAGGAGACTGAGGTAGGAGAATCGCTTGAACCCGGGAGGCAGAGGCTGTGGTGAGCTGTGATCGTGCCATTGCACTCCAGCCTGGGCAACAAGAGCGAAACTCCATCTCAAAAAATGAATGAATGAATGAATAAATAAATAAAAAACAACAACAACAAAAAACCGGCCTTAAAGGAATACTGAAAATGGTGAAAACTATAATTGATAAAATTAGATTAAAATAGTGCAGATAATCAGTGAATCAAATCTGCAGTAAAGTTTTGGTGAAAAGTCATCAATTCTGATAATCTCAGTAAAATAGAAATAAAAGTGTAAAAATCAGAAGTGGTGCAAACATGGCCGGGCATGGTGGCTCATGCCTATAATCCCAGCAGCTGGGAGCCTTCTTCAAGACTAGCCTGGGCAACATGGCAAAACACCATCTCTATACAAAAATAAAAACTTAGCCGGGCATAATAGGTGCACACCTGTAGTCCCAGCTACTTGGGAGGCTGGGGTGGGAGGATCAATTGAGCCCAGAAGGTTGAGGCTGTGGTGAGCTATGATTGTGCCACTGCACTCCAACCTGGGTGACATAGCAAGACCCTGTCTCAAGAAAAATAAAAAAAATAAGAAAAAAAAATGACCAAAAAAAAAAACAAAGAAGTGGTGCAAACATCTCATATAAAAAACTAATCGACTTCACGGAGTTAGATCTCCAAAAGATTTTCTGGATAACAATTCATCACTGTTGATGTAATTTTAATTAAAGTGTTTGGATTTATGAGCGTCAAGTCTTAACCTTGTTGGCTACGTAGCAGGGTCAAAACAGTGTGGATCTAGATGTCTTACAGGGATTGAATTAGGAAGAGGTGGGATAATGGGAAGGTGATCCAAGGAAGAGATGGTGAAAGATTAAGTTCAAGTAAGGGCTTGAAGCCTCAAACTGAGAGTCCATGGCCCAGGTAAGGTCTACAGATAGGTATGCGCATTTCACCACAACTTCAGGTCATAGAAACCGTCATATATATCCCTAATCTAAACCACACCAACCAAATTCCATTGACTTAATGATTCAGCACTCAGCATCCACTCCCAGTGAAGGGATATATATCTGAACTTACCCCCTGGTCATCTTTGGGGTCTCAGAAGAGCCATAATCATGACCATTCTCAGCATCTGAATAATCAGGTTCTCTCCAAGTGCTTGGCAAGTTCTGATTGTCCTCAGCACTGGGATAGTCTGGCTCCCCAAAAAAGGGTGGAGAGTTAGGTTGAATGTCAGCGCCTGGATAATCAGGCTTTCCCAGAGAGTCTGCGTATGGATTGATTCTAAAACTTGTATGTTCCAGATTCTTTCTGGATCCTGGATGGTTCAAATTGGCTCTGGGTCCAGGATGATCAGAGTTGCTCTGAGCTCCAGGGTAGTCCGGTTCTAAGGAGCCAAAATGATCTGGATGTGTTCTGGAGCCTGCATAGTTTCCACTGCTGCTGGAGCCTGCAAAATCAGGATTTCGTTGAGATCCAGGGTAGTCTGGTTGTCTGGATGATGCTCGGTGGTAGGGATGACTCTGAAATTCACTATAATCTGGCTCTGGTAGAGAGGTAGGATGGTCTGGGCTTGTTCTAGAGGCTGCAGAGTATGCATTGCTTCTGGTGCCAGAATAGTCTGGATTACTCAGAGATCTAGGATAATTTGGTTCTGCCAGAGACCCAGGATAGTCTGGACGTGTTCTGGAGGCTACAGAGTATGGATTGCTCCTGGTGCCGGGGTAGTCTGGATTGTTCAGAGGACCTGGAACATCTGGATAACCTTGAGTTTTCAAATACCCCTGCGTACGGTTCTGAGACCCTGAATAGTCAGGGTAATCTGGGTCTTCCTCAGACCAGTTATTCCTGTAGTAGGCAGACATGTTGGTATGGACTCTTCACCCTGGAGTGGTAAACTGTCCCAGCATTTGCAATTACTCAGGGATCTTTTTTTTTTTTCACCTGAAAAACAAGAAGAAAAGAAAAAGTCAGATTTTTTTCCCTTTCTTCCCTGCAGAGATTGCTGGTTATCTTCCAGTATCTGTTCTCCTTTCGTTCGTAGTCAGGTACACAACTGCCTAGAATAAAGACTATGTTTCTAGATTCTCTTGCACCAAGGTATGAACATGAGGATGGTCAATGGGATGAGAGCAGCAGTGATACCCACAACTTCCCAGCTGTGCTGTTAGAGGAAAGAGGTTATTTCTCCCTTTCTCCATCTTGCTTCCTCTGGGCTGGAATGCGGAAATGACGGTGCACCATCTTGGGTCATGCACACAAAGCCAAGACCTGCATTTGGGATAAATGCACAACAGAGGAAAGGATGCTGGGTTGCTGGTGACTTCACAGAGCACAGCCATTGTATCAGCTAAGACTATTATGTGAGAGAGAAATAAAATTATCTTGTTTAAACCACTGTTTTTGTGGTCTTTAACACATGCAACTAAGCTTTCATCTTGAACAATATATTCCCTTGGTTATGGGGGAGGGGACCAGTGAACCAAAGGATTGAAAGAAACAAGGACTTTTTGTGCTTTTTGATTACACTTGAGGTTCTAGGGTTCAAAGCATAAATTAATATAAGTGCATAAAAGAAGAATGGTTAATGGAAACTAGAGGACTAGGGTAAGTAGACAATTGCTATGACCCCTTCCAGTTTGAAAATAAGATTTTATGAGCTCCACCAGCTCTGATCCACAGACCACAGGATACTTTTGTCAAATTTAGCCCAAAGCTACCTCCTAACATATTTTAAGTTTGGCCTAAAGATTTCTCTGTACATAATGAACTGTGACCTAACTAAGAGGTGTCAACAGACTATAACCTACTCTTGTACCAATCACTGAATTTTGGCCAATCACAGGCAACCAATTGTTCAAACTGTGTTCAAATAAGGCAAATGCTGAGCTGTAACCAATCCATTGCTCCTGAACCTCACTTCCATTTTTTCTATGTCATCTCCCTTTTCTTGTCCATAAATCTTCTTTGACCCAGCATGTGGCAGCACCTAAGTCCCTCAGAACCTATTCTGGCTGGGGAGGCTGTCCCATTAGCAAATCATTCTTTGTTTGATTAAACCCTGTTACCTCTAGTTTGTCTAAAGTTTTTCTTTTAACACTTTGAAATAAGAGGTGATGCAGTTTTAATTTTCTTTTCTTTTCGTTTTTCTTTTTTTGAGATGGAGTCTCACTCTGTAGCCTAAGCTGGAGTGCAGTGGTGCAATCTCGGCCCACTGCAACCTCCGCCTCCTAGGTTCAAGCAATTCTCCTGCCTCAGCCTCCTGAGTAGCTGGGATTACAGGCGTGCACCATCATGTCCAGCTAATTTTTGTATTTTTAGTAGAGACAGGGTTTCACTATGTTGGCCAGGCTGGTCTCAAACTCCTGACCTCAGGTGATCCACCCGTCTCGGCCTCCCAAAATGCTTGGATTATAGGCATGAGTCACCATGCTTGGTTGAGTTTTCTTTCTTTCTTTCTTTCTTTCTCTTTCTTTCTTTTTCTTTTCTTTCTTCTTTTTTTTTTTTTTTTTTGACAGGGTGTCACTCTGTCACCCAGGCTGTAGTACAATGGTACAATCATAGCTCACTGCAGCCTCGATCTCTTGGGACTCAAGCGATCCTCCCATCTCAGCCTCCTGAGTAGCTAGGACCACAAGCATGCATCTTGTGGTCCTAATTTTTTCATTTTCTGTAGAGATGGGGTCTCCCTATGTTGTTGCCCAGGCTGATCTTGAACTCCTGAGCTCAAGTGATCCTCCTGCCTCAGCCTCCCAAAGTGCTGGGATTACAGGCGTAAGCCACTGCACCTGGCCTCCAGTTTTCATTTCTAAGTGTGTTGGATACCTGTTGTTTTTACTTGCCTACTCTCCCTCGCTCTTGGTCCAGGTGATTCAGGAAGGGCTGACTGTACTCCTGACTGGCTGGTCAGGATGGTCACATGACTCAGGTGTCCACCATCCCCCTGGCCACAGAGTTTGGCTCAAGAATGGGCATGTAAACCCAGTCAGTCCTCCAGGACCAGGACAAGGCTTACTGGGAAAGAGGTGCTCTTATTTCACTGGGGTGGCTAAGGGGATAGAATATATACATAAGCCTGGAGCTTCCAATGTCATGTCAGAGGGAATAGAGAAAAAGAGTAATTAGTAGGGCAGAAAATTTAAAGAAAGAATCAATAGGATTTGTTGGCTGATCCAGTAGGGAAAGGATGAGAAGGAAAATAAAAGTCAAGCATATCTCTACAGTTTCAAGCCAGCATGATGAGATGAACGGCAATATTTTTGAAATAAGGAAGTAGAACATTTTTAAAGCTCAGCCAACTTTTACAAGTTTATCTCTATGTAAATGACAAGGGTTAGACTTGAGTAATCAGAGCTACGATAATATTAACTTTCTGCCAACACCTACAGTCTCAGAATGTCCGTGTGCCAACCCACATCCAAATTTCTCAGCATAGTTGACATCTGTGTTTCATTATTGTGTCCCTGCACAGCATCCATTTCTCGCTTTTGTGGTTAACACTTTTCCCTGGGTAACACCTCTCCCACACAGTCAGTCCCTGTGGGCCAGGTGTGGAATATGACCCATCAGAATTATTTTCTTCCTGGAGACAGTGATTCTGTCAGAGCATACAACCCAGTTAAAGCCAGTGAGATTCAATTCTGGGAGTTTTATCAGAACTGTAGGGAAGAGAGAAGCTCTGCCTTCTGCCGGCCTTGGAGCTAGGAAATTTTACTTTATTTTATTTTTTGAGACAGGGTCTCACTCTGCCGTCCAGGCTAGAGTGCAGTGGCATGATCACAGCTCGATGCAACCTCGACCTCCCAAGCGTAGGTGAGCCTCCTCCCTCAGCATTCTGAGTAGCTGGGACTACAGGTGTGCACCACTATGCCTGGTTAATTTTTGTATTTTTATAGAGACAGGGTTTCTCTATGTTGCCCAGGCTGGTTTCAAACTCCTGAGCTCAAGCAATCTGATCTCGGCCTCCCAAAGTGCTAGGATTACAGGTGTTAGCCACTGCAACCGGCCAAAGTTAGGAAATTTTAAACCTGAAGCTGCCAGTGGTCACCAGTAGAGAAGGGCCTAAGAGTGATGCTAACAGGGAGGAGAACAGAACCAAGAGATAAACAGAAAGAGGAGCCAGATGTTGATGACATTGTCAGATGTTGATGACATCATTTAAACACCTGAATCCAGCCAAACCTGAAGGCAGCTGGATACTTGAGTCATTACATTCTCTTTTTGACTAAAGCTGGTTTGAGTTGGGTGTCTGTCATTTGCAAATGAAAAAAAAGAATTCTGACAAATATGCCAGTTTTGCAAATAAGAACACCTATATAAACTGTCTGTAGTGCTAAGAAGACTAAATGCTGTGCTTCATTGCAAATTACTTTTCCTAACAAGAAAAATTATCGCATTTGTTTACTTGTATTCTAAGACTAGAAAGTTACATTTATGCTCCAGAAACTTCCATAGCCTAACAAAGCCCAAAGCTATTACATCTAACCAGCTGAACGATGCCTAGTAAATTCAAGAAATTGAAAACAGATACAGCTGTATTGGCCCAAAATAAATGAGTATTTCTACCAAAAGATAAGAAAAATGTTCACGGAAACTGTTTTTCTTTTTCTTTTTCCTTTCTTTTTTTTTTTCTTTTTGAGACGAACTTTTGCTCTTTCACCCAGGCTGGAGTTAAGTGACGCCATCTTGGCTCACCACAACTTCCGCACCCCCATCCCCGGGTTCAAGCAATTCTCTGCCTCAGCCTCCCGAGGAGCTGGGATTACAGGTGCCCGCCACCATGCCCTGCTAATTTTTGCATTTTTAGTAGAGAGGGGGTTTCCTCATGTTGGCCAGACTGGTCTCGAACTCCTGACCTCAGGTGAAACACCTACCTCGGCCTCCCAAAGTGCTAGGATTACAGACGTGAGCCACCGTGCCTGGCCAGAAACTATTTTTCATAAGAGTCAAAAGTTGAAAACAACTTGAATGTCATTCAACGGTGGAATAAGTGAATGAATTGTGGCATATTCATCCCATGAAATACTACAGAGAGGCAACAAAGACTGAACTTCTGCTGCACGCAGCGTCATGGATGAATGTCACAGATGCAAGGATGAGGAAAAAGAGTTGGACACAACAGAGTTCATACTGCATAATGTTTTTACAAAGTTCAAAAGCAGGCAAAGTAATACATGGTGACAGAAGTCAAAATAGTGGCTACCTTGAGGAAGGAAAGAGGTGAGTGATGACTAGGAATTGCAGGAGGGAATCTCTGGGTTGCTGGCTGATGATCTTGAGCGGTGGTTAAAGGGAGGCATGTGTGTGTGTGTGTGTGTGTATGTAAAAATCCATCAGGTTGCACACTTAAGAGTTGTGCACATCTCTGTAAATACATATTTCTAAATTTTTTTCTTTTTTTTTTGAGGCAGAGTCTCACTCTGCGCCCAGGCTGGAGTCCAGTGGCGTGATCTTGGCTCACTGCAACCTCTGCCTCCCGGGTTCACGCCATTCTTCTGCCTCAGCCTCCCGAGTAGCTGGGACTACAGGTGCCCGCCACCATGCCCGGCTAATTTTTTTTTTTTTTTTTGTATTTTTAGTAGAGATGGGGTTTCACCATGTTAGCCAGGATGGTCTCAATCTCCTGACCTCATGATCCACCCGCCTTGGCGTCCCAAAGTGCTGGGATTACAGGTGTGAGCCACTGCGCCTGGCCTATACTCCTAAATTTTAAAAAGAAAATGAGAAATCAGAAGCTGTAACATAAAACCTTCCGATTCTCCCAGGAGCCATTATACCAGTTGAAAAAAGCGGTAGGGTTTTGGCTCACAAATATTTCCAATTTTCTTATACATAAATCAAAGAAAATCGGAACCAATGAAAACAAAACCTACGTGAAGACAGGTCTTCTAGGTGAATATACGTTACCTGAATGGAATCATCTGTCTATGTGATGCTGTGAAATGAAAGTGGTTGGGAACCCAGCCCTTGGTGTCAGAACTGGGCTTACTTTCCGTTTGCTGGCTGTGTGGACTTGGGCAAGTCACTTAACCCCTCTGAGTCTGTTTCCTCAACCATACAATACTGACAATAATATCTCATAGGATTGTTGTAAGGAATGAACAAGATAAGGCACAGAAGGTGGCCAACATCAAGGAAGCAGTCACTGAATGGAAGCTATTATGTGATATTATATTTATTTATGTACAATGTAAACCCTGGCAACTTCCAAAAGAGATAGGAGTGAGTACACAGTAAAAGTCACACACTCAACCAGGACATGATTAAAGAAATAGGAAATGGGCCAGGCATGATGGCTCACATCTGTAATTCCAGCACTTTGGGAGACCAAGGCAGGAGGATTCCTTGAGGCCAGGAGTTTGAGACCAGCCTGGGCAACATAGCAAGACCCCCATCTCTCTCTCTCTCTATATCTATCTATCTATCTATCTATCTATCTATAGATATAGATATATAATAGATATATATGATATATACATATTATATATAGATATATATGATATATATATTATATCTATATTATATATAGATCTATATTATATATATAATATAGATCATATAATATATATTATATATAGATCTATATTATATATATAATATAGATCATATAATATATATTATATATAGATCTATATATATTATAGATATATATATTTTAGATAGATATATATTATATATATAGATATATATACTATAGATATATAGATATATATATTATATATCTAATAGATCTATATATCATATATAGATCTATATATTATAGATATATATATTTTAGATATATAGATATATATATAATATATATATTATAGATATATATATATTATATATAATATATATAGATTTATATTATATATATTATATATATAATATATAGATTTATATATATATTATATATATAATATATATATATATAAATTAGCTGGGCATGGTAGTACATGCCTGTAATCTCAGCTACTCAGGAGGCTAGGCGGGAGGATCGCTTGAGCCAAGAAGGCTGAGGTTGCAGTGAGCTATGACCGCACCATTGTACTCCAGCCTGGGCAACAGAATGAGACCCTGTCTCAAAAAAAAAGAAAGAAAGAAATAGGAAATGTCTTATAATCAGGTAGAGGAAGGAGCAATCCTGCAAAATTCCCAGGCCAACATAGTGACTGTAACTGAGAACTAAATTTTGCCCTGAGCTTCTTATTAGCCAAGACTAAAAGGGAATCATGACAAGTTATCTAATACTCACTATGTGTGGCAATAAAAAGGAAGTATACCAGTTTTTCAAGAGGACTACACTTCCTCCCAAGATCAATTTCTGAAAATAATTTATCATGAGAACTCTTTCAAAGGGATCGAATAACAATGTAATGAAAGCCAGGACTCAGGGTCACCAGCAAACAAAGCACTCAGAAGCTCTAACTCCAAGAGGGGCTGCAGGAGTGGAGTTGGGGAGAGACTCTGGAGTCCCCTCCAGGTCATTGTGCTGCAGGAAGACAATCGCATATGGCTATCTTTGGCCAGTGGGCTGTGAGCATAAGTGACTGTGTCACTTCCAAGAGAAAGCATTCAAAAGCCAAAATGAGACCCTCTAGCTCCCCTTCCACTGCCATGGGAACCAGTGATATTCCCAAAGGGGACCCAGTCACCAGCCCGGGTTCCTGCATGACTGCATGGCTCACAGCCCACCTGCACCTACCCACAGTAGCTTTTCATGAGCAAGAAACAAACCTTTATGTTTTAAGACATTTAGATTTTGAGATAGTGTTATTTTGATGCAGCAGAGTTTAGACTAGCCTGACTGATACAAATCATTTTGGTCTTTGTTTTGAATCTTTGACAAATTTATATATATGTATGTATGTATATAACTTCATATTGTATGCGTATATGTGTATTATATGTGTATATTATATGTATATACACACAAAGATATCCATACAATTTATGTATATATTTATTCATATCTACATATATAATAGATCTACACATATAATATACATTATATATACACATTCATAGAACACACATACAAAAACACACATAGATTAGATAGACAGATAAATAGACAGATGGGTAGATAGATGATAGATAGATAGAAAGATGGATGTTATATGTGATCAGCCAACAATTAGCTTCAAGTCTGTTGGACAGTTCTCTGTTCCATTGCCATTTGACAAGAGCTTGTGTATTGCACATCTGTTTCACAGTTGGGAACAAATGCTGTAACCATACCACCTGCACTGCAACAAATACCTAAACAAACAAAGAGCTAAACCCACAGAAAAGGATTGGGAAAGAGAGAGGAGGAAATGGCCATAAGGAAATAGTCTCTCACACTGATGTCACATGAAGTGGGAGTGGCCTTCTGAGAACCTTACCCTTAGCTTCCTGTTAACTATTAGAGGAGTAAATGAGGTATGCTGCAGGTTCAAAGGAATGATACTGTTTCCTGTTGCCTTGGAAAAAGCACAAAGAGGGTACTATCCTACTTTCTTTCTTCCTGGTTTTTCTCTAGCACCTCCTCAATAAGGGCTATTGAACCATCTATTTCAATTCCTCCTTTCCATATCCCATTTAGGGTTTCTCACTTCACCATTTGAATGGTTTTCAATCACATGCCCAAGCAATGACATGTCTTCTAAGGCTGTTAATTGAGGACTCCTTACTTGATGTTGCAAGGCTTCCTGGTTCGAATGGGTCATCTAAGTATCTTGTGTTTGTCATTCAGCTAATTCAGAAATCTTCTAGGGATCAATTACATCCTAGAATATGGATGAGGTCACAGTCAAGCTATTTACCTGGCTCTCTGCCGCCTCCCACTTCTCCCCGCCTCAAGCTAACATAAGGCCAGGCCAGCCACCCACGAGTTCTGTTCTGCACCACCAAAATGATCTCACGAAACCCAGACACTCAGCCAGAATTGCTAAGGATTGTCAGGCCAAGCTTTGTGTATAATGACAAAAAACTGGGAGCAATTCAAAAATTCATCAACAGGGGATGGGCTGAATCAGTCACAGGACATCTGCACAGTGGAATACCATGGAACCGTCACAAAGAATGCTTTAGATCTACAGGTGCCAGCAGAAGATGGCCAGCTGTGATTCTTATCTTTAATCTCCTTTTCCCATCTCCTGCCCTGGGCCTGGCTAGAACATGTGATCATGAAGCCTGTGAATTGTCCAAAGGTTAATTTTTCTAATTGAGGCCATTTATTACCTGAAAGACAGGAAAGAGAAACCAGGGCCTTACAAAACAGCAAATTGACCAGCACCAAGAGCAGGAAGTTGCCCCGAGAGAGGCAAAACAAGGCCACAAAGTCCAATTTCAGCCGTACATTTTGTCTTCTTCTTCTTCTTTTTTTTTTTTTTTCTGAGATGGAAGGTCCCTCCTGTTGCCCAGGCTGGAGTGCAATGGCACGATCTCGGCTCACAGCAACCTCCGCCTCCTGGGTTCAAGCGAGTCTCCTGCCTCAGCCTCCCAAGTAGCTGGGATTACAGGCACCTGCCACCATGCCCAGCTAATTTTTTGTATTTTTAGTAGAGACGGGGTTTCAGTATGTTGGCCAGGCTGCTACCGAAGTCCTGACCTCAGGCAATCCACCCACCTTGGCCTCCCAAAGTGCTGGGATTACAGGTGTGAGCCACCGCGCCCGGCCCCCACGTTTTATCTTCTAACGGGGTGAACTTTGTCATGAAAACCCATGATTAACCTCTTAACATAAATGAAATCAATGTTCTATATGCTAGTGATGATCCTGTAAATAATGTAAGATCCCTACATACTTAAGACCCACAGTTAAAATTATGAAAATGATTCTACAGAAGTTTTTAACTAGTTCCAATGAACCATCATTTATTTGACTTAAAACAGACCAAATAATTTTTAAAAAATTGTTTTTGTTGTGGCGCGTGCCTGTAATCTCAGGTACTCAGGAGGCTGAGGCAGGAGAATTGCTTGAACCAGGGAGTGGGAGGTTGCAGTGAGCTGAGACCGTGCCACTGCACTCCAGCCTGGCGACAGAGCGAGATTCAGTCTCAAAAAAAAAAAAAAAAATTGTTTTTATTGCAGAGAGTGGAGAGAAGGAAAGAAATTAGTCCCAATAAAATTCTGTTTTGCCATCTAAGGATATTAAAGGCAATGGCAGCTATCACAATTGACTATCACCATTATCTCATAAAACATTTTATGGACTTAAAAAAAAGAGAGGGAGACCCCATCTCAAAAAGAAGGGTAGTTTATTTAACCGAATAAATTCAGCTGTATGAAAACTTACTTTTTTGCCCTTATTGTTCTTGCTTTGTCCCAAGTAGATGCAAATGTTGTGCAAACCAACTTGATCTTAAGATGTTGTTGAGAACACTGGAGTCACGTGTCCATGGGTCCTTCAGGCTGGCTTTTGATGGGAGCTGGGATGCAGATGATTTACGGAGGGTTATAATCTGTGATGCTGGTCTGAAGTCTGAATATTCCAAGTTGCTGACTGCAGGCAGAGCCTCATGTCCTGAAAATCAGAAGACAGAGGACTTAAACTTCCATAAAAGATGGGCTCATACTGTACAACCCAATCCTGTGCATTTGGAAGCAGAAAACACTGCCTCAAATGGCTTCCTGTTTTCTCTTCTCTTAAAAACTTGAAACATTAGACTACAGTGAAGCATAGAGAAGAAAAGGTCAAATATTAACTCATACTAATCTTTTTCATATGAATTCCAGACTTGCATTTGTTTTCTTAAGGAAATAAAACATTTCTGGTGAAGCTCTCTAATACCTCTTCCTAATCCAATTTTCCAGTGTCCTCTTCCCTGTCTGGAAGGTGCCACTATCGTAAATGTGGTGTGTGACTTTCCAGGGCATATGCTGTTCATACCGTGACCACTGTTATGAGTTGAGTTGCATCCCCTCAAAAAGGTATGTTCAAGTCCCAGTCCGCAGTACTTCAGAATGTGACCTGATTTCTAAGTAGGATCTCGGTGGAGGTAATCAAGTTAAAATAAGTTCACTGGGGTGGGACCTAATGCAACATGACTGGTGTCCTTATAAAAAGGGGAACTTTGGGCCAGGCACAGTGATTCCCGCCGTAATCCCAGTACTTTGGGAGGCCGAGGCAGGTGGATCACCTGAGGTCAGGAGTTCAAGACTGGCTAATTCTAAAAATTCTTGAAAGGCTATGAAAAAGAATTTAAAAAAGAAGAAATCGCTCATTCCCAGGCACCTCATTTCAACCAAAGTTTCACATTAGCGGTTCTGGAAGCTCCCATTCTTTTTGCAGGCACCTGATCTTGGACAGACAACTCCAACACAAGGATGATGGCCCCCACACATGGACGAGTGGTTGCCAGAGCACCAGGTCATGGGACGCTCACACACAGGCACATTTCAGCAGAGACATTGATTTCGTTTGCTTGCCTGCTCTTGATTGCTCTTTCTGGGAATGTGTATTAGTGTAATGATTACTTTGGCTGTCAGCCTCGATGCCATGACAAATAAATGCCAGGAACTCCTTTATCTGCAGTGTGTAATGTTTAGGACCAGGAAATAAAGGTAATGTCAATAGTCTCTAAATAGCAAGTGAGAGCAATAGCTTCCATCACTCAATTAACAAAGCCTTCCTGTAAATAAACATTTGTTAGTATTGAGATCCATGTTGGCTTTTCAGAGTGTCAGGCACATTCACAGCCATACACTTAGACTCCTTGGAGCCTAAGAAAATGAGGCCTATGCTTAGAAAATAAGGTCTGTGGTTTCAAGACAGCAAGATCAAACCTATGAATAGGAAAATAAAAATACTGGTCGGGCATGGTGGCTCATGCCTGTAATCCCAGCACTTTGGGAGGCTGAGATGGGCAGATCACTTGAGGCCAGGAATTGGAGACCAGCCTGACTAACATGGCGAAAACCCATCTCTACTAAAAATAAGAAAATGAGCCAGGCGTGGTGGCTCGCACCTGTAATCCCAACTACTTGGGAGGCTGAGGCACAGGAATTGCTTGAACCTGGAAGGCGGAGGTTGCAGTAAGCCGAGATCATGCCACTGCACTCCAGCCTGGGCAACAGAGAGAGACTCTGTCTCAAGAAAACAAAACAAAACAAAACAAAAAAGGAAAATATAAATACAGCAAAATAGTCATCCTCTTGTCCTTTTTGTTTGTTTGTTTTCCCTTCTTTAAGGAATTTACTAAGTTTTCAAGATATTTATTCAATTCTCAAGGAAAGGTAAGGTAAAGAGAATGTAAGATTTTTAGCTTGTTAAATGAGTGAGAAAGAGTCAGAAGCTAGAAAAAGAAAAATGAATTTTAATCGCTTGAAAGTCATCACCTAAACATGGCAAAAAATCCTTCAAGGAAATGGTCTAAGGTATAGTGTTTACTACTGAAGTAACAAATGCGTCTTATAACACTGAATTAACATGAGTTCTAATGTATTTTTTAAATGAGAATTGGGGCTGAGTGAGGTGGCTCAAGCTTGTAATCGCAGTACTTTCAGAGTCTAAGCCAGCGCAATCGTTTGAGGCTGGGAGTTCGAGGCTGCAATGAGCTATGATCATGCCACTGTACTCCAGCCTGGGCAACAGAGCAAGATGCTGTCTCAAAAAAAAAAAAAAAAAAGAATTGGGAAATTTGAGAAGAAAGAGTTGGCAAATGTCACCAATTAATCTTCACAAGTCACCAATTAATCTTCACAAGTAAAATTTGTTTTTAAAAAAGCTAGAATGAGAAGATTATTTTATTTTACATGGATGTTTGAAGCCTATCAAATCTCTTTCCGCTAGCTAAGATTCCTCCTCTTTTACCACGATCCTTTCTTGGAAGGAAGTTCATGGACTAAACCCCTCCCAGCAGTTTTACCCTAACTATAACTCTAAGCCCACTTGATTAATGCTACTTTGTAACAAGACTTTCCTTCTCCTAAGACAGTCCCCAAGGTGGGTGAAGCTCACAGGCCTTAGATGTAAAGCTGGTCGATGCAATTGAATCGCAGTACAATGTTTGCATTCAGGGGCTGATGTTCTGTTTGAAGTACGCAGTGTGCGGCTGGCTTTCATTCTATTTAAGAAAGAGAGTGGCAGAAACTATGGATCTAGAGCAGTGGTTCTCAAGTGGGGGCGACTTTGCCTCTGAGAGCACATTTGGCAATGTGTGGAGACATTTTGGTTTGTCACAACTGTAGCAGGGGGTGTGACATTGGCATCTAGTAGGTAGCTGTTAAACATCCTAAAATGTACAAGACTGGCCTCCCCACAATAGAAAATTATTTGGCCCCAAATGCCAAGAGTGCCAAAGTTGACAAAACTTGATCTAGGGCAAGGCTGTCCAACAGAACTTTCTATGCCGATGGAATGGTTCTCTACATGCATGTCCAATATGGCAGCCACTAGCCACATGTAGCTATGGAACACTTCAAATATGGCCAGCTCGGGAACTAGATTGAGAAACTAAATTGTTTATTTATTTTTCTTCTTTCAGAGACAGGGTCTCGTTTTGTCACTCAGGCTGGTGTGCAGTGGCACGATGATAGCTCACTGCAGCCTCGAACTCCTGGACTCAAGTGATTCCTGCGTCTCAGCCTCTTGAGTAGCTGGGATTATAGGTGTGAGCTACTGTGCCCAACTATTAAATTTAATTTTAATTAACTTTAATTCACCATGTTGCCCAGGCTGGTCTTGAACTCTTGGCCTCAAGTGATCCGCTGGCCTTGGCCTCCCAAAGTGCTGGGATTACAGGTGTGAGCCATTGTGCCCAGCCGGAACTCCAACATTTAAAACATTATTGATGAGGGTGCATCTGACAACATCAAGCTTGGGTGCCCATGAAAGTCACCTGGGAGCCTGCTGGAGAGGGGGGCACATGGATCCTCAGGTGACCAGCTTGTCCCAGTGTGCCCAGGACTTCCCCAGTTTTGGCACTAGAAGTTCTGTGCTAAAACCCCATCAGTCCCAGGAAGACCACCCCAGCCCAGGTCCCATTCCCAGAAGTTTTCATTCACTAAACCTCAAGTGGGACCTGGGAATTTAGCTTTTTATCGGGTTTCCCAAGTGATTCCTTTATGCGCCAAAGTTTAAGAATCACTGCAGATCAGCCAGCGAGGAGCAGGGAGAGAGGAGGGAAGAAAAAAGTTGATTTGTTACCATCACAGAGAAGGTGAGCATTTAAAAAAGAAAAGAGAAGCAATAAAAAATGTTTTAAGATGATTAAATTGCTTTTTAAAGCAAAACAAAACAAAAAGTGGGTTTGTGGGTTACTTGTGCTTCAGCAGTTTCCCCCTTCTTGCTTGGCTGGATGGCTGGATCCCAACCCAGAAGAAGGAGGACGCCCGTCTCTGGGACAGATGGAGACAAGTCAAGGTGCACATCCTGGCTCTTGCACCCACTGAGATCTACTAGGAGTGGGCTCCTCTGCTATCCAACAAGAAAGGATGCTGCTTACTGGAGACCCGTAGGCTACAGAAACCTGTCCTCTTCCCTTCCCCACTGTCAGTGTGCTCAGAATCCTGCCAGGAACAGTGAAAAATGATAAAGTTTAATGCTCCCTTTGGCTAGGGATCCTCCCTATTCTCTACCACCGGGTCTGGGAAAGGTGGCAGGAGGCAATGAAGCTGGGGTGACTTTTATGCACCCTGCATGTATGGGTCTGCATCAAGTCTCCCTCTTTTAGAGGAAAAAGAACCTCCTTCTGGATCCACCTTGGAGGTCAGAAGCGTAGCTCTTTATAAGACTAATTCGGATTCTTATAATAGTCCTATAATGCTTAGTTAAACAAGTATTATATAACACAACCCAAGTATTATTGCTTGGATTTGCAGACAGCAAAACACAAATAGAAATCAATGATAACAAAACAACTTATATATCAGTGCCAGGCACTGTTCTAAGATCTGGACAGGCATTAACCCATTTAAATCTTACCATAGCCTTAGAAATAGGTGCTATTGGCTGGGTGCGGTGGCTCACGCCTGTAATCCCAGCAATTTGGGAGGCCAAGGCGGGTGGATTGCCTGAGGTCAGGAGTTTGAGATCAGCCTGGCCAACATGGTGAAACCCTGTCATCACTAAAAATACAAAAATGAGCTGAGCGTGGTGGTGCATGCCTGTAATCCCAGCTACTTGGGAGGCTGAGGTGGGAGAATCACTTGAACCTGGAAGGCAGAGGTTGCAGTAAGCTGAGATCACGCCACTGCACTCCAGCCTGGATGACAGAGTGAGACTCTATCTCAATAAATAAAAAAATAAATTGCTTGAGGAAAAGCTAAAGCAAGATGAAGAAGGTATTTGAGAGAAAGGGAGAAATGATATTCAAGAGACAATGGAAAGAAATCCCAGGATAACAGCTGTGCGCCAGCTCTAGAAAGCAGTCGGTCCAAATTATACCACCCAACAAAGAGAATGAGTAAGAACTGGGGTGATCTCAGAGACACAGTAAAGCTGTGTATATTTTCTCTGTCAACAACAAAAAAACAAAGACAAATAGAAACTCCAAAACAAGCAATCCTCTAAAAGCTGTAAAGAAAGTCAGAACCAGATATGAATAAACTAAACTCTGGCCTGTCTGTGAGCAGTCAAGGGTGCACAGGAAAAAAAAAAAAAAAAAAAGCAAACTCAACTCACCTGGACCAATGGCTCAGATTAAGTGACATAAAGTGACATAGAATTAGATGTCCCTTTCTAGGAAGTCAACTTCTCTAATGCACACATAACCACAGCTTTGAAGCCAGGTAGTTTTCATCTTTTATAATCTACTTGTGATATTGTGATTTGTGATAAGAAATATATCTTTGGTCTTTATTCCAGGTTTCCGGCACAGGCTCCTAAAACGTTGGAATTTCTTAGGTGATGGGAGTGTCTTTTGTTCTAGTATTTGGTCTTTGGTTCCGGTTCCTAAAACAGAGCTCCTAATCCCTTGGAAATTCCTGGGTTACGGGAATGTCTTTTGTTCCAATGAGGCAGCTTTCAACAGGGGTTCCTGGATGGAGGCTGCTCACCAGAAAGACCAAGCCAGGGTTAGAAGCTTGCAACTTTCGGCCTTGCCCCTCATCCTCCAGGAACGAAAGAAGGACTGGAGATTGATTTAATAATCAATGGAACCTCCATAAAAACCCTCAATGAAGAGATTGGAGATCTTTCAGGTTGAACACATCCACATTCTTAGAGAGTGACACACCCCAACTCACTGGGACAGAAGCTCCTGAACTTGGGACTCTTCTGGAACTTACCCTGTGTACTTCTTTACCTGGCTATTCACCTGTATCCTTTATCATATTCTTTTTTTTTAAGACAGAGTTTCACTCTTGTCACCCAGGCTGAAGGGCAATGGCGCCATCTCGGCTCACTGCAACCTCTGCCTCCCAGGTTGAAGTGGTTCTCCTGTCTCAGCCTCCCTAGTAGCTGGGATTACAGGGGTCCGCCACCGTGCCCGTCTAATTTTCGTATTTTTTGTAGACGGGTTTCTGCCATGTTGCCCAGGCTGGTCTCGAACTCCTGACCTCAGGTGATCCACCCGCCTTGGCCTCCCAAAGGGCTGGGATTACAGGCATGAGCCACCACTCCCAGCATATCATATTCTTTATAATATGATACGGTTTACGGGTAATATGATATGGTTACCATAATATGATATGGTTTATAGGTTTACAGGTAAACCTAAGTAAAGATTTCCCTGAGTTGTGTGAGCCATTCTAGAAAATAACTGAACCTGTGGAAAAGTCACAAAAACTTCTACTTTACAGCCAGCTGGTCAGAAGTTCCCAAGGCCAGGACTTGAAATTGATATCTAAAGTTGGGAGGCAGTCTTGTGGCGCTGAGCCCTTAACCTGTGGGTTCTGACACTAACTCCAGTCACATTATGTTAGAATTCAATAAAACTGTGGTGGCAGGTGTGGTGGCTAACACTTGTAATCCCAGCACTTTGGGAGGCTGAGGTGGGCAGAACACCTGAGGTCAGGAGTTTGAGACAAGCCTGGCCGACATGTCAAAACCCTGTCTCTACTAAAAATAAAAAACAATTAACCAGGTGTGGTGGCACATGCCTGTAGTTCCAGCTACTCAGGAGGCTGAGGCAGGAGAATCGCTTCAACCTGGGAGGTGGAGATTGCAGTGAGCCAAGATGGCACCACTGCACTCCAGCCTGGGTAACAGAGAAAGATTCTGTCTCAAAATAATAATAATAATAATAACAATAAAATTGTGGGGCACCCAGCTGGTGTTGGAGACTTGGTCAGTGTGGACCTCTCAACCCCCGCCAATATCTGATCACAGAAGTGTTCTTTGTTGAAAGTACAGTGGGAAAAAACTTTTTTCCTAGTATTCAACCTACAATGCAAGAAACATATAATTGTAGTTTATAAGACACAAAACGCAAGCTTATAAACCACAATATGTAAAAAATAATTTTTAGAAGTGGGGAAATGCAGGGGGTAGAACTTTATTAGGGGAAAATGTTGAGGTGCTAAATTCCTTCTCTTATGAAGTGGAGAGTCAGCGACGCTGTCCAAGTTTAAGGAACTGTAAGTACATCATCATTGGCAGTGGTTCTCAACTGAGAGTGATTTTGCCCTCAAGGGACACTGAGCAAAGTCTGGCAAACTTTTGGTTGTCACAACTGCAGTGAGTGTGCTACTGGTATCTAGTGGGTGGAGGCCAGGGATGCTGTTAACCATCCTCTAATGCACAAGACAGCCCCCACAGCCAAGAATGATCTGGTCCAATGTGTCAGTCATACAAAAGTTGAGATATCTTGATTTATCGCTATGAAGGAAACAACAAATTATAAACAATGAAACAAAATTGGGAGAGAAAAGAATGGGAGAAGGAAGAGAAAGGAGAAGGGGTAAGTGCAGCGGTGCAACCACAGTTCACTGGAGCCTCTAACTGCTGGGCTCCATCGATCCTCCTGCCTCAGCCTCGTGAGTAGCTGGCAACACAGGCACATGCCACCACGACTGGCTGAATTTTTATTTTTTAATTAATTAACATCCAGACTGAGTCTCGCTCTGTGGCCCAGGCTGGAGTGCAATGGCTCAATCTCAGCTCACTGCAACCTCCACCTCCCAGGTTCAAGCAATTCTCCTGCCTCAGCCTCCCAAGCAGCTGGGATTACAGGTGCCCACCACTACGCCCAGCTAATTTTTTTGTAGTTTTATTAGAGATGGGGTTTCACCATGTTGGCCAGGCCTGACCTCATGATCCACCCACCTCGGCCCCCCAAAGTGCTGGGATGACAGGGGTGAGCCACTGGGCCCGGCCTATTTTTAAATTTTTTTTGTAGAGACATTGTTGCACCCAGGCTGATTTCTAATGCCTGGGCTCAAGAGATCCTCCCACCTTGGCCTCCCGAAGTGCTTGGGCTACAACAGACGTGAGCCACCATACCCAGCTGCTTACAATGTTTTGAAAATAAAAAATGTGATTTCCAAATAAAAAAGATAAATTAAGTAAGTACTTAAAAATGCAAACATATGATTATGGAGGTTCTCGAGCAATCCAGGTCCCTAAGTAAACGGAGACACCTGGAAAGTGGTTTGGAAGCAGGGCATTGGAGTTTCCTTTGAAATACAGTATCCTAAATGTCCCTCTTTTCACCCCATTCAGGGAAGCAGAAAAGCAAATTCTTTCTCTCTCTCTTTTCCCCCCCTTTAAATATCTTTGAGTCATAGCAAATTCTGTCTTCTCTCTCTCTCTCTTTTTTTTTTTTGAAATGGAGTCTAGCTCTGTTGCCCGGGCTGGAGTATAGTGGTGTGATCTTGGCTCACTGCAACCTCCACCTCCCAGGTTCAAGCAATTCTCCTGCCTCAGCCTCCTGAGCAGTTGGGACTACAGGCATGTGCCACCATGCCCAGCTAATTTTTTTGTATTTTTAATAGAGACGGGGTTTCACCATGTTGGCCAGGATGGTCTTGATCTCCTGACCTCGTGATCCGCCCACCTCGGCCTTCCAAAGTACTGGGATTACAGGCGTGAGCCACCGCGCCCGGCCCTCTCTCTCTCTTTTTTAAGAGATGGAGTCTCACTCTGTTATCCAGGCCAGAGTGCAGTGATGCAACCTCCTAGGCCCAAGCCATCCTCCTGCCTCAGCCTCCTGAGTAGCTGTGACTATAGGTGTATGCCAACCACACCTGGCTCAAATTTTCTTTTTTCAACTCTGATTTGTTCCACATTCACCTCTTGAATTCTGCTACCTTTTCTCCCATGCTGGGTAAGTATGACATCAAGCTTGGGAAGTTTCTAGATTCAATGCTGTTTGCAGCAGGGCCAGGACTAGGGTGAGGGAGTAAGATAAGTGCTGAGCTGAGGTGCAAATTTAAAGGGGGCCAAAAATCCCAGTAATCAAGTGTATCGTCCATTTTCATACCTGAGACTAGGTAATTTATAAAGAAAAAGAGGTTTAATGGACTCACAGTTCCACATGGCTGGGGAGGTCTCACAATCATGGCAGAAGGCAAAGGAGGAGCAAAGGCACATCTTACATGGCGGCAGGCAAGAGCGTGTGTGCAGGGGAACTGCCCTTTATAAAACCGTCAGATCTCGTGTTCCCATGAGAACAGCATGGGAAAAACCCACCCCTATGACTCAATTACCTCCCACAGCGTCCCTCTCATGACATGTGGGGATTATGGGAGCTATAATTCAAGATGAGATTTGGGTGGGGACACACCATATCATCAAAATAAATAATATTTTAACATGATACTTTTAAAAATAAAAATAAGTGCAAAAAACCCATGATGAAAAAAAAATCAACATGTTCAAAACAGACAGGATCACAATTACTGCTTTGTGCTTTTGGCTCCAGCTCTGATCTTTCTCAGTGCCACACTGACTGACAGACACAACCTTGCGATCCAGGTGTCCATGAGTCTCATACTGCCAGGTCCTGTTATCTCACCTCAGGAATGACAATTCTTGGGGTGACCTAAACCATTTTCTTGGAGATCTCCACTCACCTCCTCTCATTTTAAGTCCTTTCCTCTGATCGTGTAATTTATAACTCAAGTCTCTGACACAGGATAAAATTCCATTTCTCCTTTGGAAAGCCACTATTTTGCTTTGGATGTGGGTGCTAACACATCAAAGGCTGGGAACTGTAACTATGGGCTTCCAATTCTTCTGGTGAATTCTAAACACAGGACTGTCTTTTTTTCTTTTAAATTATACCTATGTTCAGACAGGCGAGATGGCTCAATCCTGTAATCCTGGGGCTTTGGGAGGCTGAGGCAGGAGGATTGCTTGAAACCAGGAGTTGGAGACCAGCTTAGGTGACATAGCAAGACCCTGGCTCTACAAAAAATTTTAAAAATTAGCTGAGCACAGTGGCATGCAGCCGTTAGTCCCAGCTACCCAGGAGGCTGAGCCTGGATGATGACTTGAAACAAGGGAGTTGAGGCTGCAGTGCACTATGATCATGCCACTGCACTCCAGCCTGGGGGACAGAGTGAAACTCTGTCTCTACAGAAAATTTTAAAATTAGTTGATTTTTAATTTTTTTTATTTTTTTTTTTGAGACGGAGTCTTGCTCTGTTGCCAGGCTGGAGTGCAGTGGCATGATCTCAGCTCACTGCAACCTCCGCCACGTGGGTTCCAGTGATTCCCTTGCTTCAGCCTCTCCAGTAGCTGAGACTACAGGTGTGTGCCACCATGCCTGGCTAATTTTTTTTTGTGTTTTAGTAGAGACAGGGTTTCACCATGTTGGCCAGGATGGTCTTGATCTCCTAATCTCGTGATCTGCCCTCCTTGGCCTCCCAAAGTGCTGGGATTACAGACGTGACCCACCACACCTGGCCTAAAATTAGTTGATTTTTAATCATTAATGGTGGTGCACGCCTGTAGTCCCAGCTACTTAGGAGGCTAAGGCAGGAGGATCACTCAAGCCCAGAAGTTCAAGGCTGCAATGAGCTATGATCACACCACTACACTCCCTATAAATATTCCTTTCCCTATGAATGCCTTCGCAGAAATGACCATAACTGATGATTAGCATTCTAGCTGCTGTGATTTATCTCTGGGAATGATGAACGTTGGGTGACTAGAAATAACCTGAGCAATAATAGCGTCACCTCCTGCCACGTCATCCCGAAAAATCTTGGCAAATATGATTCATTGCGTTATTCATTAAGTGTTTATGAAGATACTCTATAGCTTGAACTTGACCCTGTCTTCTGGGGACAGGACCTTTTCTGGCAAAGTATGACAATAAACCCTACTTTTAACATTAGTGGCCCGGCGCGGTGGCTCACGCCTGTAATCCCAGCACTTTGGGAGGCCGAGGCGGATGGATCACGAGGTCAGGAGATTCAGACCATCCTGGCTAACACGGTGAAACCCCGTCTCTCCTAAAAATACAAAAAATTAGCCGGGCATGGTGGCAGGCGCCCGTAGTCCCAGCTACTCCGGAGGCTGAGGCAGGAGAATGGCGTGAACCTGGGAGGCGGAGCTTGCAATGCGCCGAGATCGCACCACTGCACTCCAGCCTGAGCGACAGAGCAAGACACTGTCTCAAAAAAAAAAAAAAAAAAAAAAAAAAAACCAACACATTCATTTCCACTGAGCTTCTTTTCCCCTCTCTAGTGTAGAAAGAATCTAGTCAAACAATAACAATAATAATAAGTTAATAATAATAACAACAACAGTAATAAGCATGAAGACAGCACTATTTATTGAGTGCTGACATGCATGCCAGGCACAGGGCTATGCCCTTCACATGTATCAGCAACTGAATGCTCAAACAACTTTATGGGGAGGTATTATTATCCCCATTTTATGATTACATTGAGACCCAGAGAGGTTAAGTAACTCACTCAAGGTCACACAGCTAAACAGAGGCAGAATGGGATTCAAACCCATACCTCTCTGATTGCATACGCTGGGCTTGGATCATCATCATCAACAACATCATTGTTGGCAGTGCATGGTGGCTCATGCCTGTAATGCCAGCACTTTGGCAGGCTGAGGCAGAAGGATCGCTTGAGCTTAGGAGTTTGAGACCATCCTAGGCAATATAGTCAGACCTTGTCTCTACTAAAAATCATAAAAGGTAGGCGGGCATGGTGGCATGTGCCTATAGTCTCAGCTACTCAGAAGGCTGAAGCAGGAGGATTGCTTGAGCCCAGGAGATCAAGGCTGCAGTGAGCTATGATTTCACCACTGTACTCCAGCCTGGGCAACAGAGTGAGATATTGTCTCGAAAAAAAAAAAAAAAAACACAAAAATCACTTATCAGAGGAAGAAGAGAAGGATGAGAAAAATGAGAAGGATGAGAAGAATGAGAAAAATGAGAAGTTATTGTTTCTTGAACACCATAAAGAAGTAAATAGATTTTTTTTTAAATCTCAGAAAATGAAATACCATTGGGAGAGACCACCTGAATTCACTCATCCAACAAAGCATTCTTCTAGAACATGATGCTCCAGGAGACACCCCCAGACATAGAGGTCACATTTATTGCGTGTTTGTCGTGCACCGTATTTTATTAGCTCTGATATCCACCTGTGGAAGTGGGAGCTTTTGGCATACTACCCATTCTACAGACAAGGAAACCAAGGCCAGAAACATACAATAACTGACCCAGAATCCCACAGTTAGACCTGGGGAAGCCCAGATTCCAACTCAAGCAGATAACCCTAGGGCTTGTTCTCATAATCAACACTCTCTTGCCTCCCATTTCCCCTGGTCATTCTTTCCTCTAACAAACATCTGTTGTGCCTCAATTCTGTACCCTCGTCTGGCAATAAGCAATACGACAGCCTCAGTTTCCGTCCTCCTTCGCTGACACGTTCCCAAGCATTCCGCATTATTCCCATGACCTCCCACCCCTCCTTCAAAGCACTTTCACTTACCTGCCCTCAGTTCTACAGGAAAATCCAGACAAACTTCCCCTCCACTTTGTAGTTCAAAGCTAGAGGGACAGGCAACAGGTCCTCTTTTTTTCTTAACTAACCGGTAAGGCCCATCTTTTTCTGCCTCTCTGCCGTGTCGCCTTAAAGACTGCTCCTTGCTATCTTGGTCACACGTCTGGGCGGGAAGCCACGAAGATCACGGGAAGGGGGTTGTTTACTGAGCTCATTGCCGTTTTATGCCGCCCTGGCTATCATCTCTTTCCTCATCAACCAATGAGTAACCAGGTCTCACCTGGTGAAAATGCAAATCAGTCTTCCACCTCTACCATCACAGCTGCACCTATGGCCTCTGTCTACTGAGTCCGCGACGATGAAGGCCTAACTCAGGTCCCAAGTTGTGCATTTCCTTCTTCCTAAGCCCTAACTCCTCCCTCTCATTAATATTCTTTTGTTATCAGCTCAATGAAAATATCAAAGTCCTTTCTAGAGGTTATTTTATTTCTTGGACACCATAAGGAAGTAAATAGATTCGTTTTGTGTTTTTTTTTTAACCCTAGAGTGTGAGGTGGTGTGGGAAGAGACTACCTGAATTCATTAATCCAACAAAGAATGGAACGTGATGCTCCACTAGACACCCCCGGGCACTGGCTCCTTTTTTTTTTTTTTTTTTTTTTGAGACAGCGTTGCCCTCTGTCACCTCGGCTGGAGTGCAGTGCCACAATCTCAGCTCACTGCAACCTCCGCCTCCTGGACTCAAGGGATCCTCCTGCCTCAGCCTCCCAAGCAGCTGGGACCACAGGTGCAAGCCATCATGCCTGACTAATTTTTGTATTTTTTGAAGAGCTGGGGTTCTGTCGTGTTGCCCAGGCTGGTCTTGAACTCCTGAGCTCAAGTGATCCACCCATCTCGGTCTCCAAAACTGCTGAGATTACAGGCGTAAGCCACTGCACCTGGCCTGGACACGTTTTTCTTTTCTTCTTTTTTTTTTTTTTTTTTTTGAAGACTGAGTCTTGCTCTGTCGCCCAGGCTGGAGTGCAATGGCGCCATCTGGGCTCACTGCAACCTCCGCCTCCCAGGTTCAAGTGATTCTCCTGCCTCAGCCTCCCGAGTAGCTGGGATTACAGGTGTCTGCCACTACACCTGGCTAATTTTTGTATTTTTAGTAGAGATGGGGTTTCACCATGTTGGCCAGGCTGGTCTTGAACTCCTGACCTCAGGTAATCCACCTGTCTCGGCCTGCCAAAATGCTGGGATTACAGGCATGAGCCACTGCATCTGGCCGCCTGGCCACATTTTTCTATAGATACATCCCCTTTGGCAACATGCGGACCATACAGGTTTAACTCTGTAGTTATGATCACCAATGGCATGTCCCTTCTGGAAACAAAGGACAGGCAGTATAAAACCAGCCCACATTTCAAGACAGTTGACTCGAATTCAAATGCTGACTCTGGCACTCTAAGACTGTAATGTCTCAACTCCTCTGAGCCTCAATTTCCTCCCCATTAACCTACAAAGTGGGAACTATATACACTCCCTCCTCCTAGTGTTGATAAGGGCTACATCAGTTAACATTTGAGAAAGTTTGGACTAAGATTATTTCTAGCCACCTAAGACTCACATTCCCAGGGATAAACCCCAGCAGATGGGATGCTAATCCATCACAAAGGGTTTTCTCTGAGAAGGAGATTTTATATTCATACAGAAATAAAGAAGGAGGTAGACAATTGAGGGCTGGATCAAATTTCTGTATTTTTACAAATACCAGAACAAACAAAATCTGTTTCCTATGGCATTTGCATTTGGGGGAGTATCATTTAAAAGAAAAAAAGAATGTCCTAGTTCTATAATTCACAGAAAGTATTGGGGTCTATAGTTACCGTTCCTCTTTTTTTTTTTTTTCCTTTGAGACAGGCTCTTGCTTTGTCAACCAAGGCTGGAATGCAGTGGTGCAATCATAGCTCACTGCAGCCTCTGACTGTTGGGCTCAAGCAATCCTCCTGCCTCACTCAGCCTCCCAAGGAGGTGAGACTACAGGTATGTACCACCACATTTGGCTAACATTTTAAATTTTTATAGATATGGGGTCTCTCTACGTTGCCCAGGCTTGTCTCAAACTACTGGGCTCAAGTGATCATCCCACCTTGGCTTCCCAAGGTGTTGGGATTACAGGCATGAGCCACTGCACCCAGCCCCAATCTTTGATGTATTAGCACTAAATGCAAAACAGTGGCTTTCCAATGGAGAAATGGAATTTTCTCCTGTGGAAGAGACCTGAGTTATAAATTGTATGATCAGAGGAAATGAGAGGAGGAGGGTGGTGGTTTCCAAGAAGACAGTTTGGTTTGCCCCAAGAGCTGTCATTACTGGGGTGAAAGGGCAGTACCTGGCAGCATTTGACTCTAGGAACACCTGGATCGTGCGGTTCTGCCTGCCAATCATTGTGGAGCTGCGCCAAACGAGCTCCTGGCAAGAAGTCAAAGCAGTGATTTTGATTCTTTTGTAGCTATAAGTCAGGATTTCTCAACCTTGGCAGTACTGTCATTTGGGGCCAGACAACTGCCTGTTGTGGGGAGCTGGGGGGACTGCTCTGTGCATTGTAGGGTGTTTAGCAGTATGTCCGGCTTCTATCTATTAGATACCAGGAGGACACCCCAACCCCACCCCATCTGCAAGCTACGACAACCAAAAATGTCTTCAGGAATGGGCAAATATCCCCTGGGAGGCAAAACTGCCTCCCCCTGAGAACCACTGCTCTAAATGTTACCTAGTTCCATGGACAGTGTCTCCTCGCTCTCCATTGCGTGGGACAAGGAAATCAGCAACTCAACATTTTCTCTAATAGAGTTTTCTCCCCTCTGTTTCTCCTCTTCTAGAAACTATACCATATTTTTACATATTTCGGTTTATGACACATATATGCCCTATAAACTGTAATTATACGTTTCTTGTCTGCAGGTAGACAATAAGTTGGCAATACTGGTTGCTTCCAGAGTGAGAAACTGGGTGGCTGGAGATAGATATGGAGGGAGATACTTTTCAGTATTTGCTTAGATATCCTTTGGATTTTTTCCATTTTTCTTTTTTAGAGATAGAGCCTTGCTTTGTCACCCAGGCTGGGCTCAAACGATCCTCTTGCCTAAGCCTCAGCCTCCTGAGCAGCTGGGACTACAGGAACTCACCACTATGCCCACCTAGTTTCTCTTTTTTGTCAAGATGGGGTCTCCCTATGTTGCCTAGGCTGGTCTCGAACTCCTGGCCTCAAGCGATCCTCCTGCCTCAGCTTCCCAAGGCTCTGGGACTACAGGAACTCACCACTATGCCCACCTAATTTCTCTTTTTTGTCGAGATCGGGGGGTGGTCTCCCTATGTTGCCTAGGCTGGTCTCGAACTCCTGATCTCAAGCGATCCTCCCGCCTCAGCCTCCCAAGGTTCTGGGATTACAAGCCACTGTGCCTGGTCTCTTTGGGGTTTTATACCACGTGGCAGTGTAACTTTTTCAAAAAATAAGTGAAATCTTGAAAATTGTCTCCTGTGAATTGCACACAGTATGAATAGCACGGTCACATCTTTTTAAAAGATAAGTAAAAATAATCTGTATTATTACACCCAGGAGGAGAGGGAGAAATCTGGAATAACACACATGAAACTCCAAGCAGCAGTTATCACCAGAGGGTGAATTAGCAGAGTTTTTCACCTTCTATGAAAATATTTTTATAAATAAATTTTTAAAATAATTTGCATGAGTATTGTGTTAGTAATTGGAGAAAACAACAGGAACAGTCAAAGAAAAAGATCTATTTCCAAGGTCACTGGGAGCTCCTCAAGTTTGGGAAGTGAGAAAGAGGGAGAACCTTCTGGAAGCAGCAGATGTGGGAGCCCCAGACACAGAAAGCAGGGACCCTAGATAGAGGCTGATGATTGAATTAGGGGGTACAATGAGGGGGGCATGAATTAAGAGGGAAATGAAAATAAATGAGCAGACGCTGGAACAGGAAGGATAGTTCTATGTCATTGGATGGGTTATGAATTTCCCTGAGCCTGACTCAGTTTCCTCAGCTATAAAATGGAAGTCATTGTAATACGTAAGTGGCCAACATTTATCCTTACATTGTTCTGTCACCGTCTATGTGTGGGTTGTATTTAATCCTCACAGCAGCCCTATGAGTTAGGTACTACTAGAATCATCCCAGTTTACAGATGAGTCATTTGAAGCACAGAGAGGTTAAGTAACTTGGCCCAAGGTCACACAGCAAGAAAGTGGCAGAGGCAAGAAAGTGGCAGAGGCAGGATTTTAACCCAGGAGGTCTGGCTCTGGAGCCTGAGTTCTGTAGATGACTAGGGCTGGGACTAAGCACAATATCAGACACATGGTAAGCAGAACAGGCATGAAAGACTATGATTATGTTAAAAGGCTAGGATTCCTCATCCACCAAGTACCATATTAAAGGATGTAGTGCCTCCCACTAAGAGGAAAGCACAATGCCCTTCCCATCCCATGCCAGCCTTACTGTCCCCAGAAACTGCCCTGGCTTTTTTTTTTTTTTTTTTTTTTTTTTTTTTTTTTTTGAGGCAGGGTTTGGCAATGTCGCCTAGCCTGGAATGCAGTGGCGCAATCTTAGCTCACTGCAATCTCTGCCTCCCGGGCTCAAGCAATTCTTGTGCCTCAGCCTCCCGAGTAGCTGGAACCACAGGCATGCACCACCACACCCAGCTAATTTTTGTACTTTTAGTAGAGACGAGGTCTTGCCGTGTTCTCTGGGCTGGTCTGGAACTCCTGGACTCAAGTGATCTGCCCACCTTGGCCTCCCAAAGTGCTGGGAATACAGGCTTGAGTAACCATGCCCAGCCTGCCCTGGCACACTTAAAGGCAGCATTTGTCCTACCAGAACACAGAACTCTCCAAAACTTTGACAGGTGGAGATCCCTGCAAGGTGACTGTCTAGATGAGAAGCGGGTGGTAGGGTGCGCCTAAAGCCCTAGCTACTTGGGAGGCTGAGGCAGGATGATTGCTTGAGGCCAGGAGTTTGAGACCAGCCTGGGCAACACAGCCAGACCTTGTCTCTACAAAAAATTAAAAAATCAGCTGGGTGTAGAGGCGAGCACCTGTAGTCCCAGCTACTCAGGAAGCTGAGGTGGGAGGATCGCTTGAGCCGTGACTTTAAGGCTGCAGTGAGCTACAATTGTGCCACTGCACTGCAACTTGGGCAACAGAGCAAGACTCAGTCTCTAAAACTAAATAAATAAATAGATGAGAAGGGGTTCAAGGAAAAAGTGCTTTATGGATGCAACTACTGTGCCATTCCCCCACTCCTGTAGAGGGCGGTCACAGCATTTACTGTAGCTAATGTTGATTGAGCACCTACTAAGTGCCAGGCACTGTTCCGAGTGTTTCATCTTTAATCCCCACAAAAGGGTGGGCTCGGGCTGGGTGCGGTGGCTCACGCCTGTAATCCCAGCACTTTGGGAGGCTGAGGCGAGTGGATCAACTGAGGTCAGGAGTTCAAGACCAGCCTGGCCAACATGATGAAAGCCCATCTCTACTAAAAATACAAAAAAATTAGCCAGGCCTGGTGGTGGGCACCTGTAATCTCAGCTACTTGGGAGGTTGAGGCAGGAGAATTGCTTGAACCTGGGAGACAGCGGTTGCAGTGAGCTGAGATTGCACCATTGCACTCCAGCCTGGGCAACAGAACGAGACTGTCTCAAAAAAAAAAAGAAAGTCGGGCTTGGTGGCTCATGCCTGTAATCCCAGCACTTTAGGAGGCTGAGGCAGGAGGATCTTTTGAGCCCAGAAGTTCAAGGCTGGACTGGGCAACATAGTGAGACCCCCATCTCTACAAAAATTTAAAAAATTAGCCAGGCATGGTGGTGCGTGCCTTTGGTCCCAGCTACTCGGGAGGCTGAGGCAGGAGGATCGCCTGAGCCTGGGAGGTTGAAGCTGCATAAGCTACAATCACAACACTGCACTCCAGCCTGGGCAACAGAGCGAGACAACAATTCAAAAAAAAAAAATCCCACAAAAACCCTATAGGATAGGTGCCATTATTGTCCTCATTTTACAGATAAGGAAACTGAGGCACAGAAGAATCAGATAACTGCCACATTCACTGTGCTAGGAGGTGATGGAACCTGGATTGCATGTCAAGATCACACAGACTCCTCTACAGACCACCCAGGTAACATGGGGTGACTTATTCAACCTCTTTGAACCTTTGTCTCCTAATCTGCAGTCTGGAACTAGCAGGGGTTATTGAAAGGATAAAAGGTAACACATGCCCCTTATTCATTCAACAAGTATTTATAGGACATCTACTGTGTGCCAGGCACTGGGGATGTATCTGCAAGCAAAACAAAAAAAATCCTACCCTTCTGGAATGCACACATTAGTAGGGGGACACGTATGTGGGTTAGCTCAGTAGATCTTCACAACCCCATAGGCAAGCTACTATTATTGCACCTGTTTCACAGATAGGGAAAAGGATCCCAGAAGTGGCAAACCCAAGTTCACCCTTCTGAGAAATGGTGGGACCTGGATTAGATAATATTCAGTCTCCGGAGTTTGACTTCCTGAGTTCAAATCCCACAGTTTCCATTTAATTGCTGTGGTCAAGTTACTTAACTGTCTGAAACTGGATCTCCCAAGGGTAAAATAGGACCAGGAGACCCTATTTCGTAGATTACCCCAGGAGAAATAACAACATCTAACATTTAGGAAGCAAACAAGGCTCACAGAATCTCTGTGAGGGAAGTCTAATTTTAACCTTTCTTTTTCCTTTTGTTTTTTTAAACAGGTGTGGAAACTGGAGCCCAGAGAGCATAAGTAACCTGTCCAGAGATGCACAACACACAAATAGTGCGCTTCCAAAGCTCATGTTCGCTCTCACCCAGGCCGCTGCTCAGATAAAAAACTTACCGGATCGGACATGGTGAAGTAAGCACCTGAGAAACGGGTGCGATTATTCTTTTCTTCCTGCACCTGCAGGGCGGGCTGCACGAAGGCGGCGGCCAGGCCGTGTGCATTCCCCGGAAGCTTTCTTAATGCAAAGTGACAGAGCGCGGCGGTCTGGGGCTGGAGCCGCTGCCCCCTCCACGTGCTCCCCAATTCCGGCGCCTGGTGGTTCTCCCCGCACTCCGGCGCCGCACCCCGCTGGCTCCCCGCTCCCAGCCCGTGCTGCCACGCTTGGGCGCCCCGCATTGGGGACACCCCTCCCAGTTCTTCCCAGCCTCTCTGGGAGCCGGCGAGGGGGCTCCGCCAAGACGCCCCTGCTAGGCTGGCAGCCCGGGCGCTGGCCCCACTCCTGGCGAACCCGCCTCACCTCCTGGCGCTCCTGTTGCCGCTGCTTGCGCTGGCCCTCGGGTCGACCCTGGCCCGAAGCAGCCCGCAGGCGGCGCTCCCTGCACCGGAGCCGGCCTTCCTGCCTCGGGGCCGATCGCTTTCTTCTGAGAATTGAGCCAGTTCCTGCTGGGTTGGGACGCCTGCTGGCATCCGAGACCTCTATTCACCGCCCGTAGTCTGCATTCATTCTTTCTTTCCATGACCCAGCCTTACCTGATGGCCACCAGACGCCGCGCAGGCCTGGGTGGGGCGGCGCTCGGAGGACCCAGCAGGCTCATGGGCCAGGGCTGTGCTCTCCAAAACTCTGGCCAAGAGCCACATCATCTAATCCTGAGAGATGCAAGTCCTCTAATGATTATCAGTAACTACGAGATAAATGCAAATCAAAACCATAATGAGATATTGGAACAGGAATTAAAAGAAATTAAAGAGTGTATAAGCAGAAACTCAGTTGTATGTAAGAAAACTCAATTCCCCCTGAGAAAGAGAAAGAGCTGGAGTCCTTTTAAAACTAACTGCCTATTTTTCTGTGGCTAGTGAGCCTTCTCTCCCCTCCTTTCCCAGGCATTGTGAAGACCCTGATTCCCTAGCTGTGTAGCTGCAAGGTCACTAGACAGATAAACTCAAGTAACAAAACATGTTTTTCCTTGAAAAGTAAGAAATGATGTAATGCATGTCTCAATTGAATAACTGCCTTTGTTTCTCGCTTCTGTAGTATGCTTCCCCCTGCACAGATCTCCCTACCCCTACGAAATGCTTAAAAGTTAACTTAACTCTTTGTTCAGTGCTCAGTCCTTTGGATGTTAATCCGACTGGGCCGGTGCACCTAAATAATTAATAAATATCCTCCTGAACCCCATAGGTCTCTGTGATTCCTTAAAAATCCCGCAACAGGCCAGGCGCACTGGCTCAAGCCTGTAATCCCAGCACTTTGGGAGGCCGAGGCCAACGAATCACGAGGTCAGGAGATCGAGACCATCCTGGCTAACATGGTGAAACCCCGTCTCTACTAAAAATACAAAAAAATTAGCCGGGCATGGTGGCAGGAGCCTGTAGTCCCAGCTACTCGGGAGGCTGAGGCAGGAGAATCGCATGAACCCGGGAGGCGGAGCTTGCAGTGAGCCGAGATCGCGCCACCGCTCTCCAGCTCTGGGCGACAGAGCAAGACTCCGTCTCAAAAAAAAAAAAAAAAAAATCCCGCAACATTTCCAGCTCACATCTACTAGGCTGGCCACTATCAAAAAACAAAAACAAACAAACAAAAAATAAGTGTTGATGAGGATGTGGAGAAATTGTGCACTGTCGGTGGGAATGCAAATTGGGTGCCACCGTGGAAAACAGTATAGTGGCAAAAAAACAAAAACAGAAAGGTATATATCTAAAAAAATTCAAAGCAAGGTCTCAAAATGACATCCGGGCCAGGCATCATAGCTCAGGCCTGTAGTTCCAGCACTTTGGGAGGTTGAGGCAGGTGGATCACTTGAGCCCAGGAGTTTGAGACCAGCCTGGGCAGCATGGTGAAACCCAGTTTCCACAAAAAAATACAAAAATTAGCCAGGCATGGTGGCACATGCCTGTAGCTCCAACTACTCAGGAGGCTGAGGTACGAGGATGGCTTGAGCCTGGGAGGTGGAGGCTGCAGTGAACAGTAATCGTGCCACTGCACTCTAGCCCAGGCAACAAAGGAAGACCCTGCCTCAAAAACAAAACAAAACAAAACAACAACAACAACAAAAGATATTTGCACACCCATGTTTATTGCAGCATTATTCACAATAGTCAAGCATTAAAAGCAAACTAAATGTCCATCAGCAGATGAATGGGTAAAGACAATGTGGTTACATACATACAATGGAGTATTGTGCAGCCTTAAAAAAGAAGGAAATCCTATCACATACTACCACGTGGATGAACCTCAAGGACATCATGCTAAGCGAAATAAGCCAGGCACAGGAGGGCAAATACTGTATGATTTCAATCATTGGATGTACCTAAAGCAATGAAAATCATAGAAACAGAAAGGAGAAAGGTGGTTGCCAATGGCTTAGAGAAAGGAGGAGGGAGATAATTTGTGTGCAATGAACATAGAACTTCAGTTTTTCAAGGTGAAAACATTCTAGAGATCTGTTACAAAATGTGAATACTTCCTATACTTCACACTGATGAACCATACAGTTAAAAATAATTAAGACTGGTAAATTTAATAACGTGTGTTTTTACCACAATATTGAAATGTCATTATGTCCTTACAATGACATAAATGTAATTATGATTATTGCAACCAAGAAGAGGTATATAATGTTGTAAGAATTTATAATTAGGGGCATTCTCCCAGTGTCAGGGAAGGTTTCCCTAAGGAAATAATGCTTCAGTGAGCATCTGAGTCAAAGTCAAAGTTGGGAGGTCACATGGCAAGTCTAATTTCTTGTATATAATACAGTTATCTGTCCATTTGATCTTTTCTGCTTTGTAAATAGAATCAAGGATAATGGGGGCATGATGGCAGAGGCCTATAGTCCCCAGCTACTTAGAAGGCTGAGGCAGGAGGACTGCTTGAACCCAGGAGTTTGAGATTGTCATGAACTATGACTGCACTACTGCACTCCAGCCTGGGCAATGGAGCGAGACCCTGTCTCAAAAAAAATTTTTTTTAATGTTAAAAGGTGAAAAAGAAAATAATAATGATGACAGCAACAGCCAACATGTAATAAGAAATAATTCAATGAATTACTTAATTAACATAGTAGTTAAGTGCAGGGACTCTGAAGCCATACTATTTGACTTTGAATTCCAGGTCTGCTATATCCTTACTAGCTTCATAATCTTGGGCAAATTACTTAATCTCTCTGCCTCAGTTTCTTCATCTGTAAAATGAGGGCAATAATAGTTAGACAGCCAGGTGAGAGGAGGTCCCTCAATAATCTCCAGCCTCTCCAACTGGCCTGCACACTGGGAGGAGCCACAGAAGTTTGTGCTGTTTGCAGCAGGGAGAAGCCTGGCCCCTCCTCTTTCTGTGTGGAAACTGGGATTTGAATGGCCAGGTAGGAAGTGCTCTAACAGAGACTCTGGCCCAGTAAGAGTCCCTGTTTCCCCTTTTCTTCCCTTTTCACCCAATAAAACCCTGTCTTACCCACCATTCAAATTGCCTGTGAGCCTGAATTTTCATGATCATGGGACAAAAAACCCTATCTTTAGCTGAACTAAGGAAAAGCCCTGCGACATTTTTGGCACCCAACGTGGGGCCTGAGAAGTGGTGAGTGAGATGCAAATCAAGAATTATTTTTCTCTCTCCCTTCCGAGCCTTTTAATGCTCATGGCTTTTTCCTTCCTCTTTTGGGATGCACCAGAAAGCAGCAGCTCCCCGCTGCTCCCCACTCCCTCATGGGGCTGGGATGCATGGCCCAAGGGTTCAGCTGGCTGGCTGGTTCCCAGCCACGTGCCACCTGCCGTGGCCTTCCCTTTCCCTAGCCAAGGAGTTTAATTCTACCAGACAGTAATTAAGCTTAAACTTGTCTCCCTGGTGGAGGAACCACTTGCATAAGAATAAGACATTCTTCCCCAGGCATTTTTAAACTGTTTATTTTTCTTTCCTATTGTCCACCCTATCAGCAGTTAACCTTTAAAGTTTTTTTTTCTTTCTTTTAGAAATCGTTTTTACTAGGCCAGTCCCCAAAGCTATCACTGTTTATATTTTCTGCAAAGTTTTAGTTGTGAAATCAAGCCTCCATCTTGTTTTACATCCCAAGGGCATGGCTTGTAACTGTGGTGGCAAGGCTTTGTTTAGCAGTCCTGCCTTAGGGAATAAGTTTCTTTCTGGTTTGATATTTGCATGTTTTCCTAGCCTTTTCTGTTAAAGGGCCCTACCCAGAGGACTGGGTTTTCTTCTGCCTGTCTGTGTGTGTATTATATGTGATGTCTGTAAAAGAGCTCTAATTAATTTGGCCTAAAGAAAGACAAGCGCTTGCATCTAATGTTTTTTAAAGGGGAGATAAAAGCTGTGGTACCTTTCAGTTCACATGACTTTAATCTTTGAGAAATAAAAACAGTCTTAAAGATTATTTGTAAAAAGCAGATGTCATTAAAATGTGAGTAGGTGGACAAAATAATGCAGGTCAAATGCTAGGTTTGCTAAGTGTTTTGAGGTTACAAACTGCTTTTTGGGTTTTGAGAACTATTTGACTTGCCAGCTTCACAACTGGTAAGGCCTGGGGACCTATGCAACTAACCATACCCTTAATTATAGTGGAGTCAAAACTTATCTGTACTTAGCACACAATTAAAACAACTTGCCAGGTTTTAAATTAAAGTTAAAAATTGCTAGGGGTTACCATTATAACATGTAATTGAAACTACTGGAAATAGATTTACGTGCAAGATGTGTAAGAACAGTACGATGTGGGTTTTTTTTTTTTTTTGTAAAAGGTTATAAGAAGGCATGGAAATATACATTTTTGCCTAGGGTTAAAGGATTGTTTTAAATTAGATAGGAAAAAGCTGAAAGTTCAAAGAAGTGGTGGAAGAATTGTGGAGATTAATCTTGCAGAAAAGGTTCTCTGTGTGAACATATTAATTAAATTCAAAAGGGTATTATATGGTTTTTCTGTAAATTGAGAATTGAAATAAAAACACAACAAGGTATTCTTAAAATGCCAATCTGCTCTTTGGCAAAATTCATAAAGGGTTATAAAAGGTTTTTGCTTCTTTTAAATTTCTGAGTCATTATTTTGGCAAAATAAATAACTTATGGTAACCTGGAATTCTATTTCATAATATCAAGTGCTTTAAACATATTTAAAAGGCGTCCCAAAATCAAACTGAAATTTCAAAATTGTCTTTCCTAACACCTGGCTTTTCAGATGTTTCAGAGGGCCCATAAGTGTCCAGAAAAGAGAGGTAAACAGGATTATTTGACATGTTTAGGTACATGGGATTGCCAAAATGATGTTCAATCTTCTTTAGATTATATTTTTGGTAAATAATGCTAATATATGTTCCAAAATTATATGGGATTTCTAAAATTCTTGTGTCTGAGTATATGCTATCAATCATAATTAAGGTTTTTATGTTATGTTGTTGTAAACCATGGAGGTAACCAAACTTCTTTGTCAATTTTGTTTCTAACTGTAACTACCCTGGACATTTTGCTCTTCACAGACATTTGTTGTCCTGTTTTAATCCTTTTCAAAGACAGTTTATAATGAGCTATAGAACTTTAACAGGTGCTCTCAAATACAAACTTCTGATAACTTTAGAGATTGTACCATTGGATAAAGGAAAATGTATAGGACTCATAAAGAGCTGAAATGTTCACAAATATCAAGCAAAACAAGAGTTAACTAAATGGACTGAACTCAAAAAGCTGAAGAAACCTTTCTGACTTTTGCTTGGAACATTGCTAATCCTTGTTTTGTTTTTCAGAGTCAAGGAAACTTATTTTGAACTATTTATGGCCTTTAATAATTGAGCAAGGTATACTCCTGGAAACAAAATTTGGAGCACGTCTGTTTCTCTCCACCTGGTTCCTGTAGAATTTGGAAACTATGTGTGAGTATTCTTAAATTACAGCAATATGGTTGTTTGCATCAGTGCAAATAAGAATCCAGTTTTCTTTTGCAACAGGACACAATTGGAGAAAGTGGTTATTTTACCAAGGCTTTGACTGGAAGGGTATGTTTCCCTTTAAGGAGTCAATCTCGACTTGCAGAGCCAATAAAAGCCCAGGGGGGAAACTGGCTTCATACCCTTGCTTACGCAGTCCCTGTACAGGGTTCCTGACTTGGGGTCAGTAAAGAACGTCACTTTCTAACACATCCAGGATCTCCAACTTTATCTTGGGACCTTAAGAGGAAAGGATCACCCAACTCACGGGAATTTGAGGATAAATCCATGGCTAGCCTTGGCTTTAAAATGTCTTCTTATCTGAGATTCCTGTGGAACAAATTTCCATCAAAGCGAATCCAAAAGGCCATGTAGAAATAGTTATTCTTGCTGCACTTTATGCAAATAATCAGGCTAAGTATAAGACTGAAGTCTATTCTGCAAACCACTCAGTCCTATGATGATTTTTTTTTTTAACAAACATGTGGACTAGAGAGAGAGAAATCATGTGTCAAAACTTATATGTTTGTCATTAAATTCTAAACTCACTAGTTGTTTTTAAGTTTTCACCTACATTTTAGACTAACCCTGCTTGTTCCTGTGAACTAACCAGTAATCTCCGACTGCAACTCAGAAAGAGCAAAAGGGATGGCTAATGTAAAAATCTGGATCAATATTCTAGTTCTGAGCAATTATCTCGCAAATCCTGCCAGGTGATGGGAATAAAGAGGGTGCCCATCACCCAGAGGTTTCCTTTTTGGGAAAGTAAGACCAAGGGAGCTAACCAAAGCCAAGCACAATGCACCCAAATCCTGGCAAACATAACTATAGCCACCAGTTATCTGGGCATGTCACAAGACATCCTCTTCTTTCCCTTGTTGGAGGAGGACTCAGTTCCACAGTTTCACCTTAGCATTCAGCTTATAGTAAGGAGTCCATGCAATCCCCCCGAGACACATTTTTATCCCAAACTCAATTCCAAGCATCATGTCAAAGCCCTGGAAAGGAAAACTGAATCTGAGGAATCCAGAGTCAAATGACAACAGTAATTAAAAGGCACAGTGCAGGTGAGCATGGCTGATTCCTGACGATTAAGCCAACCCCAAGCTTCCTGTTTCATGGATAATGGCCACGTTAAAATCCATGGCATAAATGAGGTCTAGGGAACTCCAAGGCTACTGACAGTAGGGGGGATAGAGGCATAGGTGAGAGAGAATAATTCCTATTCTCTAGGCCCTCCCTGCTTCATGGGTGCAAACTGCTTTAGCACTCATGGCCATGCCTGCCAAGGTCATGGGGACTCGGGAATGCAGGATGGAAGAGGAAAGAAGACGCTCTTCCCTCTCTCCTTCATGTACCCCAGGTATCTGCTAGGAAGAGAAGGGAACCAGGGGTGACTTCTCCCCTCTTTCTAGATGGATAGCCATTCATCTTCAGTCTGTACCCCTTTCAAATGCATCCTGAAGCCCCCGGACTCCTTTGAAAAACGCCTTCTTTTTCCTTTCTCCTCCTCTGTTCTCTCATCACTGATAGGTAATTGTGTCTCCATAGTATGGGACACTCCCCTCAGATGCATCCTCCAAACTGGAAAGAGTTAATTTCCCAAACCTTAAACTGGTGGGCTTAGGATTGGCCTCAAGGGAAGGGAACCCAGAAGCCCAACATGCTGGCAAAAGGTAAAGTTTTTTTGCCAGTCAGGCTTTTGGTCTCCCTCTCCCTGTGCAAACTGATAAAAGGCTTTGAAATTTTTGAGCTGTCCTTCCCCTTCCCCTTGTTTCGTTTTGATACATGTTTTCTAATAACCTAGTTTGTCTGTTCTTGCCTTCAGACCATCAAACTCCAAACAGTCATATAACTGGAGCCTGGGATGATGGTCCCTTCTGCTGGGAACCCTTAGATAGACCTCTGAGGGAGCTCTGACTGTCATTTCCCCAAAACAGCATCCCCTGTCAGCAGGAAGCAGTTAAGATCAGTCTTTGTCCTTTTCCTTAATCTAATGGCAGTTAGATGTACTTTTTTAGAGGTGGGAATGAGACAGCTAGGTGGGAGGGGGATCCCCAGAGAACCTCCAACCTCTCCAACTGGCCTGCTCACTGGAAAGAGCCACACAAGTTTGTGACTTTGCAGCTGGGAGGAGCCTGGCCCCTCCTCTTTCTGTGTGGAATCTGGGATTTGAATGGCCAGGTGGGAAGTGCTCTAGCAGGGACTCTGACCTAGCAAGAGTCCCTGTTTCCCCCTTTTCTTCCCTTTCCACCCAATAAAACCCTGTCTTACTCACCATTCGAATTGTCTGTGAGCCTGAATTTTTGTGGCTGTGAGACAAAAAACCCCATCTTTAGCTGAACTAAAGAAAAATACTGCAACAATAGGACCTATCATTTTGGGCTTTAATGGGGATTTAATGAGTAGCTTATATAAAGAGTTATACCTATAGTGCCTGCCACACATAAAAGTGTGTAAGTGCTTGTTAAATAAAAAGAAATTTAGTTCCGTGTAATAACTGTGCTGACCATTTTACATGCTATCACAAAGTCCTCCCATCCCTTTAAACATATCCTTTTCAATGTGATCTTGCAGGATCAGAATTCATCACCCCACTCAAAAGTAGGGTGAATCTCAGAGTCTGGGGCAATAGCTCACTCCTGTAATCCCAGCACTTTGGGAGGCTGAGGCAGGGGAAGGTTGCTCGAGCCCAGTAGTTCAAGTCCAGCCCGGGCAACATTAGGTAGACCCCATCTCTCAAAAAAAAATTCCTCAAAAAATTAGCCATGCGTGGTGGCATGCATCTGTGGTCTCAGCTACTTGGAAGGCTGACGTGGGAAGATTGTTTGGGCCTGGGAGGCAGAGGCTGCAGTGAGCTATGATTGTGCCATTGTATTCCAGCCTGGGTAACAGAACAAGACCCTATCGTAAAAAAAAAAATATTGGGTACATCTCAAATTTAACAAAACTAAAATCGACCCCTGAGGGTTACTCTTCTAACCTGCTCTTCCACAATTTCCCTGTGGGAAAGAGAGTTTCTGGGTTGCCAGTTGAGTTGGTCTCCTCTGTGTGAGACACCCATGGGAAGCCATGGGCAGCCTCTAAGGAGAAAAGTCTCCTTATTGCCTTCATGTCTTTATGCCCTGGGAGCATAACCACTCAGCGGCATTCCACAGGTTGGTCAGGGAGATTACACTCCCTTGAAGCAATGGAGTATAATCAAACATCTTGGCTCCTCCTGAAACCCACTTCCACCTGTTTCAGTCCTGGTAAGTTAAAGATCTTAAGTAGTTTAGACACACATCTTTGCTCAAGGAAATTCACAGAAACCACCACTGCTACACATCTTATCGAATGACTCACGAGTTCTCCTTCACTGATTAATCCTGTTCCTCATCCCTTCCTCCCCCTCCCATCTGCCCTAAGAACAAAGAGCTTGTAAGCCAATAAATTGCGTGAAGCCCAAGAGCTCTGGGCCGTGAGCAAGCCTCTGATGCTCTGGTCCCCTGAACCCGCCTTTTAAATGCTTATTCTGTCTCTTTCTAACTCCTTTGTGTCTGTCAGACTTGGGGTACCCACTGGGTGGTGTGGGGCTGGTTTCCCCAACATCTGGCACCCAACGTGGGGCTCCCCATAATCTCTACAAATAATCCAGTGAAGAAACGCCAGAGCGTGGAAAGTGGAGGACGACTGACAAAGGTTGCCCGAGTACGTTTTCACTTCAGGCTCTACGGGTAAGTAGGGTGCTCGGAGAATTCCAGGGTAACCTCAGGAAAATATGGGTCAGGCTGAAAGTAAGTTTGCAAATTACTTAAGCCTGGTGCAGCAGTTATTGTGCCACAGCGGGGTAATTGTGAGTACCCAAAATCTCACATCTTTGTTCCATCTCATAGAAAAGTATTCTCCTTTGTTCCCAGGATATGGAACCATGAATGTAAAAGATTGGGACAAGGTCGGATCAGACTTACAAGGAGCAAAACAAGAGGGTTACGATATTTCCTTCTCCACTTGGTCTGTGTGGCCAGCAATTAAAACAGCACTGGAGCCCTTCTACACTGAGGAGGAGGAGTTTCAGGATGACATACAAAAGTTTAATAATCATGAGTCTGATGATCAGCAAAGTGAACCATCACAGTCTAGTTTAAAAAAGGGGGAGAAACAGGAAGCTACATGGGCTAACCTCCAAAAACTTATGAAAGAAACAGTTCCACCTACTGAAGAAACAGTGCCACCTACTGCGCCTTTAGGGGAAGGTCCGGAACGGCCACCCCTGCCTCAGCCTTATGAATTTTTGTAACGAGAGCCTGAGACGCAGCTTGCCACTCCCATTGTTGCACGCCCCACCATTAACTATGGCAAAGGGAAGCTTCAGTCTTGCCCAACAGCCAATTACAGTGAGGGAATGATCCAGGTTGGTCCACCTGTTAATTATGGTAGAGGAATGCTGTGAACCGGCCCAAATACATATTATGGCGCAGGGATAATCCAGGCATCCATTTGCCAGGCATGAGAAATGGGGGATTTGGATGCTTGGCAGTTTCTGGTAATTATTTCGCCAGCTGAGGAGCCTGGAGAACATGCTCAAGCGTGCTGGGAGCCATTTCCTTTTAAAATATTAAAAGACTTAAAGCAAGCAGTTGGACAATATGGGCCAAATTCTCCTTATGTTCATTCCTTGTTACAATCTGTGGCGTATAACCAGCATTTAATACCTATGGATTGGGAGACATTAGCCTGATCCACCCTGCCCCCTCTCAATTTCTCCAATTTAAAACCTGGTGGATGGATGAAGCAATAAATCAGGCATGCAGAAATGCTCAAGCCCAAACTTTCATTAATATCACATCTGATCAATTGCTTGGAAGTGGACAGGCATGGGGTACTCTAAATCAACAGATGGTAATGGGTGATGAGGCTGTTGATCAGCTCAGAACTATATGCCTAAGAGCCTGGGAAAAAATTCACTACCCTGGTACTACTTATCCTTCTTTTAACTCAGTTTGACAGGGTCGAAGGGAGCCTTATCCAGATTTTATCATTCATTTGCAAGATGTGGCTCAAAAGGCTATTTTGGATTCTCATGCCAGGAAAGTGATCGTCCAGCTACTTGCTTATGAAAATGTTAATACAGAATGTCAGGCAGCAATTAGACCTATTAAGGGAAAGGCAGATCTAAATGAGGAAAAAACTTTAAGAGTATACATTAAAGCCTGTGATGGCATTGGCAGGCACTTATATAAGGCCAGCCTCCTTGCTCAAGGAATGGCTGGACTAAGGGTAACAAAAAACATATGAGTGTGCCCTGGATCTTGCTATAATTGTGGACAGATAGGACATACAAAAAGAGAGTGTACAAAGAGCCAAAAAAGGCAAAACTCAGGAGGAAAAAGCAGGGAACCAAGTACCTTTCCTAGAAGTAAAAAAGGAAAAGACTGTGCTAATCAATGTCATTCAAAGTTTGATGACAGCAGACAGACAGAACTTGCCAGGAAACGGACAGAAGGGCCAGCCCTGGGCCCCGATTCAAAATGGGGCATTCCCAATTCAGGATGGGATGTCCCCAACTCCAAACGGAGTGTCCTCAGCCCAGTCTATCCCTGTATGAATGTACAGGAATTGTCCCCCTCCACAGCTAAAAGTGGGGCAGTAGATTTATGCTGTACCGAAGCCATATCCCTCCTTCCTGGGGAGCCTCCTAGGAAGGTCCCAGTGGAAGTTTATGGCCCATTGTGAAATGGCACGGTGGGACTTATACTGGGAAGGTCCAGCTTAAACTTAAAGGGAATTCAAGTACATACTGGAGTAGTGGACTCTGATTGCCAGGGAGAAATTCAAATTGTTATCTCCTCCACTGTTCCCTGGAGTGCTAATCAAGGTGACAGAATAGCTCAACTGTTGCTTTTACCATATGTTAAGTTAGGAGAAAGCTCAGAAAAAAGAACAGGAGGATTTGGAACACAAATTCAGCAGGCAATGCTACCTATTGGGTACATCAAGTCTCTGACAATAGACCTATTTGTATGGTTACTATTCAAGGAAAACAATTTGAGGGTCTGGTGGACACAGAAGCAGACGTGTCGATCATAGCTCTTTATCAATGGCCAAAAAACTGGCCCAAACAAAAGGCCCCAGTAGGTCTTGTTGGGGTCAGAATTGCTTCAGAAGTTTTCCAAAGTACTTTTATCTTACCATGTCTTGGTCCAGAAGAACAGGAAGGCACACTACAACCTCTAATTATGCCCATTCTTGATAACTTATGGGGGAGAGATCTGCTTCAGCAATGGGGCACAGAAATTTCAATCCCTTCTCCCCAGTTTGGTCAAGCTAGTCAAAAAATAATGTCAAACATGGGCTATGTTCCCAGAAAAGGCCTAGGAAGACAGGGGGCTGGCATTATTGAACCCATACAAGTTACTGTAAAAAATGACTGAAAAGGATTAGGTTACCATTTTTAGGGCTGGTCACTGTTGAGTCTCCAAGTTCTATTCCCTTAAAATGGAAGACCCAAAATCCTGTTTGGGTTGAGCAGGGGCCACTTTCTCAGGAAAAATTGGGGGCCTTACAGGAATTAGTCAAAGAGCAATTAAACAAAGGAAACATTGAGCCCACATTTCCTCCATGGAATTCGCTAGTGTTTGTAATAAAGAAAAAATCCAGCAGATGGTTCATGCTAACCGACTTACGAGCGGTCAATGCAGTCATCCAGCTGATGGGGGCCCTGCAGCCAGGGCTTCCATCGCCCACCATGATTCCTAGAGACTGGCCATTAATAATTATAGATTTGAAGGATTGCTTTTTTAATATTCCTCTAGCAGAGTCCAATTTTGAGAAATTTACTTTTACTATTCCTGCTATGAACAACAAGGAACCAGCAGCCAGATATCATTGGAAAGTCTTGCCGCAGGGTAGGTTGAATAGTCCTACTATTTGTCAAACTTTTGCGGGGAAGGATGTTCAACCTGTGAGAGATCAGTTTCCCGATTCATATGTCATTCATTATATGGATGACATATTGTGTGCGGCTGAAAATCGAGACCAACTTATCCAGTGTTATTCATATTTACAGGAGGTGCTAGCCAATGCTGGATTGCTCATAGCACCAGATAAAATTCAAACGGCCACTCCTTTCCAATATTTGGAAATGCAGGTTCAGGAAAGGGCAATTAAACCCCAAAAGGTTCAAATTCGAAAAGACTCTCTGAAAACTAAATGATTTTCAAAAATTATTAGGGGATATCAGTTGAATTTGACCTACTTTGGGAATCCCTACCATGTTATGTCTAATCTGTTCTCTATTTTAAGAGGAGACCCTGCTCTCAATAGTAAATGATAACTGACTCCTGAGGCTGACAAAGAATTACAAATAATTGAAGAAAAAATACAACAGGCCCAGGTTAATAGAATAGAGTCAAGTTTACCATTACAGTTCATTGTGTTCCCTACTCTCCATTCTCCTACAGGGGTTATAGCTCAGAGTGAGGACTTAGTTGAATGGTCTTTTCTGCCTCACAATACTGTTAGAACACTCACAGTATACTTGGATCAGATGGCAATCTTGATTGAGCAAGCTTGCCTTAGAGTTGTTAAACTTTGTGGCTCAGATCCAGATAAGATTATAATTCCAATGAATAAAATCAGATTTGGCAAGCCTTTGTTAATTCGGTCAATTGGCAAATAAATTTAGCTGGCTTCATTGGAGTTCTTGACAATCATTATCCAAAAAACAAAATTTTTCAGTTTTTAAAGCTAACATGGGTCCTTCCAAAAATTACCCGTAGTGCTCCATTGGAAGGAGCAGTGACTGTGTTTACAGATGGCTCTAGTAATGGAAAAGCAGCTTACGTACGACCTAAAAACACAATTATTCAAACTGACTTTCAATCGGCACAGAAGGCTGAATTACAGGCAGTTATAGGTGTGTTCGAAAACTTTAAGCAAACTGTAAATATTGTCTTTGATTCAGCTTATGTTGTTCAAGCCACTCAACACATAGAAACTGCACTCATTAAATATCTGGTGGATGAACAACTCTATCAGCTGTTTTCTTCTTTACAAAAGGCAGTGCATGATCACCGTTTTCCTTTCTATATTACACACATTTGAGCACACACTAATCTTCCTGGGCCCCTTGTAAGGGCTAATGATCAAGCTGATTTATTAATTTCCACTGTGCTTACTAATGTCCAAGATTTTCACTCCCTAACACGTTAATGCAGCAGGACTTAAACAAAAATAACAAATTACTTGGAGACAGGCAAAGGGCATTGTGCAACATTGCCCTCAGTGCCAGGTAGTACAACTGCCACGTGAAAGGACTGGTGTTAACCCACAGGGATTAACCCCCAATATGTTGTTGCAAAAGGACCTAACCCATGTACCTTTGTTCGGGAAACTTTCATACGTCCATGTTACTATAGATACCTTTTCTCATTTTGTATGGGCAACTTGCCAAACAGGCGAGGCGGCTGCTCATATTAAGACATTACTTCCCTGTTTCGCTGCCATGGGCATCCCACAAAAGATTAAAACAAACAATGGCCCAGGCTACTGTAGTAAATCTTTACAGGCGTTCCTTTAACAGTGGAACATCGAGCACAGTACTGGAATACCCTATAATTCTCAAGGTCAAGCCACTGTTGAACAGGCTAATCGAACCTTAAAATCTCAATTACAAAAACAAAAGACAGAGGGGGAAACCAGAGAATACGCTACTCCTTATATGCAGCTACAATTGGCTCTTATCACTTCACATTTTCTGAATTTGTCTAGAGATCACGTTACAATGGCAGCAGAGCAGCATTTGACAAGGCAAAAAATAAATGCTTATGAAGGAAAACATGTGTGGTGGAAGGACATCAGAACCAAAACCTGGGAAAAGGGCAAAATCATTACATGGGGTCAAGGGTTTTCTTGTATCTCACCAGAAGAGAATCAGCTTCCTGTCTGGGTGCCCACAAGACATCTTAAGCTGTGCCATGAGCCAGAATCCAAGGAAGAGGAAAAGACCTCGGAACATCCCTGCACCCCCAGTTCATCAGATGGCTCAGATGAACATCTCTGTTGAGCAGATGGAAACCAGTAAAACTCGCCAAGCAACTCCACTGACCTGGGGGCAGGTGAAGAGCCTAGCTCACATTGCAGAAGAGAACCTGAGGTCTCTGAACAAGCTGCTGACCACCAGTAATCTAATGGTAGCTATGATGGTGGTAATCTCCCTGCAGTGAGTCTCCCCATAGCTGAGGCAGATCAAAATTACACTTACTGGGCCTACATTCCATTCCCACCACTGATTAGGCCTGTTACATGGTTAGACCCCATGTTAATGATAGTATCTGGATGCCTGGACCAATAGATAACCGAGGCCCTACTCATCCAGAGGAGGAAGGAATGTTAATGAATGTTTCCATTGGTTATCACTTTCCTTCCATCTGCCTGGGGCCGGCAGCAGGATGTTTAAATTATGATAAACAAAGTTGGATGACTTGTGTCCCTGCAAATAATGGATCAAAAGCCCCTATTCATGCAATCAGTGGAAGAACATTTCAATCTTTGGACACTATTAAATACCTTGAGCACGGCTATGTTATGACACATCGC